>NC_000011.10:46120606-46423636 GCF_000001405.40 Homo sapiens
GGGGGGAGGTATGGGAAGGGCACGCAGGGGGGCGCCCCGAAGGGGAAGTTATTGCTCAAATCTCAAGTTGACTGAGGGGTCCTGACGAGAACACCCCCCTTTCCCTCCTCCCTCCCACACACCCCTCCCCTCCCCCTACCTCCCCCCACAACAAACTCCAAGCAGGCAGCCCCTGATCCTCCCAGAGACAAACACCAGCGACAAGACAGAGGGAGAGAGGAGAGAGGCAGAGGGGGAAGGGGGAGGGAGGGGAAATAGAGCTACTCCAGAAAAAAAGAGAGAGAGGAGAGTGAGAAGAAGAGAGAATGGAAAAGCTGGGATACTGCACCCTCCTGCTGCTGGCTGGCTGTCCCCCCTGGCAGCTGGAGGCAGGAACTCTGAGCAGGAGAAGCAGGAGGAGGAGGAGGAGGGAACTCTTCTTCATGGGGAGGGAGGGAAGAAGCTGGAGCTGCTGCTGCTGCTTCTGCTGCTGCTCTGGGCCTCTCGCACTTTTTAGATATTAGTGTGTTAAGATGGTAGGTTGTTCCCTTCTCCCTCCTCCTCCTCCTCCTCTCCTCTCCTCTCTCTCTCACTCACTCTCTCTCTCTCTCTCTCTCTGGGCTGTTTCTTTCCTCCTCTTCCCCAGGCAAGGGGGGGTGGGGAGGAGGGGGTTGGGGGGAGGAACTGGATCCTCCTCCTCCTCCAGGAGGGACACACACAGGCCCCGGGCCGGAATCGGGAGGGGGGAATCAGAGCAGCAGGAGAGAAACTGTAGGAGACAAACAAGCCCAACTCTTCATCCTCCTCCTCCTCTCAGCAGCAGCAGCGAGCACCACCAGCCCATTCACCACCCGGCCCCGGGCCGCAGCACCTCCGCCGCCTCAGCCCGGGGATCCCTCCGCCCAGGCCCAGACACACTCGCCCGCGCGGGAGCCCGCCGCGCGGCCCCGCCGGCCCGCCGCCGCCGCCGCCGTGCGCGCCCCCGCCGCTCCCGAGAGCCGGGCGAGAGGGACTGGGGCTGGGAAAGCGGGGACGAGGGCGAGGGGAGAGGAGGCGCCGGGGGAGAGCGGGCCGCGGCGGGGAGGGAGGGGGCCGCCGGGCGGAGTGGTACGGCGGCCGGCCCGGGCCCCCGCGCCTCGGCCCGCGGCTCCCGGGACGCTCGGGTCCCCCCACCGGGGGCGGTGGGGCGTCGGCGGGGGGGGCGACGGGGGCCCGCGGCGGCGCTCGGGCGGGCGGACTACTTGACGTGTCGGTGCGGCGAATTTATTTCACTTTGCCTAAGGAACGGGGTGTGCTGCGGCACCCATTGCCTAGGGAAAAAACCCGGATGTAAAGTGAGTGAAACTAAACTAGAGTGAAGTAGGGCAGCGGCAGCCAAACTCCAGTGCAGCGGCGGCGGCGGCGGCGGTGATGGGGCCGAGCACCGAGCGGCGGCGAAGGCAGCCAAACTCCGGGGCCCGTGCAGCGCCGCAGCTCGGCTCCCGTGCAGCCGCAGCCGAGGCGAGGCCGGAGCCCGCGGCGGCCCCCCCAACTCCGCGGCCCGAGCCCAACTCCCCCCTCCCGCCGGCGGGAGCTGCAAAGGGGCTCCAGAGCGGCCCCAACTCCCTCCAGTGCAACAGCAGTTTGAAGGGGGGGGGGGAAAGCCGTGAGGGGCAGGAGCGAGGAGAAGTGATGGGGAAGCACTGCAATGGGGGAGCGTGGTCCAGGCAACAGGAGAAAGATGCAACCTCAAGTCGAATGCAACATGCAATCCCCGGCCGCCGCTCGCCCGCTCCCTCCCCTCGCCACCCCGCCCCCTTTCCAAATAACTACCCTTGAACCACTTTATTAGCAGTACTTAGTCCAGCACTCGCTCCCGGGAGGGGCGGGGGACGGGGGCCTTCGCTCACCTTTATTTATTGCTGCTTTCTCCCCCCTCTCCATGTTTTTTATTCCTAAGTTCTTTTGTTCTAAGGGGGATGATGGCATTTACTTTTCTGCTTTGTGTAGCAGGGCAATCACTGGGAATCGGCCACGTATAATCCGGCGGTTTGTCATATTTTATTAGTGAAAGTATTTTATGCCTATTCTACCTCCAAGGACTGTAACATGGAGAATTGCAGGGAGGAGAAAAACATCAGAAGAATTCTTGTTTTGAGAGATTTCTTGGCGGGGCGGGGGAGGGCCTTTTTTTTTTTTTTTGGAGGGGGTTTATTTAGATTTTCGAATCGATAGTTTTCAACTTGAAGCTTAACGTTTTTGTATGGATGTATTACCGGATTCTAAACCCCCAACCACAATAAATTTTTTAAAAGTAAAAAATCTTAGATTAAAAAAAACCCCTACTGGACAGTGATATTATCTGATCTGTGCAGCACTCTGGACTTAACATAGTGTTGGCCTTCGAATGTTAAATAACAATAAACCCCAACCTCAACTGAATACAAATGGGGGGGTGGGGGGTTTTGTTTTTAAAGCTCAGCACTTTTGTAGCAACTGCCACTACGCATTTTCCAGGCATTGATTAGCCATGCAACTCCCATAGGCATGAAATCCAGTTTTTGCAGATAAAGAGCAACAGTGGTGAGATGATTTGCCCAAAGTCAAAGTGAGTCATTCGCAGAACCAGAAATAGCCTTGGACTTTACTAGTCACATCTTTTCCATTAAATAATATTTCTATTACCTTGTTATGTATTTTCACAAGAGGTGCTTTGAGATCATTGGATATGAAGGTATTTTTTTACTTTCGTGACCTGCAAAATTAAGTTTAGTTTCTCAAGAAAAAGCAATTTTTAAAAATTCTGATTTCTTAAAAAATAAAATATGGACTTTATGGTACATGTGTAGGCCATTTAGTAGTCTGAGCTTTATGTTAAAAAAAATTCACAGCAGCGAAAGTGTAAGAGTTTGAGAGTGAAAATGAAAATTCCTATAAATGATTCAAGAAGCCTAGATGAACTCATAATGTTGTGAAACTAAACCCATAACGCAGTCAAGATGAATAACGGGAGGACAGGTTGGGTAGTAAGACCCAGCTTTACCATCTAGAGCTAACTGTAATGTATTTAAAATGAGGGAGGGGGTCTTTCAAGCTGGACCCACTGGCCAGTCACTGGAACTATAACCTAATGGTGTGATTTCAAATCATCCCAGGCTATCAACCTTTTTTCATAGGAAGACTGCTTTGGTGTTCTTTCTGGAAAAAGAAGGTAAAATTTTTTTTGGAATTTCATAGAAAAAAATCCAGAACCTCTAATTGTATCATGCTATAGAACTGGGGTTAGCAAACTTTTTCTGTAAAAGCCCAGATAGTAAATATCGTAGATTTTGCATCCCATACAGTCCCTGTCACAACTTCTCCACTCTATGCTGTTATAACCCAAAAGCATCTATACGACAACATGTAAATGAATGAATCTGGCTATGTTCTAATACAATTTGTATTTATAGGCCTTGACATTTGGATTTAATGTACTTTTCACATGTCTTGAAATATTCTTTTGATTTTTTTCAGTCATTAAGAAAAATTTTTTAAAAAGCACCACATTCCCAGTTTGGGGACTTCACAAAACCAGGCAGTGAGCTGGATGGGGCCCACGGGCTGTCATTTACCAATCCTTGCTATAAAAAAAGACTTAAGGTGGACTAACCACTGAACTTGTACCAAAGGGTGCTTGGTTATTAAGATGTGTGGTAGCAACCAAAAATCAATGTTATGCAAAGTCATTGTCTAGATATTTAATTAAAATATTTTTAGCTGAATATAAGAGTGTCTAACACTCCTGTAACTACCAAACTTAATGGAAAAAAAATACTCTGGAAGTATTGCTCCTTCAACTAAGGCACTTTGGGGCAGGCTGCTTAATCTCTGTTAACAGCCTCAGTTTTCCTATCTTGTAAATTGCAGCTTAGAATACCTACTTCCAGCCCCGGGCAAGGTGTTGCATGCCTGTAATCCCAGCACTTCGGGAGACCGAGGCTGGCGGATCCCTTGAGCTCAGGTGTTCAAGACCAGCCTGGTCAACATGGTGAAACCCTATCTCTACAAAATGTGCAAAAATTAGCTGGGCATGGTGCCACGCACCTGTAGTCCCTGCTACTCTGGAGACTGATGTGGGAGGATCACTTGAGCCCAAGGGGTTGAGGCTGCAGTAAGCTGAGATTGCTCCACTGCACTCCAGCTGGGTGACAGAGTGAGGCCCTGTCTCAAAAACAACAACAAAAACCCTACTAAGTAGGGCTCTCGAGAAGACTGAATAAAATAATTCATGTAACGTGCTTAGCACAGTCCTGGCACATAGAACTGTATAATGCATTTTCACTGTGCCCTTAAATTCATTTTCTTAGTTAACATAACTCAAGAAGGTGAACAGGTGGCATCCCAGTATTTTGATGGTGCAGATGTGCATGTGGGATTCAGGGACTCTCGTGTTGATTGAAGATTGTGAGGTTGGCATTATAAGCTTTGGTGGGTCTTTCTCAAGCTCTCAGCATCTCTGTGTGCTTGACACAGGCACTCTGTGGGCACACACTAGCTCTGTGGCCTTATACAAAATACCTAGGCTTTCTGAACCCTGGTGTTCCTTAAACATAAAGATAATACCTTGTGAGATTGTTGTAAGGGCTAAATGGCTTAAGTGTTAAAGGAAAAAAGATAACAATTAGTATGTTAGCAGAAATTCCAGAAATAAGCTAGAAATTGAAAGTTTACTGTCAAAAGCTGCTTTGAGACATTCAACTTTTAGACATGAATGACATAATCATAGCAGGTGCACAATAACTTAAAATTTGCTCTCCTGCCACCTAGTTACCCTTCCAACCCATTTAATTGCCATCAAAACCCTGTTGAACAGTCCAGGCGCAGTGGCTCAGGCCTATAATCCTAGTACTTTGGGAGACAGAGGCAGGAAGATCACCTGAGGTCAGGAATTCAACACCAGTCTGGGCAACATAGCAAGACCCCATCCAAGCTACTAGTGGGGAGCTGAGGTGGGAGGATCACTTGAACCAAAGTGTTAAAGGCTACTGCAGTGAGCCACAATTGGACCACTGCACTCCAGCCTGGACAACAGAACGAGACCCTGCCTCAAAACGAAAAAACAAAAACTGCTGAACAAAGGTTAAAACCCAAATCTTGAATGTTATTAAATATCAAATGTGCAGTTTTAAATTTTTGTAAAAGTACTCAAATTAGTATTTTCTTACATATTCCTGCCTCCTGTTCTATGCTTCAAGAAGTTATCCAAACTCCAAGATTAGAAAACTACTTACAATTTTCTTCTTGTATTTTTATGGTTTCTATTTTTTCCATTTACTTTGCTACATTTATCTTTAAAATTTTTTTTGGTGCGAGATATGAGGTAGGAATCTAAATAACTTTTGTTCAATAAAAAGTATTTAATTAGGCCGGGCGCGGTGGCTCACGCCTGTAATCCTAGCACTTGGAGGCTGAGGCGGGCAAATTGCCTGAGCTTGGGAGTTCAAGACCAGCCTGGGCAACATGGTGAAACCCCATCTCTACTAAAATACAAAAAATTAGTCGGGTGTAGCAGCAGGCACCTGTGGTCCCAACTACTCGGGAGGCTGAGGCAAGAAAATCGCTGGAACCCAGGAGGCAGAAGTTGCAGTGAGCTGAGATTGCGCCACTGCACTACAGCCTGGGCAACAGAGCGAGACTCCATCTCCAAAAAAAAAAAAAAAAAGGATTTAATTAATATTAATATTGGGGTTCTATGGGACAATGTAAAATGCCACTCAAAATAGTAAAATAGCTTCCTTCCTATTTGCACTATTAGTCTAATGCAGATACACTGTAAATATAGAAAAAAGGTAATAGGCATTACATATTATATTATTATAGAGTCCTTATATACTATAATAGAGAATGAATTTTTCTTATTTTACAGTTTTATACTAGCACAGCACATAACCACACCCATGGATATTAAGGTATTTTTGTACATGTATATGATTTTCTCTGATGTTCTGGAACTTGACAGTATTTCAAATAAAGCAATGAAACCCCCCCTGGAAAGGACTGATTGATGGCTTTCTCATCCAACCCGGCCACCCTTCCCACTTCACTCAACCACTGTCCTGTTTTCTGCTCCAGGCTGAAAAGTAACCTCATTATCTCTTAAAAGGTCAGCCCAAAGAAGATTTGAACTCTGTCTGAAAACCTGGGAGTTCTATTTCTTCACTGAGGCAGGAAGGTAAATATTAGAATTCATCAAGTCTTCTTTTTCTAATTCTTATTGGGCTGGAATAAATGAAAACCTGGCTTGTACCAACAAAGTGCTTAAGTAAGTAGAGAAGACATATCAATGTGATTTTTAAAGAATTATGACAGAAAATCCCCAGTGACTAGCAGAAGTTGAATGTACTTTCTTTCTCCCCACTGTCTCGATGGTTTCTGATCTTTTTGAAAAATCTTCACTGTAACTGTCTTGTGTGTGCATTTGTGGTAAGCCAAAATCATAATTGGAAATGGGTCAGATATAACTTGTAAATGTATATTGGTAGATAAACAGTCCACTCTAGAGAATACCTTCAATTTCATTACTTTGCCATAATCTCCAAGGTCAATTCAATCCTAAGTAATTTCAGTTGTGTGTGTGTTTAACAGCATTCACTAGACCAAGGCTCCTCAACCTCAGCACTATTGACATTTTGGGCCACGTAATTTTTTTGTTGTAGGGGGCATTGTAGGACTTTTAGCAGCATCCTTGGCCTCTAGAGGCCAGTAGCAGCTCCCCAACAGTTGTGACAACCAAAAGTATCTCCAGGCATTGCCAAATATCCGGTGTGTACAGGGTGAGGGTGGAGTCCAGTGGGAGGAGTGTAAAACTGCACTGGGGTTGGGTTCGTTGGGAGGGGATGGTTGAGAACCACAGAACTAGACTAAACGCCATGGAGAGATTCACGTGTGCATTTGTATGTGTGTGACTCTACCCTCCAAGAAGCAGATCCTGACTCCTTTTCCAGAAGTAACTGATGCAGATTGGGGGCCTGGGCTGGACCTGTTTGTTAGGAACTAAAATGGCTGCAATTAGAGCTATAGAAATGTCTGCCTTAAAGCTGCTGAACTGCTAAATGTATCACAGGGATATTCTTCCAAGACCAGGGATTTGAAAGAATTTTATCATCTTGTTATTTCCACCTTCAATGTCTAGTCTTTGATATCTATTATCAACATAAATAAATTACACTGTGGGCCTGAGCAATGGTGTTATCTAGTGTAAGGTGTTACCAGATTTGGAGGCTGAGAAACTGCGAGTGAGTCTGGGTTCTGCAAATATCCAACTAAACACTTTATCTTTCTGGACCTATTTCCTCCCCCAAAATGGGGAAAATAATAATACTTAATCGACTGGATTGTTTTGTTTTTGTTTTTTTGACACGGAGTTTCGCTCTTGTTGCCCAGGTTGGAGTACAATGGCGCAATCTCGGCTCACTGCAACCTCTTCCACCCAGGCTCAAGCGATTCTCCTGCCTCAGACTCCCTAGTAGCTGAGATTACAGCCGCCCGCCACCATGCCTGGCTAATTTTTTGTGTTTTTAGTAGAGACAGGGTTTCACCATGTTGGCCAGGCTGGTCTGGAACTCCTGACCTTAGGTGATCCGCCCACCTCGGCCTCCCAAAGTGCTGGGATTACAGGTGTGAGCCACTGCACTCGGCCTCACTGGATTGTTTGGAGGGTCCAAGCAGTTAACGGGAAGTTAGCAGGGCTTATTCTTGAGGAATTAGTAAAACTGGAATCAAACAGTCCCGGGTTGACCTTGGACAAATGATGCGCTATTGTAAGCGGCAGTTTCCTTATGTGCAAAATGCAGAAATAATCATATTACTTTATAGAGTTGTTATGGAGGTTAAATGAGATAATGTGTGTCATACGTGCTTGATAAATATTACTTTGGTTCCTTGGTAATTTGTATCACATTGCACAATTACGTATTTTATTTTTATTGTTTCTTTTCTGTGAGCATTGAAACCTGGAAACCTGAAAAACTAATTAGTATACCCATATGAGTGAAACCCTGTTTGAAATATATTACATCCCAAATTCCAACCAAGTGAAAGCAGCTTTAAACTGTAGTATATAAAACCTTCTGTCTTCCAAGTGAAATCAGTTAGGGCACACGTTTCTTACAATAACATAAGGTTCTCCCCTCATTGAAATAATGTTCTAATAAGTTTTTTACAACCTCTGTATTACATAAAGCACATGGGGTCAGACGTAGCATGCCCAGCTAGCAGTTTGTCCAGTCATAAACATTTAAATATGACTAGGTGTTATCCCAAAATTCACCTTTCCGCAAAGCACTGGCAAATTGCATTGCAGTCCTAAAACTGAGTGCAGGTGGTGAGATACTCAGGGATCTGACAGTATCTTTTACATAAACTCTTTAATTGAAGTATAACATTCATAAAGAGAAGTGAACAAATCACAAGTACATTTTCGTAAATTTTCACAAAGTTAACACACCTATACAGAGGTGTTCTCGAAGGTTAGAGAATTCTGTAATAAACGTGTTTTATCATTGGGGCGCGGGGATAGAAAGGGGCATCACGAATCTGAAAGAACACAGTGGAGATTTCCCAGACAAGATAGTAATTGCCTTTGATATGCAAATGTGATTTTGAATTATCAAATGGAGATATTGCAAAATGATAAATTGGAATCAGATTGCCAATGCAAAAGTTATATCACCATTTGCCACTTGATGTATGATCTTGGACAATTTACTTCAAGTGCCTCAGTCTTCTCATTTGTTAAATGGGGAGAATAATAGGACTGTTGTTTGGATTAAGCAAAATAACATGTGTAAAGGTTTGGGTGAGTCTGGCACGTAAGCTCTCAATAGAAGTAAATCATTTTCCATATAGTATGATGCCCCAAGGGATGAGAGAAAAGAAGTTATGGACATCTCAAGAATTATTTTAGGGGAAAAAAAAAAAGGAAATTTTGCACAGCAAGGGAGCTGCATCAGAATAGCTAAGGGATGCTGCCACAGAGCCCCAGGACTCACACCAGCAAGGAGGGTATGTCTGTGGGAAAGCCTACAGAATGAGAGAAAGCAGGGTATCTGGGGGCAGCAGGCAGGGTGATGAACCAAAAAGCTGTGAAGATAGCTCGGTTCTGAACAGAAAGCCACAGGAGTATGCCTAGCATCCAAACAGGACATGACCTGATTTTTTTTTTTAGAGACCAGAGTAAGGTCTAAGAGTGATTGCTTGTTTGATGTGGGTCTATAGAGAGGAACGAGAGAAACTGCAGCCACAGGAATCATAATCCCAGAGGCCAGAGTCTTGAAAGGCCTGTGCACTAAAGGAGGAGGACTCGTTTAGGGCTTTATCCAAGGCCAAGTGACTGGAGCACCTTATAGCTTATGAATGACCTCAAATGTGTATCTTTAGGCCCGGCATTCCCTCACACTGCGATAAGATGTAAGTGCGCATTTGAGTCAACCTGAATACTGAATGAGAGAAAGAGATACTACAGTACCGAAGGGGAAAAGAATGGGGCAGACTGGGTCTCGGAACCGAGACCTGACAGAGGAGTCTCCCCCTTTGGATGATGGCAACAGGGAGTTCCCCCAAATCCAGCCAGTAACCTGATTTGTTACAGCTGGACCTTTGGGTCTCTCATTTCTTTTTGACTGTCTCAATCCTGTAAATGGCTTCTCATCTTTGAAAGGAGGCGATTTAGTTTCTCATTCCTTGATTGGTTGCAGGAGATCTATCAGCATACACAATCCAGGAGGACAATTATGGTGAAAAAATGTGACCCAGTGTTCTTACTTTCATGAAACTTCTCTTGCTGATGGGTAAAGGATAGGAACTAAGCAAACCGGGGATGGCTAATCTGTGGGTTTCCCAGGGCCTAAACTTGACCTCAGAATCCTTCTCAACACAGTGCATCAGGCAGTCATTAGCAACTGTTTGGAGCTTGCCCAAGATACAAATCTATTTTGGCATACCTGGACTCAGCCCTGATGTCTTGCTATAATTAATGCACCTTTCCTATCCACTTCTCCCAAGCCCAATGTAAAGGGTGTCAGACAGGAAATTATGCCCAGCTTCAGCCCTGCATATTTAAATTAAGCCCTGGATAGGTAACAATTGCCTATTTAGGGAACTGTTCTCATATTTCTGAGTTTATAACTGATTTATGACCTATAAATAGTCACATCAACCTCACTGCTGAATAATTTACATACTGAGGTCGTGCTCTTTGAATGAACCTGACACCCATTTGTGTTAAGCCAACCAGCTGTGAGCATTCAAGCTAGAACACATGGAGAACCGCACCCCAAAGCAGTGGGAATGGAGAAGCAGAGGGCTTAGATTTTATTCTCTCATTTTAAGTCCAGCCAATTACTTTCTTTTTAGCCCCATTTTCTTTCTCTCTAAAATAGGATTTTATTTCCTCGTAAGCGGCAATGTTAGGAGAACAATTTAAATAACAAATGGGCCGGGCGCGGTGGGTCATGCCTGTAATCCCAACACTTTGAAAGGCCGAGGTGGGCAGATCAATTGAGACTAGGAGTTCGAGACCAACCTGGCCAACATGGCGAAACCCCATCTCTACTAAAAATACAAAATATTAGCTGGGCATGGTGGCATGTGCCTGTAATCCCAGCTACACGGGAGGCTGAGGCAGGAGAATCACTTGAACCCAGGAGTCGGACATTGCAGTGAGCTGAGATTGCACCACTGTACTCCAGCCTGGGCGGCAGAGAGCGACTCTGTCTCAAAAAAATAAAAAAATAAAAAAAAATTTTTAATGTCTTCCAGGTTCTCAGAATTCAAAACCTTAAGACAAAAAGCATCATTTCTGTAGCTGTATCCTTCTTTGATGAAAGCCTTATTATCCTAGCGCTAAACAGAGGTTGATAATTTGTGTTTTACACTTCATTATGCAAAAAAAACCCCACATTTCTTCAGCACTATAATGTTGATGAGATGGGAGGGGTACAGTCCACATTGTTCCAGCCTGTAAAATGGACATGCCATACCATTCATTTCCCTCTCCTTGCTTACAGAGAACTGATGAGATAGAAGTTGCAGATGACCAAGTTTACTGAAAATGGGTGCTGTGAGTGAAAGAAAGAGGAATGGATTAAATTTAAAATGACACTACTTCAGCCATCTCAGCATCTGGGTTGGTGGACAAAACTAGAGGTAATAGTAGGTTGGGGGCTTGGGTCTAAGAATTGCATTGGTGGATATGGAGATGACACAGAGAAGAAGGGACCTGAAACATTATGTTCTAACCTAGTGAGAGTCAGAATTTAAAAACAAGAAGCATATTCCAATAGCCACTTGGGGAGTTTTGACTCCCTGAAGGTACAGGTATTATGAGTTTCAGAGCCACAAACACTTTATTTTAATACTAGTTCCTCAATTAGCATAAGTATAAACATTATTTTTCCAAGTACATTGAGTTGTCACTGTTCATCTAATAGAAAAGAAAAACTCATTCCAATTCCAATCTGGGTGAATATTATATTTCCTTTGATAAACGTCAGTGGGTTGATGGGAACGGATTCATTTCAAGTGGAAACGCTCAGACCTAAGTTTTGTGACTAACTGTGCCTAAAGACAGCTCATTTCATACTGGAGTGTCCTTGCCTCAGCAGCTTAGGCAAAACCAAAAAGATCACAGAGCAAAACCAACGGAGAGTATGACAACATTAACACAGAAATTTTATGTTCACATGTTATTGGAACCTAATTCAATTTACAAAAATGTTGTTTTAAAGAAACGTGTTTTGTCCTGAGTAATTATGAATAACCAGAAAAATCAAACAAATAAAATATGACAGTAGCCAATACAAGTGGGCCCTGTTTCCAGTTTTTAAAAATGAACTCTTGAAATGAAGGTGGGCTGGACATGGTGGCTCATGCCTGTAATCCCAGCACTTTGGGAGGCCGAGGCGGGTGGATCACCTGCAATCGGGAGTTCGAGACCAGCCTGACCAACATGAGAAACCCCGTCTCTACTAAAAAATACAAAATTAGCCAGGCGTAGTGGCGCATGCCTGTAGTCCCAGCTACTCGGGAAGCTGAGGCAGGAGAATCGCTTGAACCTGGGAGGCAGAGGTTGCGGTGAGCCGAGATTGTGCCATTGCACTCCAGCCTGGGCAATAAGAGCGAAACTCTGTCTCAAAAAAAAAAAAAAAGAAAGAAAACAAATGAAGGTGTGTTCAGATCTAATATTTTCCATTAAAGTTTTTATTTTTTATTTTACCAAACGTATAATTTCAGGGAAATTGGATCTTCATTGCTGATTGGATTTCATGGAAATAGCTCCCAAAGCTATAAATTTAAGTTTCTCTGTTTTCTCAGGTGCATTTAGCTTTTTGACACATCAGGGTGTCTTAAATTTCTGTGCTCCGGGAATCCAGGTCCCAGTTCTGCTATTAGCTACTTGTGCACTTGAAAAAGTCACTGACTTAACAGGCTTCCGTTTTTTCATCTTAAAATATCTGTATCTTATCACACCAGGATAGTTGATTTGAAGTAGGAATCCCTAACATTTTCCTAATAAGTATTTTTTTTCTCATGACGGCTTATTGTTAATTATTAATGGTAAAAATAACAACTGCCATTTACTAAGCATTC
The DNA here is from genome assembly GCF_000001405.40 of Homo sapiens. NCBI lineage: Eukaryota > Metazoa > Chordata > Mammalia > Primates > Hominidae > Homo > Homo sapiens. Next base: position 46,133,195 of record NC_000011.10, read on the forward strand.
TGGGCCAGATGTTTTGTACATATTTAAAATTTTATAGATAAGAAAACTGAGGCACCGAGGGGTTAAGTAAATTGCCTAAGGTCACATAAATAGTACATGGCAAAACTGGGATGCCTGCCCACAGCTACTTAGATTCAGCTTCTGCTTTCTAATGGGAATTCCCATGAGCCACAAGGAAGGAAGTGTGGGGTAGCACTACGTTGAGATGAACCAGGCAAGGCCTTGAGGAGAATGGATGGATCCTGAGACAAAGGTCTCCAAAGAAGAGCAACTCATTTTCTCTTTGGCAAAAAAAGAAGTCAGTCTTCATCCTATATAACAAGATGTGTGGTATGATGGAAAATGTGAGTTTTGGAGTTGGAAAGGCCTGGGTTAGAATCTTCACTAAGTTTGATCAGGCTCGGTGGCTCATGTCTATAATCCCAGCACTTTGGGAGGCCGAGGCGGGCAGATCACTTAAGGTCAGGAGTTTGAGACCAGCCTGGCCAACATGGTGAAACCCCACTCTACTAAAAATACAAAAAAAGTAGCTGGGCATGGTCGTGGATGCCTGTAATCCCAGCTACTTGGGAGGCTGAGGCGGGAGAATTGCTTGAACATGGGAGGTGGAGGTTGCAGTGAGCCAAGATCATGCCAGTGCACTCCAGCCTGGGCAACAGAGCGAGACTCCATCTCAAAAAATAAAAATAAAAAAAAAGAATCTTCACTAAGTTACTACTTAGTTGAGGGGCCTTGGACAGGTGACTTATCCACTCTTAGCCTCATATGTCTTATCTAGGAAATAGGATGGGATAGGATGTGAAATGAGAATAGGATAATAATATTGGCAGAGCTATTTTGGTGGGTAGAAATAATTCGTGCAAAGTGTCTTGAAGGCACATGAAGGCATACAGTACATGGCAGGCAAAATATCAAATCCTTCTGTAAGTGCTTTCCTAAAGTATGTTGTTAATAGGCATTAGGTAATAAAAAGAGAAAGGATGAAAGAAGTTTTAAGGGCGGGGATAGTTTGGCAGTCAAGTAAATCTGGGAGATACTGCTAAGCAAAGTTAAACTCCTTTACTGCAGGGCTTCTCAGAGCCTTTAAATTGCAAAGATGCAATAGGAATCTCCAAGAGGAAGCTTTTTCTCAATTTATTTTGAGTCTCAATTTATTTTGACCCATTTTAATGGTGTCTCTTACAGGACTGGCGTTTCTGGGGGCACGTGTCAGGAAGCACTGATCTGGTGACTTTTGGAGGAAAAAGCTGGCTTATTCGGGTCCAGTCATCATGGTCCATTTACTGTTTTGTAGTACCTCCAGAATTGTCTCTCTTTTCTATCTATTTCTCCCAAAAATAGGATTTCTCCTCTTTACAAATGTCACAGAAGGAAGCTCTAAAGAGTGATTTCCAGCATCCATACAAGTGAAAAGTTCAGCTCCCAAGAGGAGCAGACAACGTCCGCAAAGCAAACCAAGCAAGACCCATGGGGCCAAGGCATTAAGTGGTTTCTCAGGGTGGTGGAATGTGGCTGCTTCCCTGCTTCTCCCAGAGAAGCTTTAAATGTGTAGGTAACTTCCCAGACCACCAGAAGGCACCAACATGGGAAAAACAGATCCAGTCACTGGCCCAGAGAGTCAGAAATCAGCCCATCCAGGTGACCCCGCTTAGGCTCCTGTTCATGCACTTGTCAAAGGCCAGCCCAGCCCAAGGAGGGGGAAAGAATTAGACAGAGGATCAGCTTTTTATTTTCATGTACAAAGCACTTGCCCTCGGGTTATAAATGTTATTGCATTTGTGTAGCACTTTACTGCTGCCCTCAGCTTGCAAGCATCACAGGATCCCAGTGGCAGTACTTTCTTAACCCTTGATCAATAGCTTATTTCTATCGCCTTCAGTCCCAGCTGCCAATCCGTTCTGTAAAATGTGGGAGGCAGACTTCGCTGCTCTCCAGCTGTACATGTTATGAATGTAAACGGTGCAAGTAACATATGTATTATACGTATGTGTGTGTGTGTACTGAGTGGGGGACATGAGATTTTTGAACAAGGAGTAACAAAAATGGGACCCTTGTTCTGGGAGACTCCCATACAGCTGGGAGTTTTCTTTCTAGTTTCTCCTTTTCTCTCTTTCTCTCTCTCTGAAACGATGTGCTTGGTATTCTGTCATGTGGCAGGAGAAATTCTCTCTTAAGTTTCTGTGTTTTTATTTGATATATATTTGGGGGAAGGGGTGAAAAGTGGACAGAAAGATCTAAGTTCCAAGAAAGAAAGGGTCATGTCCATCTTATTTATCACCCCTGTAGTCCCAGCACCTACACTGAGCCTAGCACAGAACAGGTGCTCAGGAAGTATTTGTTGACTAAATGAATGAATTCAGGAATGGGAGGATAAGAGGGCCCCAGAGCAATCCTCTGGAGCTGCCTGAGCAAAGAGGCAAAGGCCTTGTCTTGCTGGCAGCAAGGGGGACCACAAAAGGTTTAATGGGCATCTACTTTATTTATTTTATTTTTATTTTTTGAGATGGAGTCTTGCTCTGTCTCCAGGCTGGAGTGCAGTGGCGTGATTTCGGCTCACTGCAACCTCCACCTCCTGGTTTCAAGCGATTCTCCTGCCTCAGCCTCCTTAGTAGCTGAGATTACAAGCACGCACCACCACGCCCAGCTAATTTTTGTACTTTTAGTAGAGACGGGGTTTCACCACGTTGGCCAGGCTGGTCTCAATCTCCCCACCTCGTGATCCGACCACCTCGGCCTCCCAAAGTGCTGGGATTACAGGAGTGAGCCACTGCTCCCGGCCAGCATTCTACTTTATTTAAGGCTCACTCTAGGCACCTTGGGAACCACAGAGAAATGAGATCATAAGCATAACCAGCTACTACTGTTCCAGTTTACCAGGGAGCAGAGTCAGCCAAGAAACCACTTGGGGACAAATTCCTCATCTCACCTTCTTTCCCTCACCTCTGAAGCTAGTTTTAAGACAAACGCACCCTAGGAGACACTTTGAAGGATGAAGGAGGATCCCAAAGCTCCGTGACATCCTCCAGCTCCAGGAAGATGACTCCATCTCGCGGTAAGGCAGCCGGGACTGCCCTTGTCTGAACCTATGTCCTTGAGGCTCAGCCAAACCTCTCCTTCTGTGGCAGAGGGATGTTTAGGTGACATTCTTCTCCCTGCCACTCAGCATCTTTTAAACAATCTTCCTCCACCTTGGGAGAATATGCATGAACTCACTGCAGTCTGGGACCACGGAAGCTGAAAATTGTCTTTCTCCCTGGGAGGGGAATTGGTCACAAAGGGAAAAACCGACCTCCCCTGAAAAATAAGAATCTGGGGCCAGGCGCGGTGGCTCACACCTGTAATCCCAGCACTTTGGGAGGCCGAGGCGGGCGGATCACCTGAGGTCAGGAGTTCAGGACTAGCTTAGCCAACATGGTGAAACCCCATCTCTACTAAAAATACAAACTTAGCCAGGCATGGTGGCACATGCCTGTAATCCCAGCTACTCAGGAGGCTGAGGCAGGAGAATCGCTTGAACTCAGGAGGCAGAGGTTTCAGTGAGCCGAAATCGCACCACTGCATTCCAGCCTGGGCAACAGAACAAGACTTCGTCTCCATAAAAAAAGAATCTGGGATGACTGCAGGTTCTTTCAGGCAAAGTTCTTTTGCTTGCCATGGTAGAAATCCACGTCAAGTGGAATTAGTGAAGGAGGGACCTCGTTGGAAGTATATCAGGTACGTTGCAGGGCAGGGGCAGTTGGCTCAGAAGGACCGGGTACCAAACCCTGGAAGATGGACTCCCCAGGAATCCTCAGAAGCAGCAACACCCCACGTTTGGCTGCTGTCAGCTGCACTTAAGTTTCCTCAGCCTGCTCGCCCCAGCCTCGGGGGCCTGTGGTGGGAGGGGAGGAGGTTGGCACAGCCCCTTGGCTCTGCAGCACACTGCCTGTAGTGCACCATGAATTAATATTTTTAATAAATCCTGTAATTATCTTGTGAACAGAACATTTTTGTGGCACTGTGTTTTTCGGTGTTAAAAGCATTAATTTATTCAATATAAACATTAAAACTATACCGTCGTTTTTGTAACCTTGTTTCTTTATTTCTTCATGGAAAGTGGGCTCTAAGGCCCCAACTAAGAGGTGCGCTTGGCTTTGTGTAGCCACCCCAAGTGGCCAGCCAGACTGCGGCCAGCTTTCAGACCCGGGTTGGAATGTCTAGGAGTGACACTCTGACTTGCTCAGCTTAGGAGGAGGTTCACCCAGCACAGCTAACTGTTAGACCGCAAGCTCCCTTTTCCACGCAAGGGAAAAGGAGTCATTATGAGCTCGGCAGACACCCACAATGTGTCTACAAGATTATCCTCTTTCTGGACTCACCCTGTACAGAATCTCAAATACACAGGTCTCCAACAAGCTGAGCAGAGGACTCCCAGGACTATGGAATCTCAGGGGAGCTCACCTTGCAGCTAAACTTTCCTAAGTGTGTACGACCCTGCTTCCTCCCAATTCTTGTCTCTCTAGTACATCGCTGTTTTCTCTTGATCCTGAAATTTTTTTATTTGTAATGTTCTGTTTTATCATATGTTTTGCGTTCCCTCAAGTCCTTTGTGGCAGGACAAAAGACCGAAAAGTTGAATAAATATCGGGTTTGTACTTAATGTCATCAAATCAACACACATGTTGTAGGCGTCTCAGGAGCCTAGCCAACCTCCAAAAGGGCTTGGTCCAAGTTAGACTTAATTTGTCCTTCCTCCTTCCCTCCCTCCCTTCCTTCTTCTCTCCCTCTTTCCCTCCCTCCCTCCCTCCTTTCTTCCCTCCTCCCCTCCCTCGATTTCTCTTTGCTTCCTTTTTTTTGTTTTCTATGAGTAACTTTTTTTGTGGAAGCAATACAAATATCTTTAAAAACCTTTTTTAAACACTGAAGTATGACCAATAAAATAAAAACGATTCAAATTCCCACCACATCCCCCCTAAGAGGTAATTACTATTAATATTTTGGTCTACAACTTTCTAGATAATTTTCAAGAAAATTAGCCTCACAGTGAAAATAACTGTATCACTAACTTATATCCTATTTTTTAACTTGGCAGTACGTTATGTTTCTTTGCACATCATTGCATTTTCTTCTGGAAACATTTTATTTTCTAAACCGGAATCAAATTTGTTTTTCTGATATATAAAATATTTAACCAATACAGAGAAATAAAGAGTCCCTCATAATCCCACTTCCTAAAAATAGTCACTATTAATTTTTAAAATCCTTCAAGTTTTTATGTATGTGTAAACATGCATTTCTATAGACAGACTCCTAACACATTGTTGGATAGTGTTTGGTAAACTGCTTTTTCCTTCTTAACACTAGATCATGAGTATCTTCCCACATCAATACATAGAATGCATCATCGGGCCGGGCGCGGTGGCTCATGCCTGTAATCCCAGCACTTTGAGAGGCCGAGGTGGGCGGATCACCTGAGGTCAGGAGTTTGAGACCAACCTGGCCAACATGGTGAAACCCTGTCTCTACTAAAAATACAAAAATTAGCTGGGCATGGTGGCATGCACCTGTAATCGTAGCTACCCAGGAGGGCGAGGCAGGAGAATCACTGGAACCCAGGAGGCAGAGGCTGCAGTGAGCCGAAAAGAATGCATCATCCTTCTTGATGGCTACATTGAATTCTATTACATTGAATAAATGGACCATAATTTCTTTAACCAATCACCTCTTGTTGGAAACATATTCTAATTTTTCAATTTTTCACTATTATAAGGAATTATTATTTTTTCAATTTTTCACTATTATGAGGAGTACTGTACTAAGCATCATCGTGTATGCTTCTTGGTCATGTATCTGATTACTCCTTTAGAAATAAATTCCTAGAAGGAAGATTGCTGAGAAAAAAAGGATACATCTTTTAAAATTTGATCATATCAATAAATAGTCCTCTAGAATATTGCACCAATTTACATTTCACCAATATGTATGAGATAAACTGATTTTCCACACCATCTCCAACATTGGCCATTATCACTCTTTTTTATCTTTGCCAGGCTGAAAATGAGATTTCATTTTGGTTTCAATCTGTAAGACTTTGATTATCAGTGAGGTTGAAGCATGCTTTTATATCTTTATTTGTCCAATTTAGTTTATGAATTACCTATTCATGTGTTTTGCCTATTTTATTTTATAAAAGCATTCTTCTTTCCTTATTGATTGGTAAAAGTCCTTTATATATCAAGGCTATTAACCTTGACGTCTATGTTGAAATTGTTTTTTCTCACTTAGTTCATTGTATCTTTTGCCATAGAAAGTTCTTATTTTTATATATTTGGTGGGTTTTCTTTTGAGATGGGGTCTCATTCTGTCACCCAGGCTGGAGTGCAGTGGCACGATCTCAGCTCACTGGAACCTCTGGCTCCTGGGTTCAAGCTATTCTCCTGCCTCAGCCTCCCGAGTAGTTGGGACTACAGGTGTGTGCCACCAAGCCCAGCTAATTTTTGTATTTTTAGTAGAGACAGGGTTCCCTCATGTTGGCCAGGCTGGTCTCAAACTCCTGACTTCAAGTGATCCACCCACCTCAGCCTCCCAAAGTGTATTTTTATGTATTTGTACCAGCCTGAGCAAACAAAAAGCCAAGTGACGGCCTTAAACCATACAATATTAGCTGTTTAGTTAACCTGAAATTCAGAAGTAGGAGGTCACAGGATTGGTCTGGTGGTTCAGAGATGTCATCAGTCTCTGTATGTCCTTCAGATTTGCCGTTTAGTGTGCGTTGACAGTGCCTCCCCTCAGTGAGACAAAATGCCTGCCACACCTTTGAATATGATATCCTCATACTCTGATTAGGAAGGATGAGGACAAAAAAAAAGAGAGAATAAGGACAAAGAATTTTTTTTGCCATCCCCCAGATCTACTATTTTCATCAGGGAGGAAATTCTTTCCCAGAAGGTCCCAGTAGATTTTTACTTACATCTCACTGGTAACCGGTAGTGTGTGCTGAAATAATCAAACCTGCCAATCACTTCCTCTATGACTTGTGGCTTAACACCACATTACCAAAAGACCTCCCTATCCCCAAATTCTTTTTTCTTTTTTTTTTTTTTTTTTTTTTTTGAGACCAAGTCTCACTGTGTCACCAGGCTGGAGTGCAGTGGCGCAATCTCGGCTCACTGCAACCTCCGCCTCCTGGGTTCAAGCGATTCTCCTGAGTAGGTGGGACTATAGGCGCGTGCCACCACGCCCAGCTAGTTTTTGTATTTTTAGTAGAGATGAGGTTTCACCTTGTTGGCCAGGATGGTCTCTATCTCTTAACCTCGTGATCCACCTGCCTTGGCCTCCCAAAGTGCTGGGATTACAGGCATCAGTCACTGCGCCTGGCCCCCAAATTCTTTTAAAATGTAATCCACTACTATCTCCTAGGACTTTTGAGTTTTTGTTTCTTTGTTTTATTTCCAAATCCTTAAACTATCTGGAATTTATTTAGGAGTATAGTAGGAGACAACTTTACTTTTTTTTCTAAAAGGATATCCGATGTATGGATAACTTTTATTAAATAATCAATATTTTCCCCATCAAGTTGAAATATCATCTTCATTATTTACCAAATTCTCCTAAATTCATGGGTCTACCTCCATGGATCTGTCTTTTCTTGCTCCAGTACCACAATGTTTTTCATCACTACAGTTTCATATCAGGTAGCACAAGTTATTCTTTCTTCGTTATTTTCTTGGCTGTTCTTTATTTGTTTATTCTTCTAGATAAACATTCGGATTAGTTTAACTAGTCCCACCCACCCACCAACGAATGTTTTCTTTAGCATTTTGATTTGACTTACTTTAAACTTATAGATTAACTTTAGAAGGCTTCACATCTTTAACAATATTTAGTCTTTCCTAGCAGGATCTTGGACTGTGCCTCTCCACTTTTCATCTTCTTTTATGCCCTTTAGCAAAGTTTTATCATTTCTTCATAAGTATCTTGCACATTTTTGTTAAGCTTATTTATTTGTATTTTATTTTTTATGCTGATTGTAAATGGGATATCTTATACCAATAGGAAAACTCAAGAAGGATCATTTGTTCATTTCTTAAATATATTCTATTTGGCTGGGCGAGGTGGCTGATGCCTGTAATCCCAGCACTTTGGGAGGCAGGGGCGGGAGGATCACCTGAGGTCAGGAGTTCGAAACCAGCCTGGCCAACATGGCAAAACCGGGTCTCTACTAAAAATACAAAAATTAGCCAGGCGTGGTGGCAGACACCTATAATCCCAGCTACTTGGGAGGCTAAGGCATGAGAATCGCTTGAACCCAGGAAGCAGTGAGCCAAGATCATGCCACTGTGCTCTAGCCTGGGTGACAGAGCAAGACTCTATCTCAAAAAAATAAATAAATAAATAAATAAAATAAAATAGTATACATATATTATATTTGGCTACAATTATTTGAAAATATTCCTTGATTTAATTTGCTCATATTTATTTGTCATTTATTTCCAAGAAAGGTAAGGATGAAATATTTTTATCCTTTGAAGGACTTTTATAATAATGTTTGCAAAGTTTATAAATGAATCAGGGAACTTTCAGTCTTAATATTACTCTAGAAATGTATCATTCAACAAATACAGTAGCCACCAGCCATGTGTGGCAAATGAGCACTTGAAATGTGGCTACAGTGGCCCACTCCTGTAATCCTAGCACTTTGGGAGGCTGAGGCGAGTGGATCCCTTGAGTCTGGGAGTTTGAAACCAGCCTGGGCAACATGGCGAAACCAGTCTCTACTAAAAGTACAAAAAATTAGCTGAGCATGGTGATGCGTGCCTCTAGTCACAGCTACCCGTGAGGCTGAGGTGCCAGAATCACCTGAGCCTAGAAGATCCAGGCCACAGTGAGCTGTGATTACGCCACTGCACTCCAACCTGGGCGACGGAGTGAGACCCTGTATAAAAAAGAAGAAGAAGGAGAAGGAGGAATGTGGCTACTGCCAGTGAAGAACTAAATTTATTTTTATTATTATTTTGAGACAGGGTCTCACTCTGTTGCCCAGGCTGGAGTGCAGTGGTGCATTCATTGCTCACTGAAGCCTCCATCTCCTGGGCTTGAGTGATCCTCCCGCCTCAGCCTCCCAAGTTGCTGGGATTACAAAGCACACACGACCATGCCTGGCTAATTTTTCTTTTTTCTTTTTGTAGGGATGGAGTCTTGCTGTGTTGCTCAGGCTGGTCTTGAACTCCTGGCCTCAAGTGATCCTCCCACCTTGGCCTCTCAAAGTGCTAAGATTACAGGCATGAGCCACTCTCCCTGGACGATGTTATTTATCTTTAACATTTAAACTTAAAAACTGATGTTTGACTTAGTTACTGGAAAACGTTTAAGTATTTTGGAACAATGTAGGTATGTGAATCTGCTTTTCAACTGTAAATTTACTTTATAAAACCTAAGTCTTCAGAGATAAGTATTTCTGATGAAAATTTAGTGTCTGAATTGAGATATGCTGTAAGTATAAAATACACAGGGGTCGGAGCCGCCGGGGCGCGGGCAGCCCGGGGTGTCCACCCCCTCCTCCTGTCCTGGATGGTTAGGACGTGCTTCCCCACCTGGACCTCCTCCCACCCGCTTCACCGCCCCCGCCGGTGCTCCTGCCTTGTGAAGACGAGGCTCCTGCTCCAATGGGGGCCTCACTTATTGCGGACTTAGAGCAGCTGCACCTGCCCCCGTCCCCACCCCCACCACAGGCCCCTGCGGAGAGACCTTCAGTCCAGCCTGGGCCGGATCCCCTCTGGCCCGTGGAAAAAGAGCTGCCGCCTCCCCCAGCAGAGCCTGTTGAGAGAGAGGCGTCCACAGACATCCGTGCCTTCTGCCATAAGACTGTGTCCCCCCAGGAGCTGGCTGTGGAGGCCATGAAGAGGCAGTACCATGTCCAGTTCTTCACGTGCCGTACCTGCCGCCGCCAGCTGGCTGGGCAGAGCTTCTATCAGAAGGATATGCGACCCCTCTGCGAACCCTGCTGCCAGGACACGCTGCAGAAGTGCAGCAAGTGTGGCGAGGTGGTCCGGGACCACATCATCAGGGCCCCGGGCCAGGCCTTCCACCCCGCCTGCTTCACGTGTGTGACCTGCGCCCGGTGCAGCGGGGATGAGAGCTTTGCCCCGGGCAGCCAGAAGGAGGTGTACTGCCTGGACGACTTCTACAGGAAATTTGCCCCCGTCTGCAGCATCTGTGAGAATCCCATCATTCCTCGGGATGGGAAAGATGCCTTCAAAATCGAGTGCACTGGAAGAAACTTCCATGAAAATTGCTACAGGTATGAGGACTGCAGGATCCTCCTGTCTATTGAGCCCACGGACCAAGGCTGCTACCCGCTCAACAACCATCTCTTCTGCAAGGCGTGCCACCTGAAGCAGAGTGCTGCGGGGTGCTGCTGAGAGTGCCCGCCGGGTGTCAGGCAGTGAGCGGACTACTAGTCCCGGCTGGGGCCCTTTCCTGACTTGGTTTCCCTTCCTGACCTGCTCTTGCACACTTTCCTTCTGAGCCTCCATGGGGACCAGCCTGCAAGTCGGCCCAGCCTTTCCAGGACACAGTGGGGCTGAGCGCCGTCAGAACTTCCACTCCTCCTTTACCCTCTGGGCACCAGAAGGTTCCTGGACCATGAGCGTCGCCCCCAGAATTCCTTGCTGGCCCCACCCCACTTCCAGGGGAAAGCTGGGGGGAGTCTGCCGGGGACAATTGGACCCCTAGTGCTGACTGTAGCTGTCTGGTCGGGGTGCTGAGACCAGCATGGCTTTGCACGGTTGAGCTGTTTGAGGAAAAACTCCAAAGTCCCTTAAAAAGTGCTTTTTAGGCTGAACACAGTGGCTCAAGCCTGTAATCCCAGCACTTTGGGAGGCCGAGGTGGGTGGATCACTTGAGGTCAGGAGTTTAAGACCAGCCTGGCCAACACGGTGAAACCCCGTTTCTACTAAAAATACAAAAATTAGTCAGACGTGGTGGCACATGCTTGTAGTCCCAGCTACTTGGGAGGCTGAGGCAGGAGAATTGCTTGAATGTGGGAGGCAAAGGTTGCAGTGAGCTGAGCTTGCACAACTGCATTCCAGCCTGGGCGACAGAGTGAGACTCCATCTCAAAAATTAAAAAAAAGTGCTTTTGAAAATGTTGAAGTTGGCTGGGCGCGGTGGCTAATGCCTATAATCCCAGCACTTTGGGAGGCCGAGGCGGGTGGATCACCTGAGGTCAGGAGTTCGAGACCAGCCTGGCCAACATGGTGAAACTCTGTCTCTACTAAAAATACAAAAAATTAGCCAGTCATGGTGGCAGCTGCCTGTAATCCCAGCTACTAGGGAGGCTGAGGCAGGAGAATGGCTTGAACCCAGGAAGCAGAGGTTGCAGTGAGCCAAGATCGTGCCACTGCACTCCAGCTTGGGCAATAAGAGTGAAACTCCATCTCAAAATTAAAAAAAAAAAAAAGAAAAAGAAAAAGAAAAGAAAATGTTAAGGTTGAAATGATGGGAATCAACATTCTTTGGATTTAGGGGAGGCAGTGTAATAGCAAACACCTCCCCTTGGTTTGCACACGTACAAGAATGGGACCCATTGGGGGCACAGCCCTGGACTTCCTCACTCTGGAATGTGTGGTGCTAAAGTGGGGCTGGGGCCCAGGCCTAGGAGGAGAGGGTGGTCCACAGATACCCCGGGATGTTAGCAGCCCCCAATCTGCCTTCTGGCACCTCCTCCCGGGTGCTGTAGTGAGTCAGCAGGCATGGGGTGAGAGCCTGTTGCATGCTGGGCACAGGGCCGAGTGTGCCTCCTGCAGCCTTGACAGGGGCCATGCACCACCCCACCCCCAAACACACACAAGCACTTCTCCAGGACGGTTCCAGGACAGATGTCCCTTCAGTCCCCTAGTTATGACCCCAAGACCCACTCGGGCCCTGTAGCCCAGCCCGTCTTGTAACCGCTGCCTCCTCAATGCCACATCTAGAAGATTCTTCTTCCCTTTGAAAGAGAATCATCATCATTGCTTCATCACTTCTAAGACATTTTGCAGAGCATGGACAAGTTAAACAGAATGTGCTTTCCTCCCTGGGGTCTTGCTGTACCACAGGCTCCTGGGAGAACGTCACAGGGGCCGTGCACTGGGCAAGCTTCTCTGTAGAACTCCAGGGGCTTCAGTCCAGAGCACAGCATCTCACCCTAAGCCTGGAGAAGTGAGCCCTGAACTTCTGCATTCACAGACCACCTCCACAATTTTTATCATAACCAAAGGCCTCCTGTTCTGTTATTTCACTTAAATCAACGTGCTATTTTGTTTTCACTCACTTCTGACTTTAGCCTTGTGCTGAACTGTGTATCCACACAGTCATGTTCACGTGGCAGTTATGGTTGTCTTCTTACACATGAAAATAAATGCATAACTGTTTAAATACACACACACACACACACACACACACACACACACACACACACACATATATATATGTACAAGCCAGGCGCTGTGGCTCACGCCTGTAATCCAAGCACTCTGGGAGGCTGAGGGGGGCAGATCACCTGAGGTCAGGAGTCTGAGACCAGCCTGGCCAACATAGTGAAACCCTGTCTCTACTAAAATTAGCTGGGCATAGTGGTGGGCACCTGTAATCCCAGCTACTCGGGAGGCTGAGGAGAGTTTAATCTCTTAAACCCGGGAAGCGGAGGTTGCAGTGAGCTGAGATTGCACCATTGCTCTCCAGCCTGGGCAACAAGAGTGAAACGCCATCTCAAACAAACAAAAAAAAACACCAAACCCTGCCCCCCCACAAAAAAAATACTCAAGTTTGAAGACTTAGTGTGAAAGAAGAATATAAAACACCCCAATAAGAATTTTTATATTGATTACATGTTGAAATGTTAAATTTTTGAAATATTGGATTAAATAAAATACATTATGAAAATTAATTTAATTTTTTTTACTTTTTAAAACATGACTACTAAAGGATTTTAAATTATATATGAGGCTTATGTTATATTTCCGTTGGACACCACTGCTCTAGATTTTTAAATAATAGCATTTATCTGATTCTTAACATTTGCTGGAACTACACTTGTTTTTTATAACTGCATACTGTCTCATCAAATGGATATACTAAGTGTGTCTGACTGATCTGTATTTTTTACTTACTTAATTTTTTTTTTTTTTGAGACTGAATCTCACTCTGTTGCCCAGGCTGGAACACAGTGGCATGGTCCTAGCTCACTGCCGCCTTGACCTCCTGGATTCAAGTGATCCTCCCACCTTGGCCTCCCAAAGTGCTGAGATTATAGGCATGAGCCACCACACCTGGCCCAATCTGATATTTGTGAATATTTAAGTTTTTTCATCCTTTCTTTCTTTTGGTAAATAATTTTGTGTTTAACAAGTTTGTGGCTGTATCTTCGTACAGGGGAGTGACATAATCAGATTTGCTTTCTGAAAATCATTTTGGCTATATTGTAGAGAACATGCTGGCTAAGGGCAAGCATGGATTCAGGGAAACCAGTTAGGATGCCCTTGCAGAAGTTCTGGGGAGATGGGATCAGTGGAGATGGAAAGAAAGGGATACTCTCCTGAGACACTTAGGACATAGAGTCCATAGGACTTGGAATGGATTGGATACTGGAGTCATGGGGAGGGAGTCCAGGATGACTCCCAAGATTCTCATTGAGCAACCAGAGGTTGGCAAGACAATCACTGAATTGAGAACCCTAAAAAAGGAGTAGTTTGGGGGAATAAACTCCTGAGTTCAGTTTTGGAATGCTCTTGAGATATCCAAGTAGAGATGTGGAATAGCCAGGTGTACAGCAAGAGGAGAGACAAGGATAGAGATAAAATTTGGGAGTCATTGGTGTACAGACAATATTTAAAGCCTCAATGGTCCAGGCAAGGTGGCTCACGCCTGTAATCCCAGCACTTTGGGAGGCCGAGGTGGAAGGATCACCTGAGGTTGGAAGTTCGAGACCAGCCTGACCAACATGGAGAAACCCCATCTCTACTAAAAATATAAAATTAGCTGGGCGCATGCCTGTAATCCCAGCTACTCTGGAGACTGAGCCAGGAGAATCGCTTGAACCCGGGAGGCAGAGGTTGCAGTGAGCTGAGATCTTGCCATTGCACTCCAGCTTGGGCAACAAGAGCAAAACTCCGTCTCAAAAATAAAAAATAAATAAAAGTCTCAATGGGTCTGAATGAGGTTGTCAGAGGAGAGAATGTAGATGGAGAGACCTGGGTGTTTTGTGGAGAGGGAGGAAGTAGCTAAGACCAAGCCCTGAGCAGCATCAATATTTAAAGCCAGGAAAGGAGGAGTCAAGACTGGAGACTGCTTGAGAGAGGCCAGAGGTATAGATAGAAACAAAGCCAAGAGTGGTGTGGGGCTCACAAAAGCCAAGAAAAGGTGGGCATTTTAGGGAGGGTGTCAGTAGAATTGCTGAGAGGTTAAGAGAGATGAGAAACTTAAACAATGCCTATTGTTCCATCTCACTAATAATCAGTGACATGCAAATTAAAACAATAAGATATCAGTGTTCACCTATTCAATAGTAAAGATTTTCAAGATGAATAATATCCAGTGTGGGCAAAGATGGGGGAAGAGGTACTCTTAGATCCTGTTGGTAGAAATGTAATGGTACCAGCTTTGGGGGTGGTCTTGGCAGCATCTATCAAAACGTAAACTATGTATACTCTTTTTTTCTCTTTTTTAATTTCCCAGCTACTAGAACTGATACATATACACTTTAACCCAGCAATTTCTCTTCTAGTTTATTTATCCTAGAGAAATATTGGCTCATGCGCAAGAGATTGCAATTACAATACTGTTCACTGCAGCATTGTTTGTAAAACTGAAACACTGCTAATAACATAAATGTCCTTTGATAGAAAGAAGGCTATGTACATATAACTGAAGACTGGGGAAGTAGTTTAATAGAATGATGCAAATTTATATACACTTAAATGTAAAGGTCCCCAAGACAGCGTGAAGTGAAAAAGTGGCAGACCAATGTGTGTAGGAAAGTCCTGTTGATATACATTGTAAAACCTGCATATTATTAAATATTATATATTAAATAAATATATAATTAATATTTTATATATAATAAATATAGATATAAATAAATATAAATATATATATACATATTTTTAGACAGAGTCTCACTCTGTCACTCAGGCTGGAGTGCAGTGAAGCAATCTCAGTTCACTGCAACCTCTGCCTCCCAGGTTCAAGCAATTCCCCTGCCTCAGCCTCCCAAGTAGGGGGGACTACAGGCAGGCACCACCACGCCCAGCTAATTTTTCTATTTTTAGTAGAGATGAGGTTTCACTATGTTGGCCAGGCTGGTCTCGAACTCCTGACCTCAGGTTATGCAACCACCTCAGGCTCCCAAAGTGCTGGGATTACAGGTGTGAGCCGCCGTGCCTGGCCCAAATATTTACATTTATATGCATATAAATGCATAGAAAACTGTCTGGAAGGATGCCTAGCAAACTGTTAACAATGATTAACCTAGAAAGTGGTTTGGAGTGCTAAGGATGGGTGAAGGAAGACTTACCTTTACTCCGTGTACTTTGGAATGATTTACATTTTTAAAACAAAAAGTTATCTATGAATTTTTTAAGTTTTTGTTTTTTGGTGTCCGTGGGATTCTGGAACATAGGAATTACTGGCAGTGAGGTTAGTTAGCCAGGGTGTCTCAGTGATGGGTGATGGGGTGGGAACCATACTAGGAAGGTTTACCTATTTACATATGTGCTATTCTTCCACTATTACCTGCATTAGATCTGCAACACTGTGCCTGGGTCAGGATCTGGCGGGGAGGGGAGTGGGGCTGGTCAGGAAAGAATACGAGTTTGGTGTTAAAAGACTCCGATGGAGATCCTGGTACCACCATGAGCTAGCTGAGTCTTTTCTCATTTGTCTGTTTCATGAAAGTATTGATAGTAAGAGGGTGGCTGAAGGGTGGAAAGAAAGCGAGATAAAGGGCCAATTTCCTGGGAGAGGTGGTGGAGGGACCCCTCCTGCCTCCACTTCAGACATAGCCCAGGGATTGGTGATGTATTCATGGGTGGGGGGTGGCAGGTGTGAGAATTAAATGAGATGATGTTGTGTTATAAACCATACTTAGGTGGTTGCTAACATTATCATAACACTGGATCTTGCACCACAAAATCTGAATTATTGCCCTGCATCTTGAAATGACTGCTTCAAGTGCCCATTCCAGGTAGCCAAGCGTTGCCCAGGACCTGGTCTGCAAGACAGGGCAGCTTCATCCCCACAGCCTGCCCCAGCTGACCGCTAGTGGCACCCTGGGGAGCTGTGTGAAGAAGGATGCTCGAGGCCGGTGGGCAAGCGCATCACAATCCCTGGTCGATGTCTGAAGTGGAGGCAGGAGGGGCGCCTGGCCACGCACATGCCTCCTATTTACACAAGGCAGTGAGAGAGGCAAAGGCTGTCCCTCCACCACCTCTCCCCGGAAATTGGCCCTTTATCTCGCTTTCTTTCCACCCTTCAGCCATCCTCTTACTATCAACGGGTTGTATCTAATCCTTTCTGAGGTGTCAAACTCCCTATTACATCTCCTAGGGATGTTTACATTTATTAAGGGATTTTTAAAAACAGAAAAGCCTTCAAAATCCCCCCCAGATGACTCTTTAATGGTGGAATTAGAGCACAGTGAAAGGTAGTCATTGAAATATTTTTGGATCGAGAGCTTTATCCTTAATTCTTCAATCACACTTCAGAGAGCCCTTCTTTTTCTGCTCCTTTTAAAGTCAAAATGATACTCTGAGGTTTCAAAGGCGCAGTTTGATGACTCCTAGAAGGGCACCCCTCCCAGCCTAGGTAGCCACACTGCCTGCCTAGGTGACAGTTCAGGGAGGTTGGGGGATGGGTGTGGGAAGCCCAGATGGAGGTTGGCCAGCCCCAGCAAGAGTTTGGCGTGGGCTCCTTCTTCTGGGGGCAACCGGCTTCTCACTTCATTCCTCTTACAAACTCCATCTCTTCCCTCCAGGCCTTAACAAACAAGAAGGTGTTTGGGACATTAAAAAGGGCTTGTGCAAATGTTAAATAATGATGACCGCAGCACAGTGATGGCAGCTTTTATGGGGGCCACCTAGGACTCAGGGCCCAGCCCCTGTGCAGGATCTCAAGCCATTTCCTTTCCCTCTTTCACATACATAAAATAGTTCACCCTCTCAATGATTTCCTAATCTTAAAATTGACTTTCCTAGAACGGTGTTCTTTCATTCAGTCTGTATTGTTAGAGTTTTAAAATAATGATCATGTATTATTTTTTAAAAAGAGATTTTTCCATTTTGGAGGGGAAAAAGAACAGGCTTTCTAATAGCTTTCTCTGTCTTCTTCCTTTACAGCTGAGTTATTTCATATTTTCTTGAGTTTACTGCATGACAGCTACATATAATTTAAGAGTATTTGTACTTTTATTCATAGCATTTGGTTTGATTTTTTTTTTTTTTTTTTTTTTGAGACAGAGTCTCATTCTGTCTCCCAGGCTGGAGTGCAGTGGCACGATCTCGGCTCACTGCAACCTCCACCTCCTGCATTCAAGCAATTCTCCTGCCTCAGCCTCCCAAGTAGCTGGGATTACAGGTGCCTGCCACCACACCTGGCTAATTTTTATATTTTTAGTAGAGACGGTGTTTTGCCATGTTGGCCAGACTGGTCACAAACTCATGACCTCAGGTGATTCACCGGCCTCAGCCTCCCAAAGTGCTGGAATTACAGGCATGAGCCACCGCGCCTAGCCGCATTTGGTTTGATTAATCCATTGGCATAGAATACAAACAACTTTACCTGGGTAGTTTGAAAAACTTTGGAGCCAGGAGCCATGAATACTTTGAATGACAGAAGTCCACCTAACAGGCCCACGGTGCTGGATAAGAAAAGCATTTTTATGTGTTTGGAAATGAAATGATCTCATTCTGTTTGTCCTAAGTTGACTTTCCCTTCCTTTATTATTATTTTTCATTATCTGTACTAGTTTTCTACTGCTGCGTGACACATTATCACAAATGTTGTGGCTTAAACAACATCTATTTATTATCTTGCTGTTTCCTTAGGGCAGACGTCTGGGCATGGCTTAGGTGGGTCCTCAGTGAGTTTCACAAACCTGCAATGCAGATATTGGCTAGGGCTATGGTCTCAGGCAGTTGTTGGCAGAATTCATCTTTTTGTAGCTGTAGACTCATGGCAGCATGCTTCTTCAAGA
Source organism: Homo sapiens (assembly GCF_000001405.40). Taxonomy (NCBI): domain Eukaryota; kingdom Metazoa; phylum Chordata; class Mammalia; order Primates; family Hominidae; genus Homo; species Homo sapiens. The sequence continues at coordinate 46,151,402 of NC_000011.10, forward strand.
CCCGCGGCATCTTCTCCAATCTCAGGCAAGGGACTTGAATTACATCTGCAAAAATCCTCTCACATTTGTCATATAATGTCGCCCATCAAAGGAGTGACAGTCCTCATATGCACATGCCCCACACACTCAAGGGAAGGTAATTGATTAGGCAAGGCTCATTGGCGGTCACCTGAAAATGTTGCCTAACACATCATGCATGATACACTGAGCCATCATTTATTTCATTTACTTTTTATTTGTTTATATTTATTTATTTTATAATTTCAACTTTTATTTTAGATTCAGAGGGTACATGCACAGGTTTGTTATATGAGTGTATTGCATGATGCTGAGGTTTGAGGTACGATTGATCACATCACCCAGGTAGTGAGCATAGTACCCAACAGTTTTTCAATTCTTGTCCCCCTCCATCCCTCCATAGGAGTCCCCAGTGTCAATCATTGCCATCTTTATGTCCATGAGTACCCAATGTTTAGCTCCCACTTATAAGTGAGAATGTGCAGTATTTGGTTTTCTGTTCCTCCATTAATTCATTTAGGATAATGGCCTGTAGCTGCATCCATGTTGTTGCCAAAGACATAATTTCATTCTTTTTATGGCTGTGTAGTATTCCATGGTATATATGTACCACATTTTCTTTATCCAGTCCACTGTTGATGGGCACGTAGGTTGAGTCCATGTTTTTGCTATTGTGAATAGTGCTGCTATAGACATACAAGTGCGTGTATCTTTTTGTTAAAATTATTTATTTTCTTTTGGATATATACCCAGTGATGGGATGGCTAGATTGACTGGTAGTTCTGTTTTAAGTGCTTTGAGAAATCTCCAAACTGCTTTCCACAGGGGCTGCACTAATTTACATTCCCACCAACCATGTATAAGCACTCCCTTTACTCCACAGCCTCACCAGCTTCTGTTGTTTTTTGACTTTTTTTTTTTTTTTTTTTGAGATGGAGTCTAGCTCTGTTGCCCAGGCTGGAGTACAGTGGCACGATCTCGGCTCACTGCAAGCTGTGCCTCCCGGGTTCACGCCATTCTCCTGCCTCAGCCTCCTGAGTAGCTGGGACTACAGGCGCCTGCCACCACGCCTGGCTAATTTTTTGTATTTTTAGTAGAGACGGGGTTTAGCCATGTTAGCCAGGATGGTCTCGATCTCCTGACCTCGTGATCCACCCGCCTCAGCCTCCCAAAGTGCTGGGATTACAGGCGTGAGCCACCGCACCCGGCCTTGACTTTTTAATAATAGTGATTCTGACTGGTGTGAGATGGTATCTCACCGTGGTTTTGATTTGCATTTCTCTGATGATTAGCGATGCTGGGCATTTTTTTCATGTTTCTTGGCCACTTGTATGTCTTCTTTTGAGAAGGGTCTGTTTATGTACTTCGTCCACTTTTTTAATGGGTTTATTTGGCTTTTGCTTGTGAACTGTTCTAAGTTCCTTACAGATTCTGAATATTAGACCTTTGCCAGATGCATAGTTTGTGAATATTTTCTCCCATTCTGTAGGTTGTCTTTTCACTCTGTTGATAGTTTCTTTTGCCATGCAGAAGATCTTTGGTTTAATTAGGCCCCAATTATCAATTTTTGGTTTTGTTGCAATTGTTTTTGAAGACTTAGAAATTCTTTCCCAAGTCCAATGTCCTCAGTGGTGTTTCCTAGGATTTCTTCTAGTATTCTTATAGATTGAGGACTTATATTTAAATCTTTAATCCATCTTGAGTTAATTTGTGTATGTGATGAAAGGTAGGGGTCCAGTTTCATTCTTCTGCATATGGCTAACCAGCTATTCCAGCACCATTTATTGAATAGGGAGTCCTTTCCTCATTGCTTATTTTTGTCGACTTTGTCAAAGATCAGATGACTGTAGGTGTGCAGCCTTATTTCTGGGTTTTCTATTCTGTTCCATTGGTCTATGTGTCTGTTTTTGTACCAGTACCATGCTGTTTTGGTTACTGTAGCCCTGTAGTATAGTTTGAAGCCAGGAAATGTGATACCTTTGGCTTTGTTCTTCTTGCTTATAATTGCTTTGGCTATTCAGGCTCTTTTTTGGTTCCATATGAATTTTAGAATAGTTTGTTCTAATTCTGTGAAAAATGACATTGGTAGTTTGGTAGGAATAGTGCTGAATCTGTAGATTGCTTTGGGCAGTCTGGCCATTTTAACAATATTGATTCTTTCAATCTATGAGCATGAATGTTTGTCCATTTGTTTGTGTCATCTATTATTTCTTTCAGCAGTATTTTGTAGTTCTCCTTGTAGAGCTCTTTCACCTCCTTTGTTAGATGTATTCGTAGGTTTGCGTGTGTGTGTGTGTGTGTGTGTGTGTGTGGCTGTTGAAAATGGGATTGTATTCTTGTTTTGGCTCTCAGCTTGAACATTACTGGTGTATAGAAATGCTACTGATTTTTGTACATTGATTTGTATCCTGAAACTTTACTGAAGTCATTTATCAGTTCCAGGAGCCTTTTGGCAGAGTCTTTAGGGTTCTCTAGGTAGAGAATCATATCATCAGTGAAGAGAGATAGTTTGACTTTTTCTTTTCCAATTTGGATGCTCTTTATGTCTTTCTCTTGCCTGATTGGTCTGGCTAGGACTTCCAGTACTATATTGAATAAGAGTGGTATGAGTGGGCATCCTTGCCTAGTTCTAGTTCTCAAAGGGAATGCTTTCAGCTTTTGCCTATTCAGTATGATGTTGGCTGAGGCTTTGTCATAGAGGTGAACCATCATTTAAAAATGATAAAATAGGCTGGGCACGGTGGCTCATGCCTATAATCCCAGCACTTTTGGAGGCCAAGGCAGGCGGACTGATTGCTTGAGCCCCAGAGTTTGAGACCAGTCTGGGCAACATGACGAGACCCCATCTCTAAAAAAAGATACGAAAATAGCTGGGTATGTTGGCACATGCCTGTAGTCCCAGCTACTCAGGAGGCTGAGGTGGGAGGATCACTTGAGCCCGGGAGGTTAAGACTGCAGTGAGCTGTGATCACACCACTGCACTCCATCCAGCCTGGGCAATAGAATGAGCCCTGTCTAAAAAAAAAAAAAGAGAGAGAGAGAGAGAGAAAAAAGAGAATAGAGGTAAGTAAAAAGAAAAATAAATTAAACAGTTGGAAATTATCTCACCTATAGACAATTTATCTTAGCATGTTGATTTGGCCTTCTATACTTTTCCCATATGAACATGTATTTTAAAAATCAGATTGTGGCATATGTATTATTCTGTTACTGACTTTTTTCACTTTAACAATGTTTTAAGAATTTTTTTTTTTTTTTGAGACTGAGTTTAACTCTTGTCACCTAGGCTGGAGTGCAATAGTGCGATCTCAGCTCACTGCAACCTCTGCCTCCTGCATTGGAACGATTCTCCTGTTTCAGCCTCCCGAGTAGCTGGGATTACAGGTGCCCGCCACCATGCCCAGCTCATTATTATATTTTTAGTAGAGACAGGGTTTCACCACGTTGGCCAGGCTGGTCTCGAACTCCTGACCTCAAGTGATCCACCCACCTCAGCCTCCCAAAGTGCTGGGATTACAGGTGTGGGCCACCAAGGCCAGCCAATAATATTTTCTGATGCACATATAAATATCTATTGCATCCACTTTAAAGGCTGTAGTATACTCCATTTAATGAAGCTTCTGTAATTTATTTAGGAAGTCCACTATTGGGAGAGGGGGTTAAATAAACTTTTTATTTATTAAGTTTTAGATTTACAGAAAAATATGAATATACTACAGAGAGTTCCTATAGACCTCATACCCAGTTTCCTCTATTATTAACATCCTACATTAGCATGGTACATTTATTATAATCAATGAACCTATATTGATACATTGTTATTAACTAAAGCCCATAATTATTCAAATTTCCTAAGTTTTTTTTTATTATTATACTTTAAGTTTTAGGGTACATGTGCACAATGTGCAGGTTAGTTACATATGTATACATGTGCCATGCTGGTGCACTGCACCCACTAACTCGACATCTAGCATTAGGTATATCTCCCAGTGCTATCCCTCCCCGCTCCCCCCACCCCACAACAGTCCCCAGAGTGTGATGTTCCCCTTCCTGTGTCCATGTGTTCTCATTGTTCAATTCCCACCTATGAGTGAGAATATGCAGTGTTTGAGTTTTTGTTCTTGTGATAGTTTACTGAGAATGATGATTTCCAATTTCATCCATGTCCCTACAAAGGACATGAACTCATCATTTTTTATGGCTGCATAGTATTCCGTGGTGTATATGTGCCACATTTTCTTAATCCAGTCTATCATTGTTGGACATTTGGGTTGGTTCCAAGTCTTTGCTATTGTGAATAATGCTGCAATAAACATACGTGTGCATGTGTCTTTATAGCAGCATGATTTATAGTCCTTTGGGTATATACCCAGTAATGGGATGGCTGGGTCGAATGGTATTTCTAGTTCTAGATCCCTGAGGAATCGCCACACTGACTTCCACAATGGTTGAACTAGTTTACAGTCCCACCAACAATGTAAAAGTGTTCCTATTTCTCCACATCCTCTCCAGCACCTGTTGTTTCCTGACTTTTTAATGATCGCCATTCTAACTGGTGTGAGATGGTATCTCATTGTGGTTTTGATTTGCATTTCTCTGATGGCCAGTGATGGTGAGCATTTTTTCATGTGTTTTTTGGCTGCATAAATGTCTTCTTTTCAGAAGTGTCTGTTCATGTCCTTTGCCCACTTTTTGATGGGGTTGTTTGTTTTTTTCTTATAAATTTGTTTGAGTTCATTGTAGATTCTGGATATTAGCCCTTTGTCAGATGAGTAGTTTGCGAAAATTTTCTCCCATTTTGTAGGCTGCCTGTTCACTCTGATGGTGGTTTCTTTCGCTGTGCAGAAGCTCTTTAGTTTAATTAGTTCCCATTTGTCAATTTTGGCTTTTGTTGCCAATTGCTTTTGGTGTTTTAGACATGAAGTCCTTGCCCATGCCTATGTCCTGAATGGTAATGCCTAGGTTTTCTTCTAGGATTTTTATGGTTTTAGGTCTAACGTTTAAGTCTTTAATCCATCTTGAATTAATTTTTGTATAAGGTGTAAGGAAGGGATCCAGTTTCAGCTTTCTACATATGGCTAGCCAGTTTTCCCAGCACCATTTATTAAATAGGGAATCCTTTCCCCATTGCTTGTTTTTCTCAGGTTTGTCAAAGATCAGATAGTTGTAGATATGCGGTGTTATTTCTGAGGGCTCTGTTCTGTTCCATTGATCTATATCTCTGTTTTGGTACCAGTACCATGCTGTTTTGGTTACCGTAGCCTTGTAGTATAGTTTGAAGTCAGGTAGTGTGATGCCTCCAGCTTTGTTCTTTTGGCTCAGGACTGACTTGGCAATGCAGGCTCTTTTTTGGTTCCATATGAACTTTAAAGTAGTTTTTTCCAATTCTGTGAAGAAAGTCATTGGTAGCTTGATGGGGATGGCATTGAATCTGTAAATTACCTTGGGCAGTATGGCCATTTTCACGATATTGATTCTTCCTACCCATGAGCATGGAATGTTCTTCCATTTGTTTGTATCCTCTTTTATTTCGTTGAGCAGTGGTTTGTAGTTCTCCTTGAAGAGGTCCTTCACATCCCTTGTAAGTTGGATTCCTAGGTATTTTATTCTCTTTGAAGCAATTGTGAATGGGAGTTCACTCATGATTTGGCTCTCTGTCTGTTGTTGGTGTATAAGAATGCTTGTGATTTTTGTACGTTGATTTTGTATCCTGAGACTTTGCTGAAGTTGCTTATCAGCTTAAGGAGATTTTGGGCTGAGACAATGGGGTTTTCTAGATATACAATCATGTCGTCTGCAAACAGGGACAATTTGACTTCCTCTTTTCCTAATTGAATACCCTTTATTTCCTTCTCCTGCCTAATTACCCTGGCCAGAACTTCCAACACTGTGTTGAATAGGAGTGGTGAGAGAGGGCATCCCTGTCTTGTGCCAGTTTTCAAAGGAAATGCTTCCAGTTTTTGCCCATTCAGTATGATATTGGCTGTGGGATTGTCATAGATAGCTCTTATTATTTTGAGATATGTCCCATCAATACCTAATTTATTGAGAGTTTTTAGCATGAAGGGTTGTTGTCAAATTTCCTAAGTTTTAACCTGCTGTCCTTTTTCTGTTCCAAGATCCCTTCCAGGAACATTTTACATTTAGTTTTCATGTCTCCTTATGCCCCCCTTGGCTGGGACAGTTTCTCAGACTTTCCTTGTTTTTGATAACCTTGACAGTTTTGAGGAGCACTCATTATGTATTTTGTAGAATGTTTCTCATCTTTGTCTGATGTTTTTCTCATGATTAGATTGGAGATGTATGTTTTAGGAGGAAGACCTACAGAGGTGAACTGCCATTTTCATTACATCATATCAAAGGGCCCACAGTATCAACATGACTTATCACGATTGATGTTAACCTTGATCACCTGGCTAGGGTAGTGTTTGCACATTTCTCCACTGTAAAGTGACTCTTCTTTTTTTTTTGAGACCGAGTCTCACTCTTGTCACCCAGGCTGGAGTGCAGTGGCGCGATCTCGGCTCACTGTAACCTCCGCCTCCAGGGTTCAAGCGATTCTTCTAAGTGACTATTCTTATTTCCTTTCCACACTGACTGCTTTGGAAGAAAAGTCACTATGTGTGGCCCACACGTAAAGGGTGGGGAATTTTGCTTCCCTTCTTGAGGACAGGGTAACTACAAACATTATTTTAACTTCTACAGCATGGGAGATTTGTCTCTTCTCCCCAAATTATTTATCTGTTCAGTCATTAATAACAATACTATCTACTAATACTACTTTATTTGTTTATTCAAACTGGTTTAGTTTTAGCCACTGGGAGCTCTTCAATTTGGTTCCTGCATTCCTTTGACATACTCCTATTACTGTGAATTGGATGTTCGTTTGTGCCTTCCTTACCTTCTGGCACTACAAGATGCTACAGGTTTATCTTGTATATTACCTACCCTAGTCCTAGAATCACCAGTCTATTAGTTTTTGACACTTGAATCATTTCTAGGTTTTTTTTCACTGTTTCTAGACAAGGCTTCAAGGAACATCCTTGAGAACATATAAATGGATGTATCTATCTGATGATTTCATTTGAGCTATAAATGGGCAGAAACTGGAACTTAGACAAGGCTGATGATAGGATTTAGACCAAACCTCCCCCTGTCTAGCAGGTCCATTTGCATTTAAGACTGGGATTCGTGGGCCGGGCATGGTGGCTCACGTCTGTAATCCCAGCACTTTGGGAAACCGAGGCGGGAGGATCACTTGAGGTCAGGAGTTCGAGATCAGCCTGGCCAACATGATGAAACCCCGTCTCTACTAAAAATTCAAAAATTAGCTGAGGTGGCACATGCCTGCAGTCCTAGCTACTCCGGAGGTTGAGGCACAAGAATCACTTGAACCTGGGAGGTGGAGATTGCAGTGAGCCAAGATCGCACCACTGCACTCCAGCCTGGGTAACAGAGCAAGACTCTGTTCCAAATTTTTTAAAAAAGAAAAAGACTGGGATTCATGGGGTGAGTGAAATGGGGTGATATCGCCCTCTTTATCAATCTATTTGCATCTAAGATGAGACTTTGAAGGTCTGTATATAAAAACAGGTTTTAGCTGACCATACCAAATACTGGTGAGGATGTAGAGCAAACAAATGCTCATACATTGCTGGCAGGAATGCAAAATGGTAAAGCCACTTTGGAAAACAGTTTGTCGGTTACTATAAAGTTAAATATGTACACTTTCCATATAATTGGCAATTCAAGCCTCAGATATTTATTCAAAGCAAAAAAAAAAAAAAACATGTCCACCAAAACATGAGTACACGAATATTCATAGCAGCTTTATTTATGACAGCCCCAAAACTGGAACCACTCAAGTGTCCATCAACAGGAGAATGGGTGAACAAATTTCAGTATATCCAGGCAATAGAGTACTACTCAGCAATGAAAAGGAATGAACTATCAATACGTGCAACAACATAGAAGAATCTCAAAAAATATGCTAAGTGAAAAACAGCCAGACATGAAAGAGAACATTCAATATGATGTCATTTATCGAAAATTCTAGAACTGGTAAAACTAATCTATTGAGACAGAAAACATATCAATGCCTGGGATGGGGTGAGGTTGGTCGGGGAGACTGAGCACAAAGGGGCTTAAGGGAACTTTTGGGGAAGATGGGAATGTTCTGTATCTTGAAGTAGTAGTGGTTAAATGGATTTATACATTTGTTAAAACTCTTTGAACTGTACAGTTAAAATGGGTGAATTTTATTGTGTGTAAATTACAGCTCAATAAAGCTGATTAAAAGAAAGCAGCAACAACAACAAAACCGAGTCCAGATTGCAAAAGAAGAACCCTCAGGACAGAGGAGTAAGCCGGGAGGAATGCACTCACCCTTGGCAGGTGTTTTCAAGGAAGTGGGGGTGGGGTTCTTCTGTCTCTCTTCCCCACCCTTCCCCACCCAGAGAGTCTGATTCTGATATGTGCCACTCCCCACTCCTCAACTCACTGCTAAAGAAGAGACAAGCTCCCTCAGGGTGAATCAGACCCAGGTGCAGGGCTTGAGGCTGGGAGATAAGGCAGATTCCAGACACACCTGGTGTACCCCCCTCTACCCAGCAGCCCTGAGTCTGGAGGTGCCTTGTGGACATCTCTACTTGTTGGGGTGCATGGAAAAGGCTGTAGCATGTTGAGATCCAGGCAACTTTGTTACAGAACTCTCCCTGGCAGAACTTTACAAAAGTTGGGAGGGGGTGGTCCTCACTGCCTGTACAAACGGGCAGAGGTTGAAACCAAGGCAACTTGTGGACTGAAACTGCCTCTGCAAGGGGTGAGCTAAGCTCCTGGCATGACCAGCAACAACATGATAGCTCAAAGAGGCAGCAGCACTTGTGGCTGCAGATGCCAGCAGGTGCAGGTGGCATGGCAGGAATGGCTCCTTGGAGGCTGCCAGGGAGACCAGGGGATGTGGAATCTGGTCTCAGGGGACATGACTGAATGTCTCCCTCCACCTGCTGGCAGCAGTGCAGAGCAATGGCAGGGACAAACTTACGGAAACTTCTAGAGGAACCTTGGCAGTGTGAGAGCGCGGGAAATTTGTAAAAGACTAGACCTGCTGCCAGCCAAGCCGATGAGGGTTCAGAGTCTTGGGAGTTGAGGTATTTATGTAACATAAGCTCATTCGTTCTTTGATGAATCTTTGTTGCCGGCTTACAATGTGCCGGATGCTATTTTAGTCACTGGACATAAAGCAGGGGCAAAACAGAAAAATCCCTGCTATCAGGGGACTCACCTTCTATGACAGTTACAGCCTATCATTCCACCTGGAGGCAAGTACTTTGAAGAAAGACAAAAACAGGGAGGGGAGAAGCACTGTAGCTGGGGTGGTCAGGGCTCCTCTGCGGAGGTAACACTTGAGCCCTTTGTACCCATGGGTTGGGGAGACCTGAAACATATGAGTTATGGGATAAATTCCTAGCAGTGCAATTTCTGGGTCAAAAAGCATAAATATTTTAAGGCTTTTGATAAATATTGCTAAATTTTTCTCCAGAAAGTTTCCTAGGTTGTCTATTTAAAGAAGAGGGAGAAACGCCATGTTTTAGGGGTGCTCCAGAGAGTTAAAAAAGTAAATAAAAGTAAATGGGGAGAGGGGCGTCTCCTTTTCCAAGTGCTGTGTCGGAAGGGTTAGTTGAAGTCTACTTCCCACTCATGTCAGGCCTAAGATTTAGCTAGACATCCTAGTAGCTGAAACATGAGCCAGAAGCTCATCAGCTCATCAGCTCTATGCCGTTTTGGACAACTTGGCCTAAGGCTCTTAAGCCTCGGTTTTCTCATCTGTAAAAATGGGCGTTCTAATGATGCTTAGCTCAGAGGGTTGTATAAAGGTTAAACAAGATGATATATGTGAGGCTTTTCTCAGAGCACTCGGCACGCACACAGTAAGTGCTGTGATTTTTCTTCTGCAAAGTCAGCAGTACTTGGGACTCAGAAGCAGCTCCAGCACAGGAGCAGTGTGCTCCCACGTGGACACAGAGAGGGAGAGGCTTGCTCCACGCCTGCTTCTAGACTTCAGTCCCTGCAGCTCAATAGTTGCTGCTAAGATCTTCTACCTGGCCGAGGTTCCCTACCCAAGTATGAGTGAACCAGATGTTAAAAGACCTCAACATTAAAGGATCCCAAATGTGTATATGTGTGTGTATAATAAACTTATTTAGGCTGGGTGTGGTGGCTCAGGCCTATAATCCCCGCACTTTGGGAGGCTGAGACAGGCAGATCACTTGAGGCCAGGAGTTTGAGACCAGCTTGGGCAACATGGTGAAACCCCATCTCTACTAAAAATACAAAAATTAGCTGGGTGTGGTGTTCCCAGCTTCTCGAGAGGCTGAGGCTTGAGAATTGCTTGAACCCAGGAGGCAGAGGTTGCAGTGAGCCAAGATTGTACCAGCCTATATATATATATATAAAATATATATATAATATATATATTTAATATATATAATATATATATTTAATATATATAATATATATAATATATATATTTAATATATATAATATATATATAATATATATTATATATATATTTAATATATATAATATATATATAATATATATATTTAATATATATAATATATATTATATAAAAAATATATAATACATATATAAAATATATATATAATATATATATATATACACATATATAAAATATATATGTGGGCTGGGTGCAGTAGCTCACACCTGTAGTCCCAGCTATTTGGGAGGCTGAGGTGGGAGGATTGCTTGAGCCCAGGAGGTTGAGGCTACAGTGAGCTATGACTGCACCACTGCACTCCAGCCTGGGTGACAGAGTGAGCCCCTCTCTCTAAAGATACATAAATAAACAAAAATAAGGACGAGGACGAGAGGGGCAGATCACTTGAGGTCAGGAGTTCAAGACCAGCCTGGACAACATGATGAAACGCCGTCTCTGCTAGAAATACAAAAATTAGCCCAGCGTGGTGGTGGGCCCATGTCATCCCAGCTACTCGAGAGGCTGAGGCAGGAGAATTGCTTGAACCTGGGAGATGGAGGTTGCAGTGAGCTGTGATTGCACCACTGCACTTCAGCCTAGGCAACAGAGCAAGACCCTGTCTCAAAAAAAAAAAAAAAGTACATGTATAGACCTATAAATACATATGTATGTAAATTTATTTTCTCCTAGGAAGGAACAAGGATTTTTCTGCCCTTCCCTAAGTGAAACCAACTGAGCAGAGTTGGCTCAAACTTCTCAAAAAACAATTCACCTCTACACTTAGACCAGATCTGGAATATTGCAGCCCCAAAGTATACCTGTGTGTGTGTGTGTCTGAAAAGTCACAAGGAATTCAAAACACGGTCAGAGTGAAACAAACCATCATGAGCCTAAACACATTTCAGCTACAGATGTGGCAAGTTTTGCTTTGGTTTTTGGTTCTGGGGTTTGTTTGGGGGTTTTCTGGAGACAGGATCTCACTCGGTTGCCCATGCTGGGGTACAGTGATGTCATCATGGCTCACTGCAGCCTCCATCTCCTGGGCTCAACCCAGGCTCCCACTGCAGCTTCTCATGTAGCTGGATCTACAGGCATGAGCCACCCTACTGGGCTAATTTTTTGTAGAGACCGCGTCTCACTTGGTTGCCCAGGCTGGTCTCGAATTCCTGTGATGTGTGGCAAGTTTTGATTGTTCACTTGCATCCTTTTAAAAACTAAAATGCATAGAACTTTTTGTTTACCTGACACTCGGACATGAAATACTCTGCTGCTGCTCTCTACACTTACTCTACGTTGTACACATCAACTTCTCACATCTACTCTTATTTCTAGCAGTCCCAAGACCCCCGGACCCAGCAATCACACCTGGCAGATCTTTAAACTTTAAACTTAACACCGAAAAATGTGCCGCCCCCTCATGCTCCTACCTACCCCTCCCACCTCAGGGCCAGGCGTCTAGAGCGAGGGCACGCTCATCTGGAAAGCCTGTTTGAGTTGTCAGTGAGAGCAACGATCCCCAAATGCTGATCTGTGAACCAAGTTTCCATCCATTCCTGGTGAGATAAGCCAAGTCAGAACAATATAGTTTTCTGTAAAGCTAAATAAATGCATTTCATTTTTAACTCAAATTATGTCCTCTTTATTTTTTGTTTCTTTTGTGGGAAATGTAGTGAAAATAGACTGACATTAGTTGTGTTATTATTGTTTTTTTTTTTTTACTGTTCTTACTTGGCAAAATAAAAAGTTGGCAAACTTGGACTCCTCGAAATGTATTTTGAGATTTTCGTAGTCTACAAATTCCAAAAGTCTGAGAACCACCCAACAAAGCAGCCGAGTACATGAACTGAAGGAAACCCATACGCATTGAGCCCTGCCGTGTGCCTGTCGCTATGCCGCGCTCATGCAAGCTGTTTCATGTCATCCTTATAGCAACTTTCCATTCCAGCAAGCAGATTTTTATTTGATGGATATGGAAAGTGAGGTTTCTGGAGGTTAAGAGACTTGTCCAAGGTCACTCAGCTAGCAAAGGGCAGTGAAGAGGCTGGGATTTGAACCCAGGCTGCCTGAAACTAGACACATTACCCCTCCTCCACCCCCACAATGCCTCTTCCTAAATTACCCCACACAACGGGAGATCCAGGAAAACATCTACATTGAAGTGTGTGCAGTGCTTTATTCAGAAGTCACCAGGAATAAATACATTCATAGATCAAGAACAATCCTTCCACCACAAACACTAGAGACAGGGAGACAGAGAGAAAGGGAGAGACAGACAGACAGAGAGAGAGACAGAGGAATGAACCGCGGTATTTTGTGGTCCACGCACTTTCAATAGACACAATGGCTGAAATGATGAAGGTGTTAAGTGCTGAAAAACTCAGGGACAAGCTGATTCATGATGTGGAGGGGCAGGTCCTGGGCACATTAACTGCCCTCATCAGACACTGAGTCCCTGGAACAGGAACTGGACACGGCACTAGCTGCCTCGTTACCACACAAATGTACAGAAAGTGGCAGCAGACGGAAAAACAAGAGTGATTAAGGGATGGAAGGATCCATGAGTGAAGATGAAGAAATAATTACGCACAGTTTGGCTAACTCATAAATCAAGGATGATCATTCCATCTACAAACACCAGCAAGGTGAAAAGAATCAAAGAGAAAGATGGGCTATTTAATGTGCATTTAGAAGTAAAACAATGGCTGGAATTAAGAGAGTGCTAAAAGCGGGGAGTCAGGACAAGCAGATTCACTGCAAAAATCACCTCCCTAGAGGAAGGGGCTGGAACCCTGGGAGGCTTGACACACCAATGAGATTGGACAAAACATCAGAAAAGGCGCAGTGGGGAGGAGGCTGGCTCTGGTCCCCGTGGGAGGATGAGAGGTGACCTGAGTTCCTCTTACTGCTTCCTCACCTCACTCTCCCTCCTCCCCTTCACCTCACGAAGACAGGATGGCAATTTGAGCAGGAAAACAGTGTCAACAAATATTGCAGGGTGTCATAACATAAGCCCGGCTGGGTTTAATTTGGGGCTGTAGCAGAGGAGTGCTAATCATCCCCAAGAAACCAGTCCCATGACAGAACCATCCTGGGGACAGAGCAACCCCTCACTGCTTCTCCCCAGGAGCGCTGCGAGGGATCAGGTGGCCCAAGTTTATTTATCCATAACCAGCGATCAGAGGATTAACTGCTGGGATGAGCACGGCCGCCCTTCACTGCAGGCAAGATGGGGGCCAGAGTTTTGGCCTCTTCAGCCACTGGAATCATCTTCTGCCTGTGCTCCCACAGTGCCTTTTTGGGAACCCCTGAAGATACCCTCTGGGCTCTGTTGCCCAGGAGAGGATAGAAGACCAGGGTTTCTGTCGGCTTTCCACTGGGATCAAAACACTTTGTCCAATCTGTGAAGAATGGATTCTTGTCCTGAAACACCTCACAAAGGGAAGACAAGAGGCCAAAGTTTCAAATGTAGGTTTAGGAAGATCATAGTGCTTAGAAGGGGATTTGAATGGAGCAGGTGAATGGTAGCTACTTCCTGTGAAGGCACTGAACCCCACAGAAAAAAACAAAAAGCAGCAGATAGGTGGAAAAACACAAGCTGGTATTAGAGTCAATCTTGTATTATAAGCCCACCGGGACCTAATTCCAAGTTTCTCACATTGTCATGCACATTATTGGCGCTCCACAAAGGTTCATCATCATGCAATGAAATAAACAAGAATGTGGGAAATAGAAAGGCTCGATAAAGAATGGGAGACAAAGTGAAAGCGAAGAGCTAAATCAAGCACATGGCATAAATTATAAGCTTATTGAGGGCAGGGAACCTGTCTGCAAATTCTGCAAAATTTTCTCCCCTCGGAGCTCCAAGCATTTAAGGGATAAGTGACGCTAGCTAAAAAGTCAAGCATTTTAAAATAGTGACCCCCATGAGGTGTGTTTCAGCCCTTTTTCAATTTCTCTCTTTGGTCTCTTAGTGATAGTTTTTCCCCTCATAAAACAGGCAGTCCAAGTTTCTAGTCTGACATGCTTCTCAGAACTGCCTGTTGGCTTTAAATGAGCTAAAGGGAAGTAATATAATACTGCCGGTTTGGAACATTATGTCCAGCCATTGACGATGTGGCCAAGTGGCCTGACTGAAGAGTGCTTGAACCCTGGGCTCATCATCTCGGGGCCACCTTCTCACACTTGCATTCATTCACTGGACCAGTAGACATCAAGCACAGAGTGTGAGCAAGTCACAGTGCTGACTTTTGGAGAAGGCCACAGCACACTAGAAACAGAGGCCCTTGAGGACAGCAGGACTGCAGTGTTCATTTGGGCCTACCCTTCAGTATCTACTCGGGAGGAGAAAGATTGCAAGCCACCATTCAAACTAAGTCATCTTACTTAGTCTGAAGGCTCAGAAATGAAGTGAGTGTCAGGGTTCAGAGAGAGGGAGAAAGACAGACGGCACCGGTCCACAGAATGAGGGAGCGCACCCCAGGGCAGGAAGGGAAAGGCCGTACAGGAAGGACTAAGGAACTCAAAACAAGCCACATGATTTCATTGATTAATCACCCACACACACACATGCACACACACATGGAAGACACAAGGATAAAAGATATAATCCCAGACTCCTAGGGTTATTATGTGCACACAAAGGCACAGAAAAATGTGAATACATATCTATAAAGCAATGTGGTTGTTACAATAATGGTAATGAGAGGGATCACGGATGATTTTGAGAATGAGCTGTGGATTAGATAATGGTACTTGTGTCCATGTTAATTTCCTGATTTTGACAACTATAGTGTACTTCTTTTTTGTTGTTGTTTTTTGAGATGGAATCTCGCTCTGTTGCCCAGGCTAGAGTGCAGTGGTGTGATCTTGGCTCATCACAACCTCTGCCTCCCGGGTTCAAGCGATTCTCCTGCCTCAGCCTCCCAAGTAGCTGGGATTATTGGTGCCCACCACCACAGCGGCTAACTTTTGTATTTTTCATAGAGACGGGGTTTCACCATGTTGGCCAGGCTAGTCTCGAACTCCTGACCTCAAGTGATCTATTTGCCTCGGCCTCCCAAAGTGCTGGGATTACAGGCATGAGCCACCACACCCAGCCTGTAGCATACTTCTGTTAAGACAATTTTCTGATTTTAGGAAATATACACTGAACTAGTTCACAGTTTTTAAGAATTTTTTTTAAAGGCATGTGTGTAATATCTGTATAGCACAGAGGATGAAAGACTGATTCCAAGGGGGTGAAGGAGGAAAAGAGAGGAAGAGAGGACAATCTCACCAAGGATTTTATTTCAGTAAAA
Organism: Homo sapiens; assembly: GCF_000001405.40. Lineage (NCBI taxonomy): Eukaryota > Metazoa > Chordata > Mammalia > Primates > Hominidae > Homo > Homo sapiens. The sequence continues at coordinate 46,167,215 of NC_000011.10, forward strand.
CATAAAAGAGAGAGGAGTTCATGAGAAGAAGAGGGGTTGAAGACAGAAAAGGTCACAACGTGAGCAAAGGTATGGCCCGAAGGTAAAAGCAGGAAGGAGCAGGGCTGGCACAGGAAACATTAGAGTCAGGTCCAGCTAGAATTTTCAATGTGTGAGGAAGAGTGTGAATAAAAACACCGATGGGACAAGACTTTGAAGGAACTTAGGCTTGTATGAGGCAGGACTTGGCATTGGAAAGATGAAAAGAAATTCCTCAATACACACGATTCTTATCTGCAAAACCACCACTGTCTATCTTTTGCATATGCATGACATGCATGTAAAAAAAAAGGCTTAAGAACATTTTGAAAAAAAAAAAAATTTAATCAGTGTCAACTAAGCCAAGAAGAGCTCAGAATTGGGTTGGGTAAACTCAGCTCCACAGATGTTTGAGTGGCTGCCCCATGCAAACATTGTGCTAAGCCCTAGGGATAGAGGGACAAAAAGATGTGGCTTCTGCCCTCAAGGTAGATCATAGGCTGGCAATCAGGAAGAGCTTCTCAGACAAAATAAGTTTTGAGCAGGAGAAGAGGGATATGATTGACAATCAGCCAGGCCTCCAGGGGCTTGGCCTCTTCAAGCCTACCATTGAACTGTCGGGTTGTGTGTGGCCTCCACTGTAGTTGGTACACAGACATCAGAGTGCTGATGTTAGAAGGAAAAGGCCAGAATGGAAAGGCTACTGGGTGACCAGCAGAGGGAAAAAAGGGCCTTCTAAGTTATAGATAATTAACCTGTGCTTAGCAACAGTGACAAATCCATTAGAGGCATGTCAAGAAATAAAATTGGTCAAGAAAATGAGAGGTTAATCTCATCCATTCCACATTAGTGCAGAAATCCTAGAAATTGGGCCGGGCACAATGGCTCATGCCTGTCATCCCAGCACTTTGGGAAGCAGAGGAGGGCAGATCACTTGAGGTCAGGAGTTCAAGACCAGCCTGGCCAACATGGTGAAACCCTGACTCTACTAAAAATACAAAAATTAGCTGGGTGTGGTGGTGCACGCCTGTAATCCCAACTACCCGGAAGGCTGAGACAGGAGAATCACTTGAACCTGGGAGGCAGAAGTTGCAGTGAGCCATGATCATGCCACTGCACTCCACCTGGGTGACAGAGTGAGACTCCGTCTCAAAAAAAAAAAAAAAAAAATCTTGGAAATTGAATTCAGGAGTGTATAAAAACAGATAATACTGATCATAATCATCATGACCAAGTAGGGTTAATCCTAGGCTTGTAAGGGTGCTTTAACAATAGAAAAGCTATTAATATAATTCACCATATTCATAGATCAAGGAAAAAAACATATACTTAAAAAGATGCAGAAAAAAAAGCGTTTGCTAAAATTTACCTCCAATTCATAAAGAAACTTCCTATCTCATAAGGAGTTTTTACCAAAAAAATTACATCAAACATCATTCTTCAAGGCGAAATGTTAGAAGTATCCCTTTTAAAATCAGAAACCAGATAAAAATGTCTATATCAACACTTCTTTCCAACATCGTACTCGAGGTCCCATCCAGTACAATAAGAGAAGAAAAGTAAAATATGTAAGTTTTGGAAAGGAAGAAACAAGACTGATATTATTACAGAGAATAAAATTGTTTACTTAGAAAACACAAAAGACTTTATAAAGTGCTGGAGTTATTATAATTTTTAAAAGTTTAATGAGGAGGGTGGATAATACAAATCAACTGCATTTCTTTACTCCAGGGATAAACACTTAGAATGCATAACTTTAAAAGATGCCAGTTATAAAAGCAACCAAAATTAAGGAATAAACATGATGTAAGACATAGAAGACCTTTATAAAGAAAAAAATTAACTTTATTGAAAGACATGAAAAAAATTTAAGTAAATGGTCAGATGAGCCACGTTCATGGATAAAATGTCATAGTATGAAAATAACATTGCCAGGTATGGTGGCTCATGCCCATAATCCTAGCATTTTGGGAGGTCAAGGTGAGAGGACTTCTTGAGCCCAGGAATTCAAGACCAGCCTGGGCAACATAGTTAAACTCCATCTCTACAAAAATTACAAAAATTGGCTGGGTGTGGTGGTGCATGCCTGTAGTCCCAACTACCCAGGAGGCTGAGTGGGAGGATCACTTGAGCTCAGGAGGCAGAGGTTGGAGTGAGCCGTAATTGTGCCACTGCACTCCAGCCTGTACCCTGTCACAAAAAGAAAGAAGAAAGAAAGAAAGAGAGAGAGAGAGAGAAAGAAAGAAAGAAAGAGAGAGAGAGAGAGAGAGAGAGAGAGAAAGAAAGAAAGAAAGAAAGAAGAAAGAAAGAGAGAGAGAGAAAGAAAGAAAAGAAAGAAAGAAAGAAAGAAAGAAAGAGAAAGAAAGAAGGAAGGAAGGAAGGAAAGAAAGAAAGAAAGGAAGGAAGGAAGGAAGGAAGGAAGGAAGAAAGAAAGAAAGAAAGAAAGAAAGAAAGAAAGAAAGAAAGAAAAGGAGAGGAGAGGAGAGGGAAGGGAAAGAAAGAAATGATGTCAATTCTCTTCAAATTGATCTACAGAGTCAACTGAACTCTAGTTAATATCTCAAGAGGGTTTTCAAGGAACTTGGCAAGCAGCTAATTCTAAAATATATATGGAAGGATGGAGTCCTAAGAGTAACCAAGTCTTCATGTATAAAAACATAATATAAAGTCATAGTAAGTAATAGAGTGTGGTATAGCTATAGGGACAAACACATTGACAAATGGAATTGAACAGAATCCCCCAAAGCAGATCTGCACATATATAAAAACCTGATTTATGACAAAGATGGCATCACAGACCACAGGAAAAGAATAGATTATCTAGTAAGTGGTACCCACAATTTGTTATTCACATGGGGGGAAAGATAGATCCCTATATCATACCGTCTCCAAAAGTAAATTCTGTATAAATTAAAAGCAAAATGTACAAGTCAAAACTCTAAAACTTTCAGAGAAAATATGGAATTCCTTTATGATGTTGGACAGGTAAAGATTTTCTATACAAGGTACAAAATGTACTAGCCATAAAATAAAAGACTGATACAGTATATTAAAAATAAGAACTTCTTTCAAAATACATCTTCAAGAAAGTGAGAAGGCAAGCCACAAAGTGGGAGAAGGTATCTGTAATGCATGTAACTGACAAATAAATATATAATCAACCCTTCCTATAGCCATCTATCTGCACATGTCTTCATCTCTTTCAGGATCTTTGCTCAAATGTCATATTTTTCAAAAAACCTTTCCTGACCACTGTTCAAAAATTGCAAAGCTCACCACCACTCCCTGCACCACTCCCTGCCTATTGCCTTTCCTGCCTTTTTTTTTTTTTTTTTAGACAGAGTCTTGCTCTGTTGCCCAGGCTGGAGTGCAGTGGCACAGTCTCGGCTCACTGCAATCTCAGTTTCCTGGGTTCAAGCAGTCCTCCTGCCTCAGCCTCCCGAGTGGCTAGGACTGCAGGCATGTGCCACTATGCCTGGCTAACTCTTGTATTTTTAGTAGAGATGGAGTTTCACCATATTGGTCAGTGTGGTCTTGAACTCTTGACCTCAAGTGATCCGCCCTCCTCAGCCTCCCAAAGTGTTGGGATCACAGGCATGAGCCACCATGCCCAGCTCCTGCCTTATTTTTAACCTCAACATTTATCATTGCCATACATACTACCTATTTAACTAAATGATTTGATTGCCTGCCTCCTGCTGTCCCCAATAGACTATAAACTTTGAAATGAGACCAGGAATTTTGGTGTATTTTGCTCACTGCATACATAATACACAAGAGTGCTTGGCACATAGCAGGTGCTCAGTAAATATTTGTTGATTAAACAAACTCTTACAAATCAATAATAAAATACCAACAGCCCAGTAGAAAAATGAGCAAAAGATTTAAACAGGCATTTCACAAAATAAAAAACACAACTAGTCAATAAACATATAAAAAGATGCTCAAGTTTATTAATAATCAGGGAAATGCAAATAAGACCAAAACTAGATACTATTTTACACCCACCAGATTGGCAAACATTAAGAATTCTGACAGTTCTAAGTATTGGCAAGGATGAGGAGCAAAGAAAATTCTTAATACACCTGCTATTGGGAGTATAAAATTGCAGAGCCTCTTTGGAAAACAATTTGGGATTATCTTGTAAAGGTAAACATGTGCCTAGCCTATACACCAGTTGATCTGTTCTTAGATGTACAGCCTGAAGCAACGCTACTCAAAGTATGGTCCTGGTGCTGATATGTGAAGAATCTGATAGAAATACAGAAAGAGTAAGCATGTAAAAAAGTTCATAGCAACTTGATACTGACACACTATATTTATTTGTTTAGACATTTAAAACATCATAGTGAAATATCCATAACATAAAATTGACCATTTTAACCATTTTAAGCATACAATTTGGTGACATTAAGTACATTCACATTGTCACGCAACCATCGCCACCATGCATCTCTAGAACTTTATCTTCCCAAACTGAAATTACATACTGATATGGTTTGGCTGTGTCCCCACCCAAATCTCATCTTGAACTATAGTTCTCATAATCCCCACATGTTGTGGGAGGGACCCAGTGGGAGGTAATTGAATCATGGGGGCAGTTACTTCCATGCTGTGCTCGTGATAGTGAGTGAGTTCTCACGAGATCTGCTGGTTTTATAAAGGGCTTTCCCCTCCCACCACCGCTTGGCTCAGAACTTCTCCTTGCTGCTTCCGTGTAAAGAAGGATGTGTTTGCTTCTCCTTCCACCATGATTGTAAGTTTCCTGAGGCCTCCCCAGCCATGCTCAACTGTGAGTCAATTAATCTTCTTTCCTTTATAAATTACGCAGTCTCGGGTATGTCTTTATTAGTAGCGTGAGAACAGACTGATACATGTACCAACAACTTCCCCTTCTCCCAGCCCCTATCAGCCACCATTCTACTTTCTGTCTCTATGATCTTGACTACTCTAAGTGCTCATATAAGTGGAATCATGTAGCTTTGTCCCTTTGTGACTGGTTGATTTCATTTGGCCTCATGTCCTCAAGGTTCATCCATGTTGTAGCATGTGTCAGAATTTACTTCCTTTCAAAGGGTGAGTAATATTCTATTGTATGTTTCTACCACATTTTGTTTATCCATTCATCCATCAATGGACCCTCGGGTTGCTTCCATATTTTGTCTTTTGTGAAAAACTGCCACACTATATTCATTGGATTATAATTTATGTCTGTTGAATATAATAATTAAAAATTCAGGTTTATATTTTGTATGTCTTTGAATTCTTAAAATTTCATTTTCCAAGTAGTTAATTTTTGTTGTATTTTACAAAAGTATCAGTCTGTGACAGATTGGAAAAAATTTTAAAACTCACATAGATAGTTTAAGAAGCACCACCCTAGAGCAAGTGCTTTCAAACTTTTCTATGAACTATAGTAAGAAAATCTCATTAGCCGGGCGTGGTGGTGTGCACCTGTAATCCCAGCTACTCGGGAGGCTGAGGCAGGAGAATTGCTTGCACCTGGGAGGCAGAGGTTGCAGTGAGCCAAGATCGTGCCATTGCACTCCAGTTCTGGGCAACACAGCAAGACTCCGTCTCGGAAAAAAAAAAAAAAAGAAAGAAAGAAAATTAAAAAAAAAAAAAGAAAATCCCTTCACATCATAACCCAGGATACACAAACGTAACTGAAACAAAAGTTTCATGGAGATACTTAGAAAGGAACTCGGTTTATACATGAAAGGAACTCAGTTTCTGCTCTGTTTCTGTCTTTCTTTTTTTTAAGCACTGATTGAATCTATCAAATTGATTTTATGACCCACTAAAGGCCATGAATCCCAATTGGAAAACCAGTGCTCTTGAGAAAAATCTTACACATATGTTTCAGGAGCCATGTACAAGGATGTTCCCAGTAGCATTACTGACAAAGGCAAACACACACACACACACACACACACACACACACACACACACAAACAACATAAACATTCATTGATAGGAGACTATATAAAGAAATTGTGATATATGTACTTAATAGAATATTACAGGGACCCAATCAATGTTTATTGAATGAATTAATCAACAGCTGTGAAAATGAAGTACAGCTACACTCGGCAATTTGGAAGAATCTTAGAGATACAATGTGAAATGCAAAAAGCAAGTCACAGCTACTCTACACTGAAGGAAACCATTTTTATAAATCTAAAAAAGTAAGCCAAACTAAACAATCTATTGTTTAGGGTCCCATATGTGTGATGAAACTATCCTAAAAAGCAAGGAAATGATAAACACAAAATCCAGGACAGCAGTTACTTCTGGGAGGTAGGCAGGGGGCGGGATTAGGGAGGAGTTCACAGGTAGCCAACAGAATTGGAAATGTTATTAAGTTGGGCAGTTTATAAATGTTCATTTTATGATGTATGCTTTGTACTTTGTACTTAGATATATGTTGTATATACTCGTTTCTCTATCAAGCACTTCTTAAGGATAGAAATGTACTTGATGAAATTGGAGGACAGAGAATTCTACGCACATTGAGCAAACCACCTAACTCTTTCATGGATATATCAAAATGTCAATAAAATACGCCCCCACCCCCGGGCTTCTTCCAAGACTGTGAGAAAATAGCTGATAAGCATTTGAGGGTCCGGTTGAGAAGTGTATCAAGACAAGGTTTCACATTTCCCCTTACGGCATAACTGCCCCACTCTCCTCCTTATACCAGTACCATCAACTCCACCCCACCCCCGGCTGCTTCCAACAGCCATAGAATGTTCCCCTGCCTCCCTATTGCCAATTGCTTTTAGAATTCTGGGTGGGGGACCTGGGGTGACCAGAGTCCCTCAGACTACAAACCCCTCAAGCACAGGGGCCAAGCCTTATCCTTCTCTGTATTTATTTTTCTTTCTTTTTTTTTTTTTTTTTGAGACAGAATTTCGCTCTTGTTGCCCAGGCTGGCGTGCAATGGTGTGCTCTCAGCTCACTGCAACCTCCACCTCCCGGGTTCAAGCGATTCTCCTGCCTTGGCCTCCCGATTAGCTGGGATTACAAGCACCCTCCACCATGCTCAGCTAATTTGTTGTATTTTTAGTAAAGATGGGGTTTCACCATGTTGGCCAGGCTGGTCTTGAACTCCTGACCTCAGGTGATCCACCTGCCTTGGCCTCCCAAAGTGCTGGGATTACAGGCATGAGCCATGCACCCGGCCTCTTCTCTGTATTTCTAATCTTCAGCCCAGTGACCACACAGGGAAGGTGTTCTATAGTTGTTTTCCATATGAACAAAGGAAGCACTTAAGGAAAGAGTAAGTGACTAACCCCCTAATACTAAGATGCTCCACCGTTTGTCATTGTGGATGTATGGGATTATTTCAGGCTGTTCTGATCATGATCAAGCCCAAGACAGAGCGATGGGCGTGGCTTCCCCAAAGGTGTTTATGAATCCAAAATCTGAGAGAGAGAAGACAAGATGAAGTCACAGGTAAAAATGTGGAAGCAATAGGCTCAAAAATAAAAATTAGAAATCTTGGCAATATTTAAAGTTCAACTGGACTTACCAGTAAGTTGGCGATTATTATCTTTTTATCCCCACTTTTTATTTTCTTTTTTTGAGACAGGGTCTCACTCTGTCACCCAAGTTGGAGTGCAGTGGCGCGATCACGGCTCACTGTAGCCTCCACCTCCCAGAGTCAAATGATCCTCCCACCCTGGCCTTCCAAGTAGCTGGGACCACAGGCACAGGCCCCATGCCAAGCTCATTTTTTTTATTTTTAAATTTTTGTAGAGATGGGATCTCACTATGTGGCCTAGGCTGGTCTCGAACTTCTGGGCCCAAGTGACCCTCCCACCTGGTCCTCCCAAATTGCTGAGATTACCAGTCTTGAGCCACTGTGCTTGGCTTCCACTTTCATTTTTATCATAGTGCATCACAGGGCATCCTGAGCACAGCAGGGTGGTTAGTGGTGTGAAATATGGAGACAGCGCCTGGGTTTGAATCCTGGTTCTTCCACTTACTAGATGTTATGGAATGAATGTGTGCATTCCCCCAAAATTCCTATGCTGAAATCCTAACCCTCAATATGATGGTGTTAAGAGGTGGAGACTGTGGGCGATAATTAGGTCAGGAGGGTGGAACCCTCGTGATTGGATTGGTAACCTTAACCCAGAGAGCTCCCTTGCTGGTTTTCCACCACGCAGGGATACAAGAAGAAGTGGGCAGTCTGCAGCCCAAAAGAGGCTCCCACCAGCCCCTGCCCATGCCGGCAGCCTGATCTCAGATTTCCAGCCCCCGGAACTGGGAGAAATTAATGTCTGTTTATATGCCATCCACCTTATGGTATTTTGTTATAACAGTTTAAGCTGACCAAAATACTGGGTAACCTTGGGCAAATTACTTAACCTCTCTGAACCTCAGTTTTCCCATAACACCTACGTAACAGAATTGCAGTGACAATAAATGATTGAGTTGATCTTCACATAGAGAACAGTGCCTGGCACACAGCATTACCATATCAGTGTTTTTAAATAAAATCCTTACCTAGATTGACAAATAGTCACCCATGTACCCACGTGCCCTCCTGTACTCATGTATTAGTTGTCACGTGGGTGCTTACACTTCCACTGGGGGAAAGCAATTTCTGCTCTCCTTTCCATAGTAAGCCCTTGAATGCTTTCATCTCAATGAAGCTTTGCTGTAGGGTCCTTTATGGGGCACACTTGAGGTCCTGTTGTCCATGTTGGTATCTCCTAAGATGATCACCTTTAACGTGCTTGGATTGCTGACATTGTTGCCTCAGCATGCCTAGCCTAGCATTCTCTTTGCTCTTCTCACTGTCTCTGCTTCCTCCCGGCTCTCAGACTGTTGCTGCAGCCTCCTAACAGACTTCCCTGCCTCCAGTCTCTGCCACCAGTTCATCCACAGCCCCGGGACACATTAAAATCTTCCTTCAGCAACGCTGTGAACATCATTCTCACCCACCCCCTTCTACTCAGAACCCTCCACTCCCCTCATCACTGTGCATAAAGTAGTGTTCAAATTCCTTAGCTTGACTATTCAGACCCCCATAGTTGACCTTAGCCTCATGATCTCACTTTACTTCCCTCAACTTGACTTTCAAATTTTTTTTTTTTTTTTTGCAGTCTAGTCATTGCCTCAACACCAGTCATTCCTACTCCCACCCAGACAACATCATCTCCACTCCCAAGCCCGAAATGCTCCCTGCCATGCCTTCGAGGCTGAGGTCTGGGAAGAAAACTCTAAGAAGAGAGAAAAGGGCACCAGTATGGAGACCCTAGAATATAAAAAGCAGACTTAGCCTGTCTAACCTGTTCCTTGACTTGGCCATGATCCCAGGAATGGAGGAAGGATCTTCCTTTTCTTCCTCCTCCTGGAGAGGCATCAGAGCATGGGCCCTGGCTCTGTTACTCCCTGGCTGGGGAAGTTACTTACCTACTCCGTGTCTCAGTTTTACTTATCTCTAAAAGGGGTAGAGTAACAGCACTCACTGGAGTGGAGTGTGGTTATGCCTCCCAGCCTCTCCTTCAGAACTAGGTTACTTATTCCCTCAGCTGCAAGGAGTGTTAGCTGCGGACTGCTCACAACGGAGTCTCTTCTAGGGATTGCCCTCAACCGAAGGAAGCTGCATTGCCCAAGATGAGATCCCCTCGCTGGGGCATCCTGCATCCAATGACAAGTCAGTGGGGCGTACGAAGGCCTGGCTTCCTCATCTCGATTGGACATCTCCAAAGGGCCATCCCAGTTTCTGATCTCCCCGTAGAATCTCCTGAAGCCTCTGTTGTGACTGCATCAGAGCCCAACCTCTCTCTCTACCCAATCCAGTCTCCTTTCCTTCTCACAGGTGTTGTTCCCAAAACTCAGTAAACTGCCTACACGCAAATCTCTGCTTCTGAGTCTGTTTCCCAGGAAACCTGACCTACAACAGCAGTTAGTTGGCCTAAGACAGCAGTCTCAGAAATGGGATTTGGGAGCTGTGCTGCTCACCGGCTGACTGGTTCTGAGGACCCCATTACGAACAGTAGGTGGAACAGTGGCAGCCCCCAGCATGCGGTTAGGGTGCAATTGCTAACACTTTCGCTGGTGATGAGCTGGCATGGGATACAGGTAGATATTAATGTACTAGGGGCTGCAGCACATCAAGCATTTGAGAGGTTCTGGATAAATAGCATTTGTAAAGACTGTAGAATGAGATGGCCGTTGCTGGGGGTGGTGGGTGCATAGTTTCATTGCAGAAAGACAATGAAAGGCCCAGAATGATTAATTACCAATATAAGGCAAAGTGTAAGCGCTTGAGGATATCTTTGGTAGTGTATAAAGAGACTGATCTCCTGTACTGGAGGGCAGAGAAAACTAAGGATCAAGCCCAGAACTTAAATTATAAAAGCGATGAGACTCCAAAGAAGAGTGAATTCTCAAGTGCAGCAGATCTGCTATACCAAGGTCAGGGACCTGATCGGGAAGAATGGGACCCTGAGACCCTCATGAGGATGTAGTCGAGGTATTGGTTGAAAGCATATGCTTTTAAGCTCATGCTCATGGCTGTTGCAGGCCTTAAATCTGCTTCCAAGCTCATTCCTGCAGTTGCTGATAGACCTTGGTAAATCACCATGTGTTCTGTGTGTCCTCGCAACATAGCAGGTAGTGATGAGAGACAGACAGAGAGAGAGATCCAAGATGAGAGCCATAGTCTTTTTGTACCCTAATCTTGGAAGCGCCATTCCATCACATCTGCCATTTTCTATTCATTAAAAAGGAGCCACCAAGTCTAGTCCACACTCAAAGGGAGAAGAATACCCAGGGAGTGAATGTCAGGAAGCAGGGATCATTGGGGATCGTCTTAGAGGCTGCCTACCACAACCTCATAGACCTTTCCAGGTTCTGGAAAAAGCATGTAGCACACTTGAGAATATTATTCCAACCCATTTACTTAGTGACAAGGAAAGTTGTCACTAAGAGGGCCCAGGGCAAGAAAGGGCTCCACAGCGGGCATAAGCTGTGGTGCAAGTGGCTCTGTGGCATCTATGGTGGGAAAAGACTTGGGTCATCTACTTTGTGGGCAAAGAAAAGTGGCCTGAGGTAAGAATATATACAGAATCATGGGCAGGAGTTATTGGCTTGATTTGTTGGTCAAGGGTCTGGAGAGAGAAAGATTGGAAAATTAGGGACAAGGTGATCTGGGAAAGAGATAGGTGGATGAATCTATGGGACTGTGCACAGGTGTGAAGATCTTTACACATGAGATCTCTGCCATAACTGCGGAACAGTTCAGCTCCCTCTGCCTAATCTGGTGTCCTTTGCCCTCCACAGATTTTGTTCCTGAGAGCATCCCCACTTCCTGCATGCAAATCTCTTCCTAAATATCTGTTTTCCATAGAACCTAACACTTCCCACACAGAGTCATTATAAGAATTAAATGAATGAGTATCTGGAAAAGGTTTGGAAGAGTGCCCGGCACACAGTAAGCACTGTGTAAGTGTTTACTGTTATTACCCTTTCCAATACTCTGTAGTGCCCTGCTCTCATTCCTCAAACCTAGATTAGTTCTCTTACAGCCAAACATCAGTATTCCACTATGTAGTCCATGTCACGCTGGTGATAACTGAAGAGATTTTAGGTATTTTAAGAAGTATGCTGACATGTTTTGGCCAGGCGCAGTGGCTCACGCCTGTAATCCCAGCACTTTAGGAGGCCTAGGCGGGCGGATTCACCTGAGGTTGGGAGTTCAAGACCAGCCTGACCAACAGGGAGAAACCCCGTCTCTACTGAAAATACAAAATTAGCCAGGCATGGTAGCACACACCTGTAGTCCCAGCTGCTTGGGAGGCTGAGGCAGGAGAATCACTTGAACCCGGGAGGCGGAGGTTGCGGTGAGCTGAGGTTGTGTCATTGCACTTCAGCCTGGGCAACGAGTGAAACTCCGTCTCAAAAAAAAAAAAAAAAGTATGCTAACTTTTTAAATTGTTTTAATTTCTTTAAGTAAAAAAATAATTTTAGATTCGGGAGGGTTGCAAGGAAATATGCAAGGAAGTCCTATGCACCCTACTCCCAATCTCCTCCAATGTTAACATCTTACAACAGTTGTACTATATCAAAACTAAGAAGCTGGTACTGGTACAATCCATAGAACTTATTTGGATTTGGCCAGGTGTGGTGGCTCATGCCTGTAATCCCAGCACTTTGGGAGGCCTAGGTGGGCAGATCATCTGAGGTCAGAAGTTCAAGACCAGCCTGGTCAACATGGTGAAACCGCGTCTCTACTAAAAATACAAAAATTAGCTGGGCATGGTGGCGCACACCTTTAGTCCCAGCTACTCAGGAGGCTGAGGCAGGAAAATCGCTTGAACCTGGGAGGCAGGGGTTGTGGTGAGCTGAGATTGCACCACTCCACTCCAGCCTGGGCAACAGAGAAAGACTCTGTCTCAAAAAAAAAAAAAAAAACTCACTTGGATTTCATCAGTTTTACATGCACTCATTTGTGTGTGTATGTGTAGTTGTAGGTGATTTTTATCAATATGTGCAGCCTTTCACAACTACCACCCAAATTGAGATACTCAGCTATGCCATAACCTCAACACTCCCTTGGTTACCCTTCTATAATCACACCCTTCCTCTCCCCCTCATCCCTAAACTCTGCTCTCCTTTTCTAAAGTTTTACCCTTTTAAAAATACATCAATGGAATCATATAGTCTGTAACCTTTTGAGACTGGCTTTTTTTCACTGAGCATAATTTCCTTCAGGTTCTTCTACATTGTTGCATGTATTAATAGTTCATTCCTTTTTATTGCTGAGTAGTATTCCAAGGTATGGATGTACCACAGTTAGCCATTCACATATTGAAGGACATTTGGGTTAATTTCCAGTTTTCTGGTTATTCTGAATGCTGCTATGCATATTCATGTACAAGTTCCTACAAGAAAACATCTTCTTTTTTCTGAAATAAATGTCCAAAAGTGTAATTGCTGTGTTGTATGGTAAGTCCATTTTTAGTTTTGAAAAGAAACTGCCAAACTATTTTCCCAAATGGCGCTATCATTTTACATTCCCACCAGCAACGTATGAGAGATCCAGTTTCTCTACATCCTTACCAGGATTTAATATTATCACTATTTTCCATTTTAGCTGAACTTACTCATATGGCTAGCTTATATTTATGGCAAATAATACTGGTTTTGCTTTTATAGCAGTGATATAACACTTTATTTTAAAACAAAATTCTTTAAGTGTTAAAAAATAAGTTGAATCAAAGGAGAATATTAAGTAAATAAAAGTTCCAGTGCACATGTTGATGGCAAAAATCATGAACTCAGTGCATTAATGTGTGATGTTTGGGAAACCCTACCACAGTGTATCTATATTATGAGTTAAATTTGTGGCTCAGCCACAATGTATTTGTGGCCCAACAATTTTGTTTATGTAAAAATATTCCAAACAATTGATCCACAATGAAATTTGGGGAAATATAACTGTATTTTGAAAGCTTATCCCACTAACTTGTATTGCTTTATTCTTTTGGAGTATGTTCTATATTATCTACTGAACTGGAAACACCACAAAAGCAGACATCCTGTCTTATAACTCTTATAACTCAGCACCTAGCACATCAATAAGTGCTTCGTGACTACTTCCATGTGTGGTAGGAATCCCTGAGAATATTTGAAATTGCTTATGATGATAGATTGCTACATTGGCAGCCCCAGTGAACCATGACTCCTGGTAGTCAGGCCCTTGTGGAATACATTCCAATCCTGACTCTACAGTTATCCAGAGTCTTGGACAGTAGCAAGTGTGATACAGACCGAGGCTTATGGTTTGCACACCCTCTTGCATGCAAGCTATCCTAATGGAGAGAGAGAGGCCACATGGAGTTGCACTAGAGACACCACAAGCGAGAGAGGCCACGCAGTGGAGAATCAAGGTCCCCAGTCAAGTTCTCAACTCAATGTAGGCTCATGAGAGACCCCAGCCAACAGCATGTGGAGAAAAGCTCCCCAGTCAGCCATGAGAAATCAATCATTTTTGTTTTAATCTATTAAGTTCTGACATGGTTGGTTACATAGCAATAGATAACAGATATACTTATGCTGCCTAGGCTAGGAGAAGGAGATCCTTTAGTAATTCGATTAATTAGTCCATGATGATGGATTTTGGATAGGTGTGAAAAACTGAGAGGACCTAACCAGAGGAAAAACAAAAGGAGGACAGAAAAGAATACAGTCAGGATGGGCTTATTTATTTTAAAAGGTCAGGATGTTTAAATCAAAGAATCGTGACATTTAGCAGCCTAAAATACTTCATGATCACAGGATGGCTAACATATGACCTAAATGCAGCCTATGCTCTCTTCTGGGCTCATGCAGACATCACTAAGTGATCACAGAGCTCTTTCCTACTGAACTCAGCATAGCTTTTGAATCCTTGTCCACACAGCCCTCCTGACAGGCACTAATCAATTAGCTAGGTTGGCAAAGAATGTGGTACCAATCTCCACCTCCAATCTCTGCCATTATATTTATCAATAAAAGAATCCAGGACTTAAGAGGTTTATTTGCAGAGATAGTCACAGAGCTAGTAAGCAACAGAGTTAGGATTAAATCTCAGGACTCCTGAAAAGCTTTGGAATTGGTCAAGTTAAGTTTCAAGACTTGGCTCTGCCACTTGTCAGCTATGTGATCTAGCTTAGATAAATTATTTAACCTCTCTGTTGCTCAATTTCCTCATCTGCAAACAAGGATACTACTTCTACCTCACAAAGTTGCTATGCAAATTAAATGGGCTCATACACTCAATGGGAAAGGGCTTGCCGCCACACCTAACACAGAGTGGGCTCTCAGAGCGCACTAATTTCCTGACAAATATCAACGAGTGCCTGGAGGGAAGAGTTCAGTGCTGTAAATCTGGCCCATGAGAGCGAGCAAAGGGAAACTCAACAAACTTTGTCTATGGCAGAGAAGGTGTGTGGTTGGCACTGAAACCAGCAGGCAAGACCAGAGAGTAAAGAAGCAAAAGTGGGCAAGAGGCACCCATGAGTAAGTCTGTGTTCTCTGTATGTTGGGGGTTGGGGTAGCAACGACTTGTGCTTTCATCTACCCATGCCATTCCCTATTTCATCATAATTGTCAAATGACTTTACTATTTATCTAACATACAAGAATTTCATCATAATTGTCAAATGGCTTTACTATTTATTTAAAATATGAGACTTAGGAGGCCTGAAACAACATGGAAGTCTTGACCATCACCAAACTTTCTGAGCAAAGCAAAAAGCTGTTTTCCAAATTTGGGTCTCATTCTTCCCACCTGGACACCCCTACAGCTCCATTAAGACACCTGAGCCTCCTTGTTCTCCCCTCCTCTAGTCCTTGAGGAGCACCTCAAAAGACCCATTCTACTCACATCTTCCTCAACCTGAACCTTCCTCTGATTTGCTGAAGGGCCTTGCCAGCTCCCACATCCGTGACAGGCCATGAGGTCCCAGGCAAGAAGCCAGCAAGCTAACATTGACCCACTGACCACGGAGAGCACCACAGCACACTCACAAGCCCCAGCCTGTCTTCACAGAAGAGGGTCCAGTCTTGCTGAAGGAGGCCAGGCTTTCCATAATTCTTCCCTACTCCAGGCAGGACTCTTTGGTTGCAAGCAACAGAAACAAATCTTCACTAACTTAAGCAAAAGGATGTATTGGGAGAATGGGCCAACCCACAGAATCCAGAGACAGCTGAGAATGGGGCTGGAAAAGCTGGGAACAATTGGCTCCTATTCCAGAGATGTCCTGGAATAGGAGCTAATCAGCCATCTTGGTAGGAAATTGCTTCTTACACAACCTTCTTGTATCCCTCTGCCATTTAAGTTCAGATCTCAACTCCTTGAATCTGATTGGTTTGGCTTGAGTAAAATGCCCTCTCCTTCACCATGTTGACTGACAGCCCAACTAAGACTGCAACCAATAGGACACAAGTAATTGTCCAAAACTGAAATTGGGGTTGTTACCAAAAGAAGGTAGCATGGATGCTGGGCAGCCAAAAACTACACATGTCCAAAACACACCTAGTCTCTCCCCACTTAAACAATTCATTTTAACCATCAAGATTCCAGGTGCTGTGTATGAATAAAAGGTATCAGAACTGTAAACTAAAGCTGGTGATAAACAGTACAGAAATCAACTGGAGGGCTCTCAGCTTGAAGAGGAATTGGGCTTCTTGGGTCAGAAGATCTGAGGTCTTCTAGTTCTAGCACTGCCACTAACTGTGACCTGCCTTTCTTCATCCAAGCAACGAGCTAACCAGTGACCTGTCCAGCAGGTCATTATAAGCATCAAAATAGATTATGCACTTAAAGGCACTTTGAAGGCTATAAAACATGCAAAGTTGAGGAATCTTATCAGTCTGTTTGGGTTTTTATAAATTTTTTTTTAAGATCACATGATATTGACTACTTAACCTGAGATTATGTTTGGCCAGAAGCAGTGCAGTTCTGACCTTAGCTGGCAGACAGGCTGCAGTGAAGCGAGGCAGAGGAGAGAGTCCTGCAGGTAATGCAGTGAGCGGTCTTATTTCAGCCTATTTTGCAATGCAATTATCTTGAGGAAATATTAGGATGCAGCTCATAGAGAGTTCTTCCTAACTCAGAAAAATCAACTCCAGTGAGAGCCAAGAAATAGAAAACTGTCAGAGTGTAGGTAATAGCCATTTGGAAGAATGCATCAGATATTCAATATTCAACACGGAATTGAGTGGCAATGTAGTATAGTCATTCGGAACACGGGCTCTGAGTCAGGAAAACCTGAGTTTGAACCGTGACCACAACCATTCCTTGACTCATCTAGATAAGTACAATAATAATCCATAAAGTAAATAGTTATTGAGGACTTATCATATGCACTGAGGTTACAACAGGGAGCAATACAGATTAAAAACCCTGGTCCTCATGAGCCTTACATTCTGGTGAGGGAAAAAATTAAGTTCTTTTTAAAGTAAATTATATGGTGAATCAGAGAGTGATAAATACTATGGAGAAAATAAAGCAGGGGAAGAAGCCCAGGGGTGATTGTGAAGGAGTTACTAGAATCTGTAGGGGGATTAGGGAAAACCTCACTATGATGATGACATTTGAATCAAGAGCCAAGAGAAGGGAAGAACTGGACTATGCAGGAGCCTAGGGGAAGATCATTCCAGGCAGAGGGAAAAGTTTAAGTGCACAGGTCTGGCAATGAGAGCATATCTGGTTCAAGGATTGGCAAGGCAGACAGTATGGCTGGAGGAGATCTTGTTATTGGAGAGAAGGAGCTCCAGGCAGAGTGTTGGAGATGGGGCAGGTATGTAGGGGCTGGTAGGCCCAGTACTTTGGCTTTTGCTTTGAGTGACCTGGGGAGCCACTGGACAGTTTTGAGCAGGAAAGTAACATAATCTAATTTATATTTTAAAGGCATATTTGAGCTGCTATGCTGTGGAGGAGGCTATCGCAAAAATACAGATGAGACTTCTGGTTTCTGACCCAGCATGTAAGGAATTTGGAAGTCACCACTATGTCTTAACAAGTAAAAAGCTGAACAAACTGAAAAATCCACAACGCTTCTTAGATCTATTAGAAAAGTAAAGTCATGGAGAAAGCTCCTAGTCCTAAAATTTGGAGAGACAAACAGGCAAATATAGAGCTGAAACCTCAGCAGGAACCAGTGCCAGGAATGGAAAACCTAAAGTGTAATTGATGAATTACTAGAGGCTCAATGTGGACAAGTCTGAGAGTTAAACACTCCAGGGAACCCAGTCACAGAAGGGTACCTACACTTTTTTGAGCTTTACTTCTGGGAGTTCTACCAGCTTCCCATAATGAATAGTGGAGAAAAATCCCCTCATGCATTTGGAAAAGGTGAGGGGGAAGTAACCATTTTGAAATCCTCCAAGGCACCCTATTCTTCTAACAAAGCCTGCCCTCAAGAGGAACTATGTTACCAGAGCTTAAACTATTAGATATTTTTCAGAGCCTAACTGACCCAGAGGAAGAAAAATAAATACCCAGCTCCAGCCCACTGTAGCCATCCTCTTCCATCTAATGTTGGCAGGTGGGGCTGGGGGTGGAGACTGAGAAGCACTTGTGAAGTTCAGTCTAGAGGCACAGAACAGAAAAGAGTGAGACCTAATCATAGGGCTATAGAATGTTTCCCCTCCCCCAACATCTGACCATTACACTAGTAAAGACCTATTTACCACTTTTCCTTTTACCCAGTACATCATGTCTGACTATGAAGTAAAAGTTACAAGGCATATTAAAAGGCAAAAAACACAGCTTGAAGAGAAAGAGCAAGCATCAAAACTAAACTCAAATACAGCAGGGATGTTGGCTTATCAGACCGAGAACTGAAAACAACTATGATAAAGATGCTAAGGACTCTAATGGATAAAGTAGACAACATTCAAGAACAGATGGCAATGTACGCAGAGAGATGAACATTCTAAGAAAGCGTCAAAAAAATACTAGAGGTCAAAAACACTGTAATAGAAATGAAGAACGCCTGTGATGGGCTCATTAGCAGACTGGACATGACTGAGGAAAGAATCACTGAATTTGATATTTGATTAGAGGATATCAAAATAAAACTTTCCAAAATTGAAAAGCAAAGAGAGAAAAGACTGAAAAAGGCAGAACAGAATATCCAAGAACTGTGGGACAACGACACAAGCTGCACCATATGCATGATGGGAATACTAGAAGGAGAAGAAGGGCAGAATAGAACAGAAGAAATATTTGAACCAATAATGACCAAGGATTTCCCCCAAATTAGTGACATACACTAAATCACCTATCTAGGAAGCTCATAGAACACTAAGCAGGATAAATGCAAAAAAAAAAAAAAAAAAAACTAAAGCCACAAACAAACAAAGGCACCTAGACACATTATACTCAAACTGCAGAAAATCAAAGATACAGAAAAAAACCTGGCTGGGCGCGGTGGCTCATGCCTGTAATCCCAGCACTTTGGGAGGCCGAGGCGGGTGGATCACGAGGTCAGGAGATCGAGACCATCCTGGCTAACACAGTGAAACCCCGTCTCTGCTAAAAATACAAAAAAATTAGCCGGGCGTGGTGGTGGGCGCCTGTAGTCCCAGCTACTCGGGAGGCTGAGGCAGGAGAATGGCGTGAACCCGGGAGGCGGAGCTTGCAGTGGGCGGAGATCGTGCCACTGCACTCCAGCCTGGGAGACAGAGTGCGACTCCGTCTCAAAAAAATAAGAAAAAAACCTGAAAGATACCAGAGGAGAAAAAAAAAGCTCTTACCTGTAGTGGATTAAAGATAAGAATTACATCTAACTTCTCCTCAGAAACCACATAAGCAAGAAGAGAGTGGAGTGAAATATTTAGTGTTAAGAGAAAAAAAACTACCAAGAATTCTGTACCCTATGAAATTATCCTTCGAATGTGAAGGAAAAATACTTCCTCAGACAAACTAAAATCACCAGTAGACCTTGCAAGAAATGTTAAAAGAAGTTCTTTAGAGAACAGAAAATCATATAAGCCAGAAACTTGGATCTTCATAAAGAAAGAAGAACATCAGAGAAAGAATAAGTGAAGGTAAAAATAAAAATTTATTTTTCTTATTGTTAATTCATCTAACAGATAATAGTTGGTTCAAAATAATTATAGCAGCAATGTATTTGATATATATTTATGAATGCTTATGTATAAGTGAAAGATACGAGAGTGATGTGGTTGGGCTTTGTGTCCCCACCCAAATCTCATCTTGACTTCTAATTACTATAATCCCAATAATCTCCATATGTCAAGAGAGAGACAAGGTGGAGATAATTGAACCATGGGGTGGTTTCCCCCATGCTGTTCTCGTGATAGTGAGTGAGTTCTCGCGAAATCTGATGGTTTTATAAGGGGCTCTTTACCCTTTGCTTGGCACTTCTCCTTCCTGCGAAAGAAGGAAGGTGAAGGTGCCTTGCTTCCCCTTCGCCTTCTGCCATGATCGTAAATTTCCTGAGGCCTCTGCAGTCATGCTCCACTGTGAGTCAATTAAACCTCTTTCCTTTATAAATTACCCAGTCTCAGGCAGTTCTTTATAGCAGTATGAAAATGGACTAATACAGATAGCAATGATGCAAGGGATGGGAGGGAGGAATTAGGACTATTTTAAGATACTTGCACTAGCTGTTAAGTGGTATAGGTTATATGAAAGCGGACTTGGATTAGTGATAAATGTACATTGCAATCTCAAGTACAGCCACTAAAAATGAAAAAAAGAAGTATATAGAAAACAAGAGGCACTGAAAAAGAAGTATAACTGATATGCTAATAAGGGAGAGAAAATGAAATTATATAAAATGCTAAATTAAAACCACAAAAGGCAAAAAAACAATGGAAGACAACATAGTAACAACAAACAAAGGCAATGAATAGAAAACAGTAACATATATGGTAGATATTAATCAATATCAATAATCACTTTAAGCATCAATAGTCTAAATATACCAACTGAAAGAGAAATTTTTAGAATGGATCAAAAACGAGACTCAACTATATGTTGCCTATAAGAAACCTGCTTTAAGTGTAAAGACACATATACACTAAAAGTAAATCGATGGAAAAACATACACCATGCTAACTCTAATCAAAAGAAAGCAGGAGTAGCTATATAATTCCAAACAGATACTTCAAAGCAAAGACAAATAAATAAATAAAAGTTATCAGGGGTAACGAGGGGCATTAAATAATGATAAAGAGAATGATTTTCCAAGACAACACAAAAATCCTTAATGTTTTCACACCTAACAACTGAGTGTCTAAATGCATGAGGCAAAAACTGATAAAACTGCAAGGAGAAATAGATGAATCTACTATTATAATTGGAGACTTCAACACCCCTCTATCAGAAATGGACAGATCCAGCAGGCAGAAAATCAGAAAGGACATAATTGAACTCAACAGTACCATCAACCTCCTGTATATACAGTCATGTGCCACTTAACAACAGGGATATGTTATGAGAAATGTGTTGTTAAGTAAACCTAGATGGTATAGCCCACTGTACATGTAGGCTATATGGTACAGCCTATTGCTCCTAGGTTACAAACCTGTATAGCAAGTTACTATAGGCAATTATAACACAATGGTAAATATTTGTGTATCTAAACATATGTACATATGAAAAAGGTACAGTAAAAATATGGTATTATAGTCTTATGGGACCATCATTGTATATGTGGTCTGTTGTTATACAGTGTATGATTGTAATTGATATATGTTGACTCCTTCATCAACAACAGCAGCATATGCATGCTTCTCAAGCTTACATGGAACATTCACCAAGATAGTCCACGTTCTGGGCCATAAAACACACCTCAACAAATTTAAATTTATGTATACTTTCATATATATATGAAATTTTACAACATCTGCTCTCAGACCTCAATGGGATTAAACTTGAAATCAATACGGAAAGGTAGCTGGACAAAATCCCAAAATACTTAAATATCAAACAATGCACTTCTAAACATATGGGTCAAATAAGAAAGTCTCAAGAGAAATGTTTAAAATTTTAAAAATCTTTTGAACTAAATGAAAGTGAAAATACAATTTATCAAAATCCATGGGATGCAGCAAAAGCAGTACTTAGAGGGAAGTTTATAACATTAAAAGTGTATAGTAGAAAAGAAGAAAGATCTAAAATCAATCATCTAATCTTCCAACTTGGGAAACAAGATAAAGAACAATTTAAATCCAAAGCAAGCAGAAGAAATAAAAAATAAAAATTAAAGCAGAAGTCAATGAAATTGAAAACAGGAAATCAATAGAGAAAATTAATGACAACAAAAGCTGGTTCTTTGAAAAGATCAATAAAATTGATAAGCATCTAGCTAAGAAAAAAGAGAGATGACACAAATTACTAATATCAGAAATGAAATAGAGTACTACCCTATAGATCTCACAGTCATTAAAAGGATAATGATATACTATGAACGACTCTATCTGATAACCTAGGTGAAATGGAACTATTCATTGAAAGACACTGTCAGCCAAAATATCACACAAGAAGATATAGATTATCTGAGTAGGCCTGTATCAAATTAAATCAATAATAACCTTTCAAAATGGAAAACAGTAGTCCCAGATGAGTTCACTGGTGAATCCTACCAAACATTTAAGGAAAAAATTATACCAATTTTCTACAATCTCTTTCAAAGCTAGAAGCAGAGGGAGCACTTTCTAACTCATTCTAATGAGGCCAGCATTACTCCAATCCCAAAATCTGACAAAAACATTATAAGAAAACTACAAACCATGGTCGGGTGCGGTGACTCACATCTGTAATCCCAGCACTTTGGGAGGCAGAGGTGGGTGGATCACCTGAGGTCAGGAGTTCAAGACCAGCCTAGCCAACAGGGTGAAACCCCGTCTCTACTAAAAATACAAAATTATCCAGGCATGGTGGCACATGCCTGTAATCCCAACTCTTGAGAGGCTGAGGCAGAAGAATAGCTTGAACCTGGGAGGCAGAGTTTGCAGTGAGCTGAGACCATACCACTGCACTCCAGCCTGGGCGACAAGAGCGAAACTTTGTCTCAAAACAAAACTAAAAACCAATATGTCTTATAAGCATAGATGCAAAAATCCTGAACAAAATATTATCAAAGTGAATCCAACAATGTGTAAAAAGAACAATACACCATAACCAAGTGGAATTTATCCCAGGTATGCAAGGCCTTGATTTGAAAAGCACATGATCACATACATGCAGAAAAAGCATTTGACAAAACCCAACACTCATTCATAATCAAGAAAGGGAAATTCTCAGCAAAGTGGAAACAGAGGGAAACTTTATCAACTTGATAAAGAACATCTGCAAAAAACCTACAGCTAACATTATACTTAATGGTGAGAAACTAGAAGCGCTCCTGCTAAGTCAGGAACAAGGCAAGAATGTCCCCTCTCACTACTTCTTTTCAATATCATACTTAAGTCCTAGCTAATGCAATAAGACAAGAAAAAGAAAATTAAAATATATATTAGGAAGGAAGGGCTAAAACTATCTTTGTTCACAGAAAACATGATTGTCTATGCAGAGAATCCCAAAGAATCAAAAACAACTCCTGAAACTAATAAGCAATTATAACAAAGTTTCAGGACATAAGGTTAATATACAAAAGTCGATCATTTTTCTATATACCAGCAATGAATAAATGGGATTTAAAACACAATACCATTTACATTAGCACCCCCCAAAATGAAATACTTAGATATAAATCTAACAAAATATGTGCAAAATCAATATGAGGAAAACTAGAAAACTGATGAAAGAAATCAAAGAGGAACTAAATAAATGGATATTCCATGTTCATGAATAGGAAGACTCAAGTCTTCCCAACTTGATTTATAGATTCAGTAGAATCCCTATTAAAACCCAAGTAAGTTATTTCGTAGATAACAAAAAATTCATTCTGAGGCAAAAGACCCACAATAGCCAACACAATATTAAAGAACAAAGTTGGAGGCTGACACTACCAGACTTCAGCACTTACTACAATCCTGCAGTAAACAAGATAATGAAGTATTGATGAAAGAATAGACAGCTAGATAAATGAAACAGAATAGAGAGCCCAGAAACAGACCCCCATAAATACAGTCAACTGATCTTTGATAATGCCGCAAAGGCAATTCAGTGGAGAAATGACAGTCTTTTCAACAAACAGTGATGTAACAACTGGACATCCACATGCAAAAAAATTAACTTAGACACAGACCTTTACCTGTGACATATATTAACTCAAAATGGATTATAGACCTAAATGTAAAATGAAAAACTATAAAACTCCTAGAAGATAACGTAGGAGAAAACTTAAATGATCTTGGGTTTGGCAATGACTTTTGACATATAACACCAAAGACATGATCTATGAAAGAAATAATTGATAAGCTGAACTTTATGAAAATTAAAAACTTCTGCTAGTTAAAAGTCTTGTCAAGAGAATGAGAAGACAACCACAGACTGGGAGAAATTATTTGCAAAAGATAGCTGATAAAAGGGCTGTTATCTAACATATACAAAGAATATACAAAATATACAAAAAATGCAGCAATAAGAAAACAAACAGCCCTATTAAAAATGGGCTAAAGACCTTAATAAACGTCATAACAAAGAAAACATACAGCTGGCAAACCTTATATGAAAAAATACTCCCTATCATATGTCATTAGGGAAATGAAAATTAAAACAGTGAGATACTGTGAGTTAATAAGAGATAATACAGTGAGTTAATAAGAGATAACTCACTTATTAGAATGGCCAAAATTCAGATCATTGACAACATCAAGTGCTGCCAAATGTGTGAAGCAACAGAAACTCTCATTCATTCCGAGTGGAAATGCAAAATGGTATGGCCACTTTGAAAGACCAGTTGGCAGTTTCTTACAAAACTAAACATACTCTTACCATACTATACAGCAATTGCACTCCTTAATATTTACCAAAAGAGCTGAAAACTTATGTGCACACAAAAACTTGCACAGATGTTTATAGCAGCTTTATTTATAATTGCTAAATCTTGGAAGCAACCACGATGTCCTTTGGCATATGAATGAATAAATTAATTGTGGTATATCCAGGCAATGGAATGTTATTTATTGCTAAAAAGAAACGAACTGGCAGGGCACGATGGCTTACATCTATAATCCTGGCACTTTGTGAGACTGAGGCAGGGGGATCTTACCCTAAAAAAGTAAAAATATTACCCCCAAGTGGTGGCGCATGTCTGTAGTTCCAGCTACTTGGGAAGCTGAAGTGGAAGGATCACTTGAGCCCAGGAGTTTGAGGCTGCAGTAAGCTATGATCATACCACTGCACTCCAGCCTAGGCAACAGAGTGAGACACTGTCTCTAAAAAAAAATTAAAATTAAAAAAAAATCTTTAAAAAAAAAGGCCAGGTGCGGTGCCTCAAGCCTGTAATCCCAGCACTTTGGGAGGCCGAGGCAGGTGGATCACGAGGTCAGGAGATCGAGACCATCCTGGCTAACACAGTGAAACCCCGTCTCTACTAAAAATACAAAAAATTAGCCGGGCGTGGTGGCGGGCGCCTGTAGTTCCAGCTACTCGGGAGGCTGAGACAGGAGAATGGCGTGAGCTCAGAAGGCGGAGCTTGCAGTGAGCCCAGATCTCGCCACTGCACTCCAGCCTGGGCGACAGAGCGAGACTCCGTCTAAAAAAGAAAGAAAGAAAGAACGAAAAAAGAAAACAAAAGAGAAAGAAAGAAAGCAATGAACTATCAAACCATGAAAAGACATGGAGGAATCTTAAATGCTTATTACTAAGAGAATGAAGCCAACCTGAAAAGGCTACATATTGTGTGATTCCAACTATATGCCATTCTGGAAAAGGCAAAACTATAGAGATGGTAAAAAGGTCAGTTGTTGCCAGGAGTTGGGGGGAGGGAGCGGTGAATTGGCAGAAGAAGAGGATTAAACTATTTTATGAATAGTTTAGTGAAATAGGCAGTGAAAATATTTTATATGATACTACAATGGTGGATTCATGTTATTACACATTTGTCACGACCCATAGAACGTACAATACCAAGAATGACCTTAGTGTAAACTACAGGCTTTGGGTGATAATGATGTGTCAAGGTAGGCTCATTGATTGTGATAAATGTACCACTCTGGTGTGGGATGTTAATAATGAGAGAGGCTGTGCACGTGTTGGGGGAAGGGGTTTATGGGAAATCTCTGTACCTTTTACTCAGTTTTGCTGTGAACCTCGAATTGCTCTTAAAAATAATCTGTTTTCGGCTGGGCGCAGTGGCTCATGCCTGTAATCCCAGCACTTTGGGAGGCTGAGGCAGATGGATCAATTGAGGTCAGGAGTTTGAGACCAGCCCGGCCAACATGGTGAAACCCCATCTCTACTAAAAATATAAAAACTAGCCGGCCGTGGTGGTACACGCCTGTAATCCCAGCCACTTGGGAGGCTGAGGCACGAGAATCGCTTGAACCCAGGAGGCAGAGGTTGCAGTGAGCCGAGATTGCGCCACTGCACTCCACCCTGGGTGACAGAGCGAGACTCCGTCTCAAAAAAAAAAAAAAAAAAAAAAAAATCTATGTTTTCAAAAAATCTGGATGAGAGATGATAATGGCTTAGGCAAGGGTATGGAAGTGGGGAGAAGTGATTGGATTCAGGATACGTTTTGAAATAAGAGCCAACAGAAATTGCCAGTGGGTTGGATATGCAGGATGAGGACAATGGAAGATTCAGCCTATAGCCTAGATCAGACAACATATGAAAAAGACTTCACATGGGGCCAGGCACATCATAGATACCCAGCAAACACCAAAACTTCCGAAAATTTCAGAAGAGATGATGGTTCTTGTCAAGGTAATATGCTAATCAGATAATTCATGGGGGCTGGAGGTGAGTCGCACAGGAAGAGAATGGCCAATGTGCTATATTTTTTTTGTTGTCAGCTGCCCAGTTCCGGAAAGAGGAGAAAAATTGAAGTTGATACAGGAAAACAAATAAGAATGATTCATCCCAGGAATGGTACATAATAATAAAGCCATAGGTAACACTTAGTAATTATGGTGGCAAAATTGGCTAGATGCGGAATGTGGCATTTTTCAAAGTCCTTTGATAGGCCAGCCTCTTCACTGCAGTGCTTTTAGCTTGAGGTAAATGAGATTTGTGTAACAGTGTGAAAAAAAAGCAAAAGGGTTAGTTTTCTAAGCATTTATTGTCAATTCCCAAAGGAAATAATTCTACTCTACTTGGGCCATTTCTATCATTTTTTGAGCCCCTGCTATGCACAAGGCACTTTTTTTTTTTTTTTTTTTTCTGAGACAGTCTCACTGTGTCACCCAGGCTGGAGTGCAATGGAGCAATCTTGGCTCACTGCAACCTCCGCCTCCCGGGTTCAAGCGATTCTTCTGCCTCAGCCTCCCAAGTAGCTGGGATTACAGGCTCCTGCCACCATGCCCAGCTAATTTCTGAATTTTTAGTAGAGACAGGGTTTCACCATACTGGCCAGGCTGGTCTCGAACTGCTGACCTTGTGATCCACCCTCCTCGGCCTCCCAAAGTGCTGGGATTACAGGTGTGAGCCACCACACCTGGCCCTATTCTCTCTAGTGCTAACCCAGCAAGTTAGAGATTATGCTGTCCATTTTACAGATGAGAAAAGTAAGGCTTATACTAAGGGATGGAGGGGCACGGTGGCTCATGCCTGTAATCCCAGCACTTTGAGAGGCTGAGGCAGGTGGATCGTTTGAGGTCAGGAGTTCAAGATCAGCCTGGACAATGTGGTGAAACCCCATCTCCACTAAAAATAGAAAAATTAGCCAGGCATGATGGTGCACACCTGTAATCCCAGCTACCGGGGAGGCTGAGACACAAGAATCGCTTGAACCCGGACAGAGGAGGTTGCAGTGAGCTGAGATCACACCACTGTACTCCAACCTAGGCGACAGAGTGAGACTCTGTCTCAAAAAAAACAAAACAAAACAAAAACAAAGTGATCACTAGCTAAGGAGTCACAAACCAGGGATGAAAACCAAACACAATGAACCTCCATAGCCCATGCATCTTCTGCTAGGCCACATTGTGTCACCTTATTGCTAACAATAGCCAGCCTTCACTGAGTACTTACCTCGTGTCAGGACCTGGTATTTTATAGCTGTTAATACAAACTATTATTATCCCCATTTTAAAGATGGGGAAATTAAGGCCTGGAGAAGTTAAGAAACACACAGTAGATTCCTTTGCTGGTAAGTTAGGACCCATGCAATGTAGTTCCAGGTTCCAGGGTCCATGATCTTATGTTTTTTCAAAAAGTATTTCTTGGCCAGGGGCAGTGGCTCACACCTGTAATCCCAGCATTTTGGGAGGCTGAGGTGGGTGGATCATGAGGTCAGGAGTTCGAGACCAGCCTGGCCAACATGGTGAAACCCCATCTCTACTAAAAATACAAAAATTAGCCGGGCTTGGTGGCACACACCTATAATCCCAGCTACTCAGGAGGCTGAGGCAGGAGAATCGCTTGAACCTGGGAGGCAAAGGTTGCAGTGAGTTGAGATCGCGCCATTGCACTCCAGCCTGGGAGCCTGGGTGATAGAGTGAGACTCCGTCTCAATAAAAAGAAAAAAAAAGTATTTCTTTAACATAATAGTAATATATATTCACGGTAATAATATCAGAAAATACAACAAAGAAAAAGAAAAAATCATCTATAATCCTGTCATTCTGAGATAACCATGATTATCATTTTGGTGGGTAACCTTTTCATCTTTTTCCTACACACATACATACATGCACATTTTGTATAAAAATGAGATTGTATTATCCTTGCCTTTAACCTACCCTTCCTTCTCTCTCACTTAACAATATGTTGTCCACATCTTTCTGCTTTAAATATTTTCTACAGTGGTGATTTTTTACCCTCTTGGGTCAGGTAACTATTTGAAAATCCGTAAGAATCCTCTCTCCGAGAAGTGCGTACACATACACACACACACACAAACACACACAAACACACACACACAAACCTGCATATAATTTCAGAGATTTCCTGAACCATGAACTCTAACTGAGAACCTCATTCCTGCATCATCCTTTCTAATGCCTGAATAATATTCCATCATGGATGGATGCCCTGTAAATTATTGAACCAATCTAAACCAGTAGATTTGCCAAGTCTGTGGTTGGATGTTAAGATTATTTCCAATTTTCCACTATTATAAACAATATTGCAATGACTATTCCTATGGATAAATCTTTTGGTATAGCCTATTTATTTCCTTGGGATTCATTCCAAGAATATGAACATTTTAAAGACTTTTGATAGTATTTCCAAATTGCCCTCCAGAAAGGGTGTTTCCAATTACACTCCCTCCAGCAGCACCTAAGAGGCCCCCTTTCTCCACTTCGTTTCTCATATTTGGTCTTATAAAATACTCTAGTTTGGTCTGGGTGTGGTGGCTCACGCCTGTAATCCCAGCACTTTGGGAGGCTGAGGAGGGCAGATCACCTGAGGTCAAGAGTTCAAGACCAGCCTGGCCAACATGGTGAAACCCCGTCTCTACTAAAAATAGAAAAAATTAGCCAGGCATGGTGGTGTGCACCTGTAGTCCCAGCTACTTGGGAGGCTCAGGCAGGAGAATCGCTTGAACCCAGGAGGTGGAGGTTGCAGTGAGCTGAGATCATACCATGGCACTCCAGCCTGGGCATAGAGCGAGACTCTGTCTCAAAAAAGGTAAATAAATAAAAGAAAAGAAAATATTTGATATTGTACCTTTTTAATCCTGGCTCAGAACTTTTCTTTCTCTTTTTGCTGTCTTGAAGGCAGTGATTTCTGGCTCAAGGAACTAGAAACAGCAGTCTTTGGGGAAGACTCCAGATTGGGAATTGCTGTCTTTCCCTACTTCAATGAAGCCCTGAAGACTGGTTTCCTAGACTTAGCATAAGATTTTTCTTTACAGATCTCTTTGTCCTTGTAGGAAAAGCATCACTGGGTGAGAAGAAACAAACAGGCTGATCTTTTCTTTTTAATCTTTGTTAATTTTAAAATTTATATTATGAAATGTTTGTCCCCATAAGAACCGGAAGGATTCTCTTTACTAGATCTTAAAATTCACAGATAAGTAATCCTGTAATGTGACTGTTCCTTCTCTCCTACTTTAGACAGCCAAATCTGGCTCTTGATATATAAAATTTACAGGAGAAAAACTTAAGTTTGGCTTGAGAAGTCTACAAGAATGGTTAGAAAGAGAAATATCCTGCATATAGTAGACACTCAATAAATGCTGAATTGGGCTGGAAGCCTTGGACATGCACCCTGGAGTAACAGAGGATGTCATGTACGTGTTTAACTACTGAAGCTTTCATTAACTGTGGCAGTGTTAAATACAGTCGACACTAATGAGGGGGAGTGGTGACCTGGATACACCAAAACAGAGGGAAATCCCAGATCAACTCTATTTAGTCTTGAAATACAGTCCATGATTTTTTTTTCCTGTAACAAAAGTACCTTTCCAATTCTGCTTGGCTTGGATGAATATTGCAATGAGCTTATCCTCCATGAGCCCACAGAGAAAATCCGCTGCATAAGGCAGTCGACCAACCAGATTTAAAAGTTACCAAGGAAATTTGAATTTGAACGTACTGGCTGGTATTAAGAAATTATTATTAGTTGCATTAAGTGTGATATGGATGTTACTTTCACTACGTAGGGAATATGTTCCTTTTTTCTTTTAAAGGTACATACTGGAATTAACAAATAAAAGTTACCATGGGCCATCTTCAAAAGGGACACTAAAGATTTGACTGTATTATAGCATTAAGTACCATTTACTGAAATTTTTTGGTGCAAACCAGTTTAGATACTTAATTTGAATCCTAAACAAACCTCTCTGAGGCAGCTGTCATTATCCCCATTTTACAGGTGAATGAACTGAGCCTCAGAGGCAGTAGTGACTATTCAATGTTTCTGTCCCAATTCTGCTTCAGGGAACCCCTCTCCCTCCCACTGGACACTATCATGATGCGACAGTCATGACACAGTCTCATCAACAATAGTCGAAGTACCAAGAGTCAAAGTGCCCTGCCCTGCTGCCCAGAGTGTGGTGTGGGACCCAGGCCTCTCATGTAATCCACAATCTACATGACTAATATTCAGAGCAGAGATGGTGGAAACTCTGAGGACCTCATCCATCAGCCCTTTCTGAGGTCCAGAGCTTGAGCCTCCCCTGCTCAAGGCAGCCACATTAGTTTCTGTTACATGCAACCGAAGCACACTGACCAAGAGAGAAACATTACGTGACTGCTGCCAGACAGCCCAGCTAGTAAGTGGCAGAGTGAGGATCTGAACCCAGGGCTGTCTGATGTCAACGCCCCATGCTTCCTCTCAAGCAATATCCCTAAGGGGTCAAGTTCATGGGACTTGCAAGTCCTGACTTTGACTTTTCATGCCTTCTGCATCTTCCTTATAAAATTCTTACACACTTACCTCCATGTCTCTCTATGCACAGGTGTGTAATAATGCATCTCTGCACTATTGGAACTTTGGGTATCCAGCATTTAATTCAGTGATTGCTTTAATCCATATTCCCCCGAATAACAAGCTATGGAGGATAAAATTTACTGCTACTTTCACCATCTCTTTGTAAATAGAACAACATTGACAGAGAGGCATGAATAGGTCATCTGGTCCAACTTCCTGCCTCAAATAAATGCTGCCCTAAAATCAATAGAATTCAGTCATGTGACTGGAGTCACTTTTGCTATCATCATGATTACAAGTCTACTAACTAATGTCAGCCTTACAGAGCACCATGTGCTATTCTAATATAGAATGTGCTAA
Organism: Homo sapiens; assembly: GCF_000001405.40. Classification (NCBI taxonomy): domain Eukaryota; kingdom Metazoa; phylum Chordata; class Mammalia; order Primates; family Hominidae; genus Homo; species Homo sapiens. The sequence goes on from NC_000011.10 coordinate 46,198,563, forward strand.
GTCCTAAAAAAAGACCGCAAGAGAGATCCTCAGCAGCCTTGGAGGGTAGTGGGAAGACCACAGGCTCTGCAGCCAAAAAGACACATCTCATCCCAGCTGTGTGACTTTGGACAATTACCTACCTTCTCTGAGCCTCGATCTCCTCATCTGTAAAATGGGGATAATAATAGTGCCAACCTCACAGTGTTCTTGAGATGATTGTATCAGATGATAACTATCAGATGACAGTTAAACAGCTTGATACACTGTAGGAGCCAATCACGCCAGTACTTCCTTTCCTAAACAATTTAGGACAGTTGATCGCTTATGCCTATTTTTAAAGATCTCCAAGGAAGGAGAAACCATAGCATCCCTTGGTAGCTACTGCCTGTGTTTAACAACCCACTTAGATGATGTGTGAATATAGCACAGAGGCCCACATCCAAGGAGCCTGACGCAGGCTGGGAGGCATGCCAAGCAGCTTGCTGGACTGCCACCCATCCTATACCTTCCCCCGCCATTGCCTCCTAAATATATATATCAGCTTAGCCATCCTTCCCGGGCCAACCTCTTCCTGGAAACCCTGTCTGATAATCCCCTGGTTTGGTATGTTTTTGATTCTCAACCACTGTAGCACCTGTTGGCTGTAACATGCTTCAGGCATTTCCCAAAAACAGGCTGGTACTGGAACTATTTATTGAATGAATTCATTAATTCAATAACTATCTATTGAATGCCTTGTACACTGCCAGGCAGCGTCCTAGGTACTGGCCATACGGCAGTGAACAAAACAGACGCGATCCCGCCCTCATGAAGTTCTAGTGGGAGAGAGGAAACAGAAAATAAATATATACTAGGTCAGTTGATCAAAAGTGCGAGGGAGGAAACTGGAGCAGATTTGGAGGGTAGGGAGTGGCTGTTCTATAAGGGGATGGTTTGTGTGTGCTTGGCTCCTCGGGGAAACTGTAAGCTCCCGGAGAGTAAGAGGAGGCAATGGAGAGGAGTGGTTAGTGATGAAAGGTCTGGAGTCTGGATGACCTGGTTTAAATCTCTTCCCCTCCACATCCTAGCTGTGTGACAAGTTCCTAACTTCCTGAGTCTGAGTCTCTTCTGGAAAGTAGAGAAAGAACAGCATTGATCTCATGGTCACATTGTGAAGATTCAATGAAATCATGAATGCACAGTGTTCAGCACCAAAGTGGATTCACCCTGAAGCTAATGAAGCTTCAGGGACGCCCCCACCCACCCACACACACACACACTTGTGTGAGCCCCTTCCAAGGCCCTTGGAGGGGTCCTAGCAATGAATTGACCTATCTTGCAAAATATGTCAACAACGATCAGTTAAGACTACTGTCTCATCCTGCTTTGACTTTCCTTTGCATGCCAGATGGCATGGAGAGGACACAAGCCTTTCTTTTCATAATGTTGTCATCTTCTTAAAGAGGTTCCTCCCAAATGGCAGAAGCCTCAGGCTTCACAAAACTCGAATCCACTCCTTCCCGGAATGGGGTGGCAGCTACTGTGGACATAACTGGATGTCTTTGTCTCTCTCAGAGTCTCCAGCCGAGTGACCAGCACAGAGCAGGTGTTCAGGAATTACATGATGAATGAAGGAATGATGGATATCTAGAGCCTCAAACAGCAAGGGGCCTTAAAATGCCAACTGCCGGCAGGGTGCAATGGCTCATGCCTGTAATCCCAGCACTTTGGGAGGCCGAGGTAGGTGGATCACCTGAGGTCAGGAGTTCAAGACCAGCCTGGCAAACATAGTGAAACCCTGTCTCTACTAAAAATACAAAAATTAGCTGGGCGTGGTGGCGGGCACCTATAGTCCCAGGTACTCAGGAGGCTGAGGCAGGAGAATCTCTTGAACCTGGGAGGTGGAGGTTGCAGTGAGCCAAGATCGCACCATTGCATTCCAGCCTGGGCAACAAGAGCAAAACTCCAACTCAAAAAAAAAAAAAAAATGCCAACGGCCTCCCTTTCCTCCCTCTCCCACCCCCCAAAATTGTTGGAGGACTATAAGGACAACTGAGAGATTTCTAGAAAAAGAACAGAATGAGCACTTGCCATAAAAGCGAATTCACCATCCTCTTGGGGATGCAGGGGTTGCGGGTCACCATCTGAGGATCTCCCCAGCATGCTGAGGAGTGGGGGCAGGTGCCAGGGTAGCCCCACTGCTGCCCTAAGACCTGGAAGAGAGGGCTTTGTGGAGCAGGACCACACACTTCCAGTGGGATTCCCACCTCCAAAGCCTGGTACTCGGGCCTCAGGACACTCTGGGACCTTCCTGGGTCATCATCAAGAGCCAGCCCCAGGGTCAGACCATTCTTATAATTAAGCTGAAAAGCTCTTGAAATCTCTACCCAGCATGGGAATGAGCTGTTCTCCCCTGCAAGGGTTGAAAACAGCTCATGACCATCTTCCAAAGGAAAACCCTCCCTACTTGAAAGCAGTTATAAAATCATGCCTCAGCCTTTTGTTTCCCAGCCAAATGATGCCAATTACTAATACCAAAGGGAGAGAACGTGACTCACTGATGTTCCCAGTCCTGACGGCTGACTGCCGTCAATTCCCTGGTCCCTAGAGTTCGCTCCACTGTCTCTTTTCTGACCGTTCTCCACAGTCGTCACCAGAAAGTCACCCTCTCTTCTTGCTTTTCTCCAGGAGAGTTCTAGGACTTCCCAAGGCCCGTAGGTCCATTGGCAAGGTCACACCAAGTTCCTTTGCCCACATTCCGATTGGACTCAGAGGAGGACTTGATGGGAACGTCCTTGTGTGTGTTTGTGTGTACACAGGCACGTTTCCTCCTATCATCCATTAAACAGAGAATCTTCATCTGCCCTTGTCTGTCCCCAGTCTCTTGCCTTCCCCAGGTTGTGTTTCCCGGTCATATACTCGGCGGGTTTCCCTGCTCTTTCCTCATCATTCGGGGGACACAACAGCGAGAGGCAGCCCAGCATGGGCTGTCTCACTAAAGAACATTCTACTCAGAAAGAACTGGCCCTGAGCCCTTGGCTCCCAGAAGACCAAGGCCTCAGCCTTCATTCTGCCTTCCTGCCCACCCTCCAAAATGAGAACAAGGCCAGGTGCAGTGGCTCAAGCCTGTAATCCCAGCACTTTGGGAGGCCAAGGCGGGCAGATCATGTGAGGTCAGGAGTTTGAGACCAGCCTGGCAAACATGGTGAAACCTCATCTCTACTAAAAATACAAAAGTTAGCCAGGTGTGGTGGTGCACACCTGTAATCCCAGCTACTTGGGAGGCTGAGGCACAAGAATTGCTTGGACCTGGGAGGCGGAGGTTGCAGTGAGCTGAGATCACACCACTGCACTCCAGCCTGGGGTGACAGAGTGAGACTCCATTTCAAAACAAAACAAAACAAAACAAAATGAGAACAAGACCCAAGACTCACAGGAGCACTTGCTCTTTTATTGGGAGAGGAAGGGAGAGTAACTTTGATTGACTTTATTTTATTTTATTTTACTTTATTTTTCTTTGAGACAGGGTCTTGCTCTGTCACACAGGCTGGGATACAGCGGTGCTATCTTGGCTCACTGCAGCCTCGACCTCCTGGGCTCAAGCAATCCTCCCACCTCAGCCTCCCAAGTAGCGGGGACTACAGGCACACACCACTACGCCTGGCTAATTTTGGTATTTTTTTTGTAGAGATGGGGTTTTGCTGTGTTTCCCAGGTCGGTCTCAAACTCCTGGGCTCAAGTTATCCTCCCGCCTCAGCCTCCCAAAGCACTGGGATAACAGGTATGAATCATCGTGCCTGGAGGGATCTTTTCAAATGTAAATTTAATCACACAGAGCCTTGTGTCCAAGGCCTCCCACTGCTCTTAGGACAGAGGCAAGAGCCTTGCTCAGCCCTCCAAGCCCTGCATGGCTTTGTTTCTCCCCCACCCCCCAGCCGCCAAGCAGCAGCTCACTCTCATTCCCTCTCCTCCATGCTGGCCTTCTCTCAGCTGGTCAAATCCAAAACACTTCTTCCGGCCTCAGGACTTTGCACATGCCTTTGGTCTGGAAGACTTGTCCCTCTCTGCCTCACCTGGCAGACCCCCTCTTTTTTTAAGAGGGGAGGAAGGGAGTCAGTGTGATCACACTTCCTCAGGGAAGCTTCCTCTGTGTTTCTCTCCCTTATACGTCCTCAGAGAATCATGACCCGGGCCCTTAGTTTCTTCCTTACCATGCCCCCAGTGTCATAATCGCTCTGTAATTGCTCCATAATACCCTTATAATACCCTTGCCCTGCTGCATTCATAGAATCGTGAAAAGCCATCCGTTCATTAATTCAGTCTTACCAAGTGCCTAGTATATGTTAGACAGGATTCTTTCACCAGAGAATACAATGGTGCACAAAAGAAAGCCCTGCCCCCAGGGAACTTCCATTTGAACAGAAAAAGAGGCGATGAGCAAATAGACACATACACGTATGATAGGCTATTAGGCAGTGGTAAGTCCTGCAGAGACAAATAAAGCTGGATAAGGACAAGTGTGGTGGCAGGGGGAGGGACAGCAGAAAAGGCCTTTCTGAGCAGGTGACATTTAAACAGAAACCCCAGTGAAATGCGGGAGCAAATCATGCAAAGATGCATGGAAAGACTATTTCAGACAAAAGGAACAGCAAGGGCAAAGAAATGAACTTGGTAAGTACAAAGGCCCTGGGGCAGGAATGAACTTGGTAAGTCCAAAGAATGAACTGATGTGGCTGGCGTTGAGGCAGCAAATTGGGAAATGACCAAATGGGGCTGGAGGGACACGTAGACAACTCTTTTGATAAATTTTGCTACAATAAGGAACACAGAGCTAGTGCAAAGAGCCAGGGAGCAATGAGTTCTACGGAAGGTGTTTCTGTTTTGGTTTGTGTTTTGTTTGAAGATGGTAAGTATTACAGCATACCTGTGTGCTGAAAGGTAAAGCGCCATAGAGAGGGAGACGTCAGTGATTCATGAGAGAGATCATTTCATCAAAGTCCTTGAATAGGTGAGGGCAAACGGGATTCAGGACCCCAGGGGAGGGATGGGCATTGTACACGCATAAGGATGGTTTGCAATTTGCAATACGAGGGAGGGCAGGGCCTGCACATACAGCGGTTGGAAGTGGGTAAGTTTAGCAGTGGGTAATGAGCATTCTGAGGGCCTCTATTTTCTCCGTGAATAGGAAGATGAGATCATCAGCTGAGAACCAGGCAAGAGAAGGATATTAGAGTTAAAGAAAGAGAAGGTATAAAACGGCTTGAAGAGAGGCAGAGTGCCTGAGATACTGAAGTAGGATTGTTGGGCAATGCAAAAACAGCCACTTATTGGCAGACTTCAGTATAAAATGAGGCGTGTCTGGGCAGCTGTGGGTATTTTCTTCAAGCCATGTTCCAGTGCCCAGATGGAGGCACGAAAAGTTAAGTTCTCCCTTGAGTTGAAGCAGGGTTGGGGTGTGGCAGATGAGTGCAGCAGGGCAAGAGTATTATAACGGTGTTACGGAGCAATTACAGAGCGATGAGGACACTGGGGCATAATGAGGAAATGAAGGGCCTGGGTCATGGGTGGTGAAGGACAGTGAAAAAGCGGTGGGGGGGTCAGTGGACTGAAGACCCCAACAGGGGTAGGAAATTGCTGAAATGGGAGTTCTAAGACAACTGAGTAAGGAATACCTGTGTCCACAGTCTAACAGGATGATTGAAAGGGAAACTTGAGCAGCGCTGTGGTTATGATGAGGTTTGTGTGGGGCTCTATGGCTAAGGTGGAGTGGAGGAGGCATCATGGCATGGAGGCATCAAGAATGGAGGCAAGGTGACTAGGTGCGGTGGCTCATATCTGGAATCCCAGCACTTTCGGAGGCTGAGGTGGGTGGATCATCAGGTCATGAGATCGAGACCAGCCTGGCCAACACAGTGAAAACCCGTCTCCACTAAAAATACAAAAATTAGCTGGGCGTGGTGGCGCACACCTGTAATCCCAGCTACTCAGGAGGCTGAGGCAGGAGAATCACTTGAACCCAGGAGGCAGAGGTTGCAGTGAGGCAAGATCGTGCCATTGCACTTCAGCCTGGACAACATAGTGAGACTCTGTCCCAAAAAGGAAAAAAAAAGAATGGAGGCAAGATGATGCGTGGCCATGTATGTGGATCTTAAATTCACCATGACAGTGACAGCAGGAGAGAAAGTCAGTGAGCCAGGTGGCCAAATTATCAATAAACACGTGAGCAGGCAGGTAAGACCACACAATAGACAATTTGACGACAGGTGCTCCCATTTTTCATGTTTATATGATTATTTGGCTAATGTTGATTTCACCTACTACACACATCACCCACTCTACACATCAGTAAGGAAGGGGCATGGCTGTTTGTGCTCACCACGTGATCCCTAGCATCTAGCTTAGCACATAATAGATACTTATTTAAAACTTCTTGAACAAATGCCTGAATACTGTTCTCTGGACTTGGAGAAAGAGAGAAGAGGGGAAGCGGGGATCCAATAATTGGCCCTTTTCTCTTGCCATTGAAGTCCTCAGCAGAGTCCCAATTTGCAGATACTTCTGTCAATGGTCATTCAACTACCGTTCACAAAATACCTCTTAAGTGCCAGGTCCTGTGCTATGCGCTTCAAAGAGAAGTAAGACTTGGTTGCTTTTGGAGATCTCTGAGTGTATCCAGGCAGACTAATGAATAAATAACTTCAATACAATGTGAATAGAGCAATGACAGAGGTATGAGCAAAATGCTCCTAGACCGCAGAATCTGACTGCCTAGGGGACAAAGGAAAACTGTGGAGACAGGTAATGTCTGGAGAATGAGGAGGGTCAGCTACCAAGACAGGTGGATGTCAGGCAAGGAACCAGTCTCTACAAAAGCATCAAGGATGGGGAAAGCTTGGCAAATTAAGAGGTCTGATGAGGCTAGAAATTAAGACAAAAATGTCATCTGGCCTTTAGATTTATGTCAATTGGTTTGCAACAAGGATGTCTAGACAATTCAATGGAAAAAGAATGGTCTTTTTTTTAAATGGTGCTTGGACAACTGGATACCACACGGAAAAGGATGAAGTTGGACCCCTACTTCAAACCGTCTACAAAAATTAACTCAAAATGGATCAAAGACATAAATGTAAAAGCTAAAACTACAAAAACTCTTAGAAGAAAACATAAGCGTAAATCTTCATGAGCTTGAATTAGGCAATGGTTTATTACATATGACACCAAAAGCACAAACTAAAATGAAAAAACAGATAAATTGAACTTCATCAAATGTAAACACTTGTGCTTCAAAGGAGACCATCAAAAAAGGGAGAAGAGGCCAGGAGCAGTGGCTCACACCTGTAATCCCAGCACTTTGGCAGGCCGAGGCGGGCAGATCACGAGGTCAGGAGATCTAGACCATCCTGGCTAACATGATGAAATCCTGTCTCTACTAAAAATACAAAAAAAAAAAAAAAAAAAAATTAGCCGGGCGTGGTGGCAGGTGCCTGTAGTTCCAGCTACTTCGGAGGCTGAGGCAGGAAAATGGCATGAACCCGGGAGGTGGAGCTTGCAGTGAGCCGAGATCGCGCCACTGCACTCCAGCCTGGGCAACAGAGTGAGACTCCATCTCAAAAAAAAAAATAAATAAAGTGAGAAGAAAACCCACAGAATGGGAGAAAATATTTGCAAATCATATATCTGATAAAGGACTAGTGTCCAGAATTTATAAAGAACATTTACAACTCAACAATAAAAAGATAAACTTTTTTTTTTTTTCAGATGGAGTCTCACCCTGTTGCCCAGATTGGAGTGCAATGGCACAATCTCGGCTCACTGCAACCTCTGCCTCCTGGGTTCAAATGATTCTCCTGCCTCAGCCTCCCAAGAAGCTGGGATTACAGGTGCTCGCCACCACGCCCAGCTAATTTTTGTATTTTTAGTAGAGATGGGGTTTCACCATGTTGGCCAGGCTGGTCTCCAACTCCTGACCTCGTGATCCACCTGCCTCGGCCTCCCAAAGTGCTGGGATTACAGGTGTGAGCCACCACACCCGGCCCAGATAAACTATTTTTTAAATAGGCTAAGGATTTAAATATTTTTTTCTCCAAAGAAGATATACCAATGACCAGTAAACAAATGAAAAGATGCCCAAGATCATTAGTCAGTAGGGAAATGAAAATCATAACTACAGTGAGATGCCACTTCATACCCACTAGGATGGCTAGAATTAAAAAAAAAAATAGACATTGGCCAGGCACGGTGGCTCACGCCTGTAATCCCAACACTTTCGGAGGCCAAGGCAGGTGGATCACGAGGTCAGGAGATCGAGACCATCCTGGCTAACATGGTGAAACTAAAAATACAAAAAATTAGCCAGGCGTGGTGGCGGGCGCCTGTAATCCCAGCTGCTCAGGAGGCCGAGGCAGAAGAATAGCTTGAACCCGGGGGCAGAGGTTGCAGTGAGCTGAGATCGCGTCACTGCACTCCAGCCTGGGTGACAGAGCGAGACTCTGTCTCAAAAATAAATAAATACGGGAGGCTGAGGCAGGAGAGTCGCTTGAACCTGGGAGGCAGAGGTTGCAGTGAGCCGAGATCGTGCCACTGCACTCCAGCCCGGGCGACAGTGCAAGACTCAGTCTCAAAAATAAATAAATAAAATTTTAAAAAATAAAATAAAAATAAACTTCTTATCTAATTATAATAATTGATGGTAGAAATTTTGGAAAATATAGAAAATTGCAAAGAAGAAAATTAAAATCATCCGTAATCCTTCTAATTAAAATGTCTACTGGCATTTTAGTATATTTTTCTATGAGCAAACATCATTTTTAATACCTTGTAAGAGGCTATCCAATATCATAAATCAAGGATCCCCAACTGGTCTGTGACCTGTTAGGAACTGGGTTGCACAGCAGGAGGCAAGCAGTGGGCAGGCAAGCAAGGGAAGCTTTATCTGTATTTACAGCCACTCCTAGCTCGCATCACCGCCTGAGCTCTGCCTCCTGTCAAATCAGTAGCAGCATTAGATTCTCATAGGAGTGCGAACCCTACTGTGAACTGCACATTCGAGGGATGTAGGTTGCATGCTCCTTATAAGAATCTAATGCCTGATGATCTGAGTTGGAGTTGAAGCAGTGATGCTAGCACTGGGAGCATCTGTAAATACAGATGAACATTAGCAGAGAGGTTTGACCACACAGAGACCATAGTCAATCAGTTGCTTGCAGACTCATATCAAAACCCTATCAGTGGCTGGGCATGGTGGCTCACACCTGTAATCCCAGCACTTTGGGAGGCTGAGGCAGGTGGATCACCTGAGGTCAGGAGTTCGAGACCAGCGTGGCGAACATGGTGAAACCCCACCTCTACTAAAAATACAAAAATTAGCCAGGCATGGTGGCACATGCCTGTAATCCCAGCTACTCAGGAGGCTGAGATGAGAGAATCGCTTGAACCTGGGAGACGGAGGTTGCAGTGAGCCAAGATTACGCCACTGCACTCCTGCCTGGGCAACAGAGTGAGACTGTCTCCAAAAAACAAAAACAAAAACAAAAAAACCCTATCAGTGAGTGGCAAGTGACAATTAAGCTGCAACTGGTGTCAAGCTTTATAATGGCAAGTGAGTTGAAAAAAAAGTGCACAATAAATGTAAGGCACTGGAATCATCCCAAAACCATCCCCTGCCCCCACCTCACAATCCATGAGAAAATTGTCTTCCACGAAACCAGTCCTTGGTGCCAAAAAGCCTGGGAACCACTGTCACAGATTACTTCTATTTTAATATAGTAAGGTTATTTCCAACTTTTCCCTATATAAATAATGGCATAATAAATAAGCTTTTATGAAAGCAAGAAGCTTTTTCACAGATGGGGTTATTTCCTTTGCTGCTTCTTTTGTTGTTGTTGTGTTTTGTTTTGTTTTGTTTTGTTTTGTTTTTTGAGATAGGGTCTCCCTCTGTTGCCCAGCTGGTCTCAAACTTCTGGTCTGAGGCGATCCAACCACTTCTGCCTCCCAAAATGCTGGGATTACAGACGTGAGCCACTATGCCTGGTCTCCGTTGCTTCTTTTTTTTTTTTTTTTTTTTGAGACGGAGTTTCGTTCTTGTTGCCCAGGCTAGAGCACAATGGTGTGTTCTCTGCTCACTGCAACCTCCGCCTCCTGGGTTCCAGCAATTCTCCTGCCTCAGCCTCCCAAGTAGCCTGCCACCATGCCCAGCTATTTATTTTTATATTTTATTTTTTTGTATTTTTGTACAGACGGGGTTTCACCATGTTGGCCAGGCTGGTCTCAAATCCCTGACCTCAGGTAATCTGCCTGCCTCGGCCTCCCAAAATGCTGGGATTACAGGCGTGAGCCACCACACCTGGCCTCATTTGCTTCTTAGAAATGAAATCACTGGATCAAAGACTGAATATATTTAAGTTCTTGCTATGTATTTTTGAACTGTATTCTAAAAGAGTTGGACAGCTTGCATTTCTATTAGTAATCAATGAGATTGCCTGTTTCACAGCATCCACATCAGCATCGAATATTATACTTTTTAAAATTCTCCCTGTTTTATTGTCATTCTGATGGAGGTTTCATAAGCAAGGGAGGGGCTGATTGGGTTTGTTTTTTAGTTGATAGAAAGGCTGGGCTGCAGAGAGATGAGAGAGTGGTGGTATGGAGACCAATTAGGAGAATGTTATACTAGCGCAGGAAAGAGATGACATAGGCAGTGCCAGGGAAGGTGGGTTTAAGACATTTAAGATTTAAAAGATATTTCTAAGAAAGATCAGGTTGGATTTGTGACTGATTCAAAACTGCCAGGGAGGAAGTGAGGGGTGTCAAGATTCACTCCGAAGTATCTGGCTTTGGAGATAGATTGGGGGGTGATAGCATTCACCAAGACAGGGAAACCCGAAGGAGAACAGGTTTGGAAGGAAAATAAAGCTTCCTATTTGCAACATGTTACTGCGGGTGCCTTCCAGAGTTCCAGGTGAAGACGTCAAAATATCCATTAACAACGTGAGTCTGAAGCTTGGCAGAGAAGATGGCACTGGGGATAAAAGTTTGGGAATGGCTGGGCATGGTGGCTCACACCTGTAATCCCAGCCTAGGGAGACCCAGGCGGCCAGATCACTGGAGGTCAGGAATTCGAGACCAGCCTAGCCAACATGGTGAAACCCTGTCTCTACTTAAATATAAAAATTAGCTGCGCATGGTGGTACACCCCTGTAATCCCAGCTACTCAGGAAGCTGAGGCAGGAGAATTGCTTGAGCCCAAGAGGCGGAGTTTGCATTGAGCCGAGATTGCACCATTGCACTCCAGCCTGAGTGACAGAGCCAGACTCCGTCTCAAAAAAAAAAAAAAAAAAAGGTTGGGAATGGTCTCTGTAAAGGATGATGAATGAGAGGGGATGAGGAATTAACTCAGGGGAAAGCAGCATTTGGAAGGCAGAAAGAAGAGTGAGTGAAGAAGAAAGAATTGTTCAGTAAGCAGGGGGTAACCCACAGATACTGGTACCAAAATGCCAGGGGGATAAGGAGATTCAGGGAGGGAGAAGAGTCAACAACGTGAAAATCTTTCACTGCTGCAGAAGTCAAGGAGGGCAAAGACCGAGAAACATCCCACAGAAAGTCCCTAGGAGAGGAAACCAGGGAAAGGCTGAAAAGGAGCAGAGGGAGGAAGCTAAATCCAAGGGTTTATTTTAGAGTGACCTTGCAGGCAAATGGGGGGTGTTGGGAAGGTGCAAAAGAGGACACTGGCCTCAATGGTGAGTCATTCTCTTTCCGTTTTTCTCTTGCCTTTCATGGTGCCAAGAGCTAGTCAGTGACTCTATTCCTCACCACTCACCCGACTTGCACAAGTGGTGAAACTGAAAGTTGGGTAAGAGGATGGAGGCTCAGCCTTGACCCTAGGACTGGAGACCTGTTTCTTAGGCATGGTTCTGCTGTAATCACAAATACCTAATGGAGGCTGGACCTCTGATCTCTTTACTTATAAGATGGAGGGGAGGGTGTGGAAAGTGTTGCCTGAAGCTAGCTGTGGTTTGGTGTTTGTCTACACCCACGGTGTCACATGGCTGCAGTAAAGTGAGAAAAATAAGGCCGAGGTAATGTGTGTTTCATGAATGAAGTTAAATGTATGCAATTTAAAAGACCGTCCTTTATCCTGAGATTATGTTTTTCTTGGTTTGATTCTCCCTCTAGCATCTGTTTTTTCTTTTTTTTTTCTTCCAACTTTTATTTCAGGTTCAGAGGGTACATGTGCAGGTTTGTTACATGGTAAACTGCATGTTATGGAGGTTTGCTGCACAAATGATTTTGTCACCTAGGTAGTGAGCATAGTACCCAAGAGGTAGTTCTTCTATCCTCACCCACCTCTCTCCCTCCTCCCCCTAGTAGTCCCCACTGTCTATTGTCCCCCTCTTTGTGACCATGTGTTCCTCAATATTTAGCTCTCACTTGTAAGTGAGAACGTGTGATATTTGGTTTTCTGTTCCTGCAGTAATTCACTTAGGATAATGGCCTCCAGCTGCATCTATGTTGCTGCAAAGGACATGGCTTCATCTTTTTTATGGCTGCATAGTATTTCATGGTACTTATGTTTCCTGTTTCATAGATGGGAAGTGGCCCTTTCTTTTGTGAAATGAAGGTAGATGGTAGCTGAGTATCACCCCATGTTTTCTCTCCATATCTTTATGTAGTGAGTAAGAAGTTGGTAACTCGATTGGCTCCCCGGTCAGTTTGGGAAAGTTACTGATGTATTAACTGCAAAAATGTGGGAATGAGTGGCCTAGATGTTTTTTCAGGACCCTCTCCTCTAAAATCCTAAACTCCCAGACCACTGAAGATAGTTCTCAGAAGGAAAATATAGTGACAGAGCTCAGCCAGTGTGGGGTGAAGTGGGCACTGTTGATCCACCACACCCTGCACCCCCACCACACACAATGCCTTTGAGTTTGGGCCTCTGCTGCAGGGTGGTGAGCTCCTGGCCTCCCCTTTGTCCCTCAGTCCCCCATGTGCTTTGCGGGTCTGGCCACCTAGGGCCCAAGCTTCTGTCACTGCTGCTCCTGCCCAGGGGCCAAATGCTCCTGGCTTTCTGTCCCAGCTCAATACAAGGTTCCTGCAGACAGTAGGTGCTCAGTATCTACTGAATAAGTAAATCAATGAATTCCCATTTTACCTATGAGAAAACTGACTCACCCCCTCCTTAAACTCCTTGAAGACAGGGATATGTACTCCCAGGGTCGACCATGAGTCCTGGTGCGTGCTCAGGGGATAGTTAAAATCTGTTATTTTGCTAACATCACTTGGCTAACACGTGGCAGAAATTAAATTTGAATCTAAATCCTCTAACTCCAGTCCACTGCTGTCTCTCCCCACTGTCACCACAGAATGGTAGGACATCCATCATCAGGAGAGGTGAGATTTGGGAGCAGGACAACCTTTCTAGGCCCCTCTAAATCAAACTCAGCAGCACAAGCATGAGCCAGGTCTTCCCTCCAGCAGCGATTTTATTCTTGTTCACACTGGCAGATAAAGAGGGGTAAATGTGAGCTGTCTACATGAGGTGCAGTTTTTACACTTCATCTTTATTTTTCTCAAAGTAATTATTGCACTGAGTTTAAGACGTCAAGGCCAGGTGCGGTGGCTCACGCCTGTAATCCCAACACTTTGAGAGGCTGAGGCGGGAGGATGGCTTGAGGTCAGGAGTTTGAGACCAGACTGGGCAACATAGAGAGATCCCATCTCTACAAAAAATTTAAATATTAGCTGGGAGTGGTGGCATGTGCCTGTGGTCCCAGCTACTCAGGAGGCTGAAATGGGAGGATTGCTCGAGCCCAGGAGTTCGACGCTGGAGTGAGCCATGATTGCACCATTGTACTCCAGCCTGGGCCACAGAGCAAGACAATGTCTCAAAACAAAACAAAACAGAAGAAATCAAAGAGCAGAGTGCCATGGCTCACACCTGTAAGCCCAACACCTTGGAGGCTGAGACAAGAGGACCGCTTGAGGCCAAGAGTTCAAGACCAGCTTGGGCAACATACTGAGACCCTGTCTCTAAAATTAAAAAAAAATTCTTGTAAATAAAAAACACAAAAAGTCCCATGGGAGAAGGGAAAGCATCAGGAAGAATAGCTAACAGATGCTGGGCTTAATACCTAGGTGATGGGATGATCTGTGCAGCAAATGACTGTGGCACACGTTTACCTATGTATCAAACCTGCGCATCCTGCGCATGGACCCCTGAACTTGAAATATAAGTTGGAAAAAAAAGAAAGTCAAAAGATACTAAAAACACCTTTAACAAAAAATAGTAAGACCTTCCTTCCCTTTGCCCCAGAGGTGACCATAATCACTTTGTTGTACGTATTTTATGGTATTTATCTTCAGATGTCTACAGAACAGGTTTAGTCACCATCTCCATTTATTGGTTTGACCCATCATCTCTGGACCAGCCTGACGAATGAGCAGTTAGCTTTTTAAAGTACTTCCTGTTCCCCTCTTCTACTCAATGTAGTATACCTCTTGCTTAAGTTAACATTAAATGTTTATCTTATTATGATTATGTGATTTTTATTCAATTGAGCCCATTGAAACCAAGATATGTTTCTCTTCTTGTACAACTTTTTGTTTCCCCTAAAGTTAGTAATCAGGTCTCTTTCTTTTTTAAAATTTGCTTACTATTCTAGATACCTAACAATAACTTTTCTTAGATCTTCTAAGAGCCTTTTAATATTTCCACACACCAAGAAATTCAGATAATCTACCCATTCCATTTTTTTCTCACTGATCATCCTCCTGGAACCCTCTGTCCTTCTCCTTTTTTTATTTTTTTTATTTTTTTCTTGAGATGGAGTCTCTCTCTGTTGCCCAGGCTGGAGTGCTGTGGTGCGATCTCGGCTCACTGCAACCTCTGCCTCCCAGATTCAAGCAATTCTCCTGCCTCAGCTTCCCGAGTAGCTGGGATTACAGGCACCTGCCACCACACCCGGCTAATTTTTGTATTTTTTGGTAAAGACAGGGTTTCACTATGTTGGCTAGGCTAGTCTCGAACTCCTGATCTCAAGTGATCTGCCCACCTTGACCTCCCAAAGTGCTGGGATTACAGGTGTGAGCCACCATGCCAGGCCCTTCTCCTTCCATCTGGGCTGGTTTGCTTCCATTTTCCATCATCCTGGGAGCTTCCTCTGCCACTCTCCTGTGTTGGGATCCCCTGGTTCCCCAGGCCCCCTCTTTCTTGGTTTTTTCCAAGAAAGTGGGAAGCAAACCTTTTGAGAAACTGCATGTCATTGCCTCTCGGCCTTTGGGCTAAGATCAAGTGGAGAAACTGCATGTCTAAAAATGTCTTTATTTCCCTTCAATACTCAATTGATAATTGAGCAGAATATGAAATTATAGGTGGGAATCATTTCCCTCAGGATTTTGATGCCTCATTCTATTTTCTTCTAGCTTCTGATGTTTTTATTGAGCAGTCTGAGGCAATTCTGATTGCTGATCCTTTGTAAAAATCTTCTTTTTTATCTCTCGGGAAGCTTTTAGGATCTTTTCTTTATCCCTCTAGTTCTGAAATTTCACAATGATACGTAGGCCTGAGTGGGACCTTTTTTCCTTCATTGTTCTTGGCGCTCAATGGACCCTTTTATACTGGAAATTCAGATTCTGCACTTCTGGGGAAAGTTTTCTTATTACTTATTTTAATAGTTTTCTCCCCTCCATTTCTCTGTCTTCTCTTCCTGAAATAAGGCAGAGTAAGGGGGAAGGGAGTAAGAGAAGATACTATTTTAGACAGAGTAGCCAGCAGTCTCTCTGATGAGGTATCTGAGCACAAACCCAAATCAGTATCCTCTCATCTCTGAGAAAAATTGTTAGACTTTTTCTCTCGTTCCTTGCTCTGATTCTTTTTCTTTTCCATTTCCTTTGTCCATCTTTTGTGGTCTCCCTCCTGTCGAGAGACTTCCCTCATGTGTCTAGTGATCCTTGGCTGAGTGTGCACATTCAGTGGGAGGCAAAACCTCACACTGTACCCCAAACATATACACAGTTATTATTTGTCAATTTAAACATTTTTTTAACTTGAGCAACAACAAAAAAGAGAGAGACACTGAAAGCTGATGGGAAGCTCTGAGTGGGTGCAGTTTGTCACCTGCAGATTTTTCTTTTTTTTTAGAGACGGGGTCTTGAGGTGGGAGGCAGGACTCGGCTCTGGAGGTGGGGCTCACATACCGGACCAAATTGAGGACTAACTAAAACAGGTCCAGAAGCAGCTTTCCATAAGACACGACCACAAGGGTGCTATGTCAGTTTACTGCTCCCATGCAACACCCAGATGTTACCACCCCTTTCCAGGGCAATAACCCTGACCCTGCAATGACCACTCTCATCCTAGAATCTCTGCATAAACCACCCCTTAATTTGTATATAATTAAAAGTGGGTATAAACATGAGTGCAGTACTGCCTCTGAGCTGCTACTCTGGGCACACCGCTCTGCCAGCAGCGGTACCTCTGCTGCTGCTGTGCACGGCCACTTCAATAAAAGTTGCTGTCTAGGCCAGGCATGGTGGCTCATGCCTGTAATCCCAGCACCTTGGGAGGCCAAGGCAGGCGGATCACCTGAGGTCAGGAGTTCAAGACCAGCCTGGCCAACATGGCAAAACCCCATCTCTACTAAAAATACAAAAATTAGCCAGCCATGGCGGCGAGTGCCTGTAATCCCAGCTACTCAGGAGGCTGAGGCAGGAGAATCACTTAAACCCAGGAGGCAGAGGTTGCAGTGAGCCGAGATCGCACCATTGCACTCCAGCCTGAGTGACCAGAAACTTTGTCTCAAAAGAAAAAAAAAAAAAAAGTTGCTGTCTAACACCTCTGGCTTGCCCTTGAATTCTTTCCTGTGTGAAACTGAGAACCCTCCCAGGCTAAGGCCCAATTTGGGGGCTTGCCTGTCCTGCATTAGTCTCACTCCCACCCAGGCGGGAGTGCAGAGGCACTAACATGGCTCACTGCAGCCTTGAACTGCTAGGCTCAAGCGATCCTCCTGCCTCAGCCTCCCCAGTAGCTGGGACCACCAGCATGCACCACCATGCATGTTGTCTTTTTCATTGGGGAACTCCTTCCTGTGGAATTGCTTCCTTTCCCCAGAGAGGAATCTCCCAATCTTCCACTTGGGGGTGGTGAGGGGGTGTGCAACTCTGGAGAGAGTGGGAACATCATCACTCATTCATCTGGACTTGCACTTACCTCTCTTCACTCTGCCTTCAGTGATGTCCCGAAGTTCCTGGGCCTTTCTGGGATTCCACAGGGCAAGCTTGTTGGCTTTCGGTGAGCAGTTCCTTCTGCGGACCCTGCAGTTTCTGTCCCTACCATCCCATCTCCGGTCCATCGATGACCCCTTGCCCATTCTCTCTGTCCTCATGATTTCAGTGGGATTTAAAGACAGTGCGCAGGTTAAAATGTATCCAACCCACTATGTTTAACCAGCACATGAAATACTCTAAAACAAATTCTAGCAAACAGATGAGGCTAAGAAATTTTTTTTTTCAAGAAAAAGAAAACCCTTGCAATCTATCCCTCCTGTCATGAAACCCCTGTACTTGACAATCGTGGAATTTTATGGGTGAAGTGAACTCAGACATCATCAACGCCCACTAGCTCATTTTACAGATAGAGAAACTGAAACCCAGACTGCAGAAGTAACTTGCCCAGAGTCACAGAGCCAGTGAGTGGCAGACTAACGAGTCTGCAGTTCCCACTTGGAATCCTGTACCTCTCCACTCAGGCTTCCCAGAAGAGCCCCTCTGGCAGTAGAAAGATTTTCCTCTTGATGGGGCTTTCGAAGCAAATGCTTTTTTGCCCTCTGGGCCAGTCTGACCCGGATCAGTCCTATCTGGAGAAGAACGATGAGAATGAACTAGACACTGTTTCTCGGCAAGACCAGGAGTGTTCACGGCATATTAAACAAAGATCGTTTCTTAAAGGACAGAGTCAAGATAACAAATGTAACTTAAAATAAACCTGCAGTCAGATTACCAATTAACACCTAAGTGTATTTAAGCAGAAATAAATTTAATTGTCTAATTAATTTTTCACCAATTAAGTCCATTTTCACATGTTGCGTTTTACACTGCCTTGGCAATGAAAGTAATTGGATCCCTTTATAACCATTTTCCACTTCCTGGTTTGCTAAGTAGTTCAATGCTGTTGTCTATAGAAGATATAAATTGCCCCAAACTGGCCACATTGCAACTTTATGAAGTTCATAAAATACTTCTATTTGGAGGATGGGAGATGAGGAGAAGCTGCAAAGATGAAAATGACAATTTGTGGAATGGCAGAGTAGAAAGGGTGCCTGCGGTAGGCAGCCTCTAAGATGGTCCCCAATGATCCCTGCCTCCTGACGTTCACACCCTGGTGAAGTTCCCTCCCCTTAAGTGGGGCCTGGACCTAATGACTTCCTTCTAAGATGTAAAATACACGCTGGGGCTGGACGTGGTGGCACACACCTGTATCCAAGCACTTTGGGAGACTGAGGCGGGAGGATTGCTTGAACCCAGGAGTTCTACACCAGCCTGGGCAACATGGCGAGACCCCATCTCTACAAAAAAAATAAAATACAGGATAGGGCACAGTAGCTCACACCTGTAATCCCAGCACTTTGGGAGGCCACGTCTGGCAGATCGCTTGAGAGCTCAGGAGGTTGAGACCAGCCTGAACAACATAGTGAAACCCCATCTCTACAAAAAATACAAAAAATTGGCCAGGCGAGGTGGTGCACACCTGTAGTTCCAGCTACTTGGGAGGCTGGGGTGGGAGGATCACCTGAGCCTGGGGAGGTCGAGGCTGCAATGAGCCATGATCGTGCCACTGCACTCCAGCGGGTGACAGAGCAAGACTGTGTCTCCAAAAATAATAAAATAAAATAAAATAACAAAAATTTTTTAAAAAATGTAATGAGTAAAATACAGCAAAATTGATGGGATATTACTTCCAAGATGGGTCATAAAAAGATTTCTAGCCTAACTGCTCTTGCTCACTCTCTCATTTTCTCCCTCTATCTCCCCACCCCCTCTCTCTTTCGCTCTCTCTGATCATTCAGTCTGGGTAAAACTATGTCTTGAGCAGCCCTAGAGAGAAGCCCAAGTGCAAAGGAACTGAAGTTTCCTGCCCAAAGCCATGTGAGTGTGCCTGGAAAAGGAACCTCCTGCCCTAGTCAAGCCTCCAGAGACTGCAGTCCCAGCTAGGCCACCCCAAACTGCTGATCTTCATCAACTCTGTGATGTAATGATAAATACTTACTGCTTTAAGCTTCTACGTTTGGGGATGATTTAGTATACAGCAATTGTGGGGAGACCTAGGTATGAGTCCTGACTTTTCCACTTCCTTGCAAAATCACTTTGTATGAGTCCCTTAACCTCTCGTTATTTATTTATTTATGACAGAGTCTCGCTCTGTCACCCAGGCTGGAGTGCAATGGTGCGATCTCTGCTCACCGCAACCTCCGGCTCCCAGGTTCAAGTGATTCTCCTGCCTCAGCCTCCCAAGTAGTTGGGATTACAGGCACTCGCCATCATACCCAGATAATTTTTGTATTTTTAGTAGAGACTGGGTTTCACTTTGTTGGTCAGGCTGGTCTCGATCTCCTGACCTCAGGTAATCCACCCGTCTCAGTCTCCCAAAGTGCTGGGATTACAGGTGTGAGCCACTGTACCCAGCCCCTTAATCTCTCTTAATTACTCCTGTTTCTTCATCTGTACAATGGGGATAATAACCATACCTAACCCCACAGAGTTCCATGGGCTTCAAGAAGGAAACTAGCTTTAAATGATCGTTAGGCATTAGATATTTTTATCTACACTATCTCATTTTTTTCATATTTCAAAGGAAAAAAGAATGCATGGAAAGTGTCTAGTAAATTGGAGCACCATGCTAGTATTCTTAGAGCCAATTCATTCTATGATTTATTAAAACATTGTTTAACCAAATATCAATCTTGGATCAACTTTAAATAAACCATATGTCTTTAAGAACCGATGGGTTTTAATTAGTTTCTTAATTAGCATGTGAGAAGTTTGCAAACCTATTGGGTTTGCTATCAAAATCAGAAGAATAACCTTTATATGATTCTCACATGAGGAGCCAGGGCCGAGGCGCCCAGGACCCTCAAGTTAATATGACCCAAGCTCAACTCTCTCTGATAAGCCCCTAATCAGGAAGGCTGAGCCTTATTAACAACACCACTCTCCTCCTGCTCCACCAACCTGGGAACCTCCAAGTCATCCCCCCAGAATCCTCTCCTTCCACTCTTCACCCCCACTCTTGTCATCAAATCCTGTGATTCTAATTCAGGGACATTTTTTCCCCACCACCACCCTGCCACTGTTTTAGTTCAGACTAATTGCCTTCACATTTAATCATTAATCAAGTATCTATTGACAGTGCGTGATGCTTCAAAAGTTGGGCTCTGCAGGCCGGGTGCGGTGGCTCATGCCTGTAATCCCAGCACTTTGGGAGGCCGAGGCAGGCGGATCACGAGGGCAGGAGATCAAGACCATCCTAGCTAACACAGTGAAACCCTGTCTCTACTAAAAATACAAAAAAAATTTAGCAGGGTGTGGTGGCAGGCGCCTGTAGTCCCAGCTACTCGGGAGGCTGAGGCAGGAGAATGGCGTGAACCCGGGAGGCGGAGTTTGCAGTGAGCTGAGATTGCACCACTGCACTCCAGCCTGGGTGACAGAGCAAGACTCCATCTCAAAACAAAACAAAAGAAAGTGAGCTCTGCATGGGAATACAGTAGTTAATCAGGCCCCCTGTCTTCAAGGAACTAACACGTTTCCTCATTCAGTTTTGCAAAATTCAGCTGAACTAGATTGATAGTTATGAGTAGGCTGCCTTGGGCTAAGTCTTGGCCTTTCCACTTACTGTGTGTCCTTGGACAAGTTACCTAAAGTCTCTGTACTTCGGTTTTGTCACTTGCAAAACAGGGATAATAATAGTACCTATGTCACAAGGATTAAGAGAGTTAAAATATGTTTAAATGCTTAGAATAGTGTCTGGCAATCAAAAAATGTTAGCCATTGCTATTTTTGGACCATAACCTGTTTTCTCTCTGTAGGCCAAACCATCCCTTCCAGAGGCGCCTGACTCTTCTTCCTAAAGAACCATTTAGCCATGTCATTTCCCTAACAAACGTCACTAACGTATGTCTTAGCATGGCCCATCTGTCTCTGGCCCTAGGCCTCCACCCTAACCCCATCCTTTCCCCAACACTCCACTGAATGTGTCTCACCCTTGCCAAAACATGCCACTCTGAGCCTAATCATGTGTCTTTGTGCCAAGACAAATGAGGCATTAAAGAGAAGACAGACTTGTGGCCGGGCGCAGTGGCTCACGCCTGTAATCCCAGCACTTTGGGAGGCCGAGGCGGGCGGATCACGAGGTCAGGAAATCAAGACCAACCTGGTTAACGGGGTGAAACCCCGTCTCTACTAAAAATACAAAAAATTAGCCAGACGCGGTAGCGGGCGCCTGTAGTCCCAGCTACTAGGGAGGCTGAGGCAAGAGAGTGGCGTGAACCCGGGAGGCGGAGCTTGCAGTGAGCCGAGATAGTGCCACTGCAGTCCGGCCTGGGCGAAAGAGCGAGACTCTGTCTCAAAAAAAAAAAGAGAGAGAAGACAGACTTGTTCAAGGGATGACAAGACAGAGCCCAAGATGGCGGCTGGACGCTCCCCTTCTCTTTCAGGCTCTGTAAGGAGTGGCTACTGCAAGAGACAAAACAGGCTGGGACTTCACTACTCTATGGCAATGGGTAGCACAGGTCTTAAAATGGCGGAAATGTTTGCTACCAGGAAATATCAGATGGGAAGAAAAGGAATTAGACCTTGTTCTTATCTTGCTTGGGAGCATAGAACTGCCCCTGCTGTCATCAGGGAAAGAGAAGAAAGGAAGAAAGAAAGAGCTTGAGCTTCAGAGTAAGTGAGACCTGTGTCCAAATCCTGGCTCTACCTCTAGCTAAACAAGCACTGTAACCTCAGTTTCTTTGGCTAGAAAATGGGACTAAGAACGGTTACTTTGTGGAGTTGATGTGAGAATTGGATGAGAAAACTTATGTGAAACGTACGCAGCACACCACAGGCTCCAGATAAGATATTACCTTCCCATTTTCTCATGCCCTGTTGTCCATGCTGTTGAAATATCCCAGCTAACCTCATCCTGTCTGCCTGGTGAACTCCTACTTGATCTTCAAGTCCTAGTTCAACGTCACTTGCCAGAGGAGCCTTTCCTGGCTTTCTGGGGCATAGTTTGTCACTCCTGCCACTATCTCCTCCTGGACTGGGAACTCCTGCAGAGCAGGAATAACAACTGAAACAACCTTTGCATCCTCAGAGCCTAGCATCATTCAAAAATAAATATCTGGGCTGGGTGCAGTGGCTCACGCCTGTAATCCCAGCACTTTGGGAGGCTGAGGCAGGAGGATCACTTGAGCCCAGAAGTTCAAGACCAGCCTGGGCAACATAGTGAGACCCTGTCTCTAAAATAAATAAATGGGCCGGGTATGGTGGCTCACGCTTGTAATACCAGCACTTTTGGAGGCCAAGACGGATGGATCACTTGAGGTCAGGAATTCAAGACTAGCCTGGCCAACATGGCGAAACCCTGTCTCTACTAAACAAAAAGTAGCTGGTTGTGGTGGCGTGTGCCTGTAATCCCAGCTACTCAGGAGGCTAAGCCAAGAGAATTGCTTAAACCCAGGAGGTGGAGGTTGCAGTGAGCCGAGATCGCACCACTGCACTCTAGCCTGGGCAACAGAGCAAGACTCCATCCCCCAAAAAATAAAAAATAAAAATAATTAAAAATAAATAATATAAAATAAATAAAAATTAAAAAAAGAAAAAATAAATATCTGTTGGGTAGCGTCCTACGATTTCCATGTAAAAATAAAGGATTCTTAAGTGCTTTAAAATATTTCTTATTACAGCATTATTTGTAATAGAGAAACTTTGGAAGCAACATAAATGTCTAATAATTAGGGGTTAAGTAAATTATGGTTTGTCCTCATAATGTAATGTATGCTGCCATGAAAATCACGTTATAGAAATGTGCTGTTGGCATTTCTCAATATACATTATGGGGAAAGAAGCAGGTTTCAACGCAGTACTATGTACAGAATGATCCTGTTTTGTGATAAAAATATAAATGTTTATGTATGCATAACAAGGTCTGGAAGGACCCAGTGGTTGTCTCTGGGTGGGTGGAATTTGCATGTTTCTTTTCCTTCCTTATGCTTATATGTATTTTGTGATTTTTCTATAATGAGCATAAATTACTTTTGTAGTAAGAAAAAAAAAATTTAAACTACCAAAAATTGTTTTTCTGATTGTAATACATTTTCATTGTAGAAAATTTGAAAACTATGAAAACTATAAAAAATAAAAGATAATTATGCATGTTGTTCCACCTAGAGAGCCTGTTAACATTTTAGTATAATTCTTTCTAGTCTTTTTTTAAAAAAAAATGCATGTATGAATTTTTTAAACTACTTGAGATCAAACTGATCTATAGCTTAAGATCCTGCAATTTTTTATTACATTGTGAATATTTTCCAAAGCTATTACAAATTGTAAATATTAGATGTCTCACAAAGGACTGGAAAAATCAGCTATCCTGGGGAGAAAAAAATAGAAGAATCAAAAAGAGGGTTCCTGGCCTCCCAAATACAGCACAAGGCATTTTAACGTCTTCTCTAGCCCTAGAGAGGGCTTATATTGTATAAAACACTTTAAAATATTCCATATTAGCAATTTTAATGGTAAATTTTTTGAAAGGGCTTTTTATAATTTTGCTATTGAATTTGGCTAAACATACTCATTTAATTTACAACTGGCAAACAACTCACTGAATTTACAATTGGCTATAATTTCTCAGTAATTATTGTGCCTATTTGGGAACTCGGGGAAAATTGAGAAAAATCCAACCTACGAATTGTTTTCAAATATAAAGAAACACAATATTTAACAATTAATGCAATTAACACAATGTTACATTGTATAGTTTTTAATTAAACTTTTTTATTTTTACAGTTTTCATAGTTTGGAACCAATAACTCTTTTCAGATCTAGGACTTGGGCTGTGTCTCCCCTGACTCGTGGAGAGAACATCCTGCTTTCACTACAGGGCAGCCATGGCAGAAAACACCAGAAACTTCCAGCAGGGGTGGGAGCCACTTCAAAGGCTAGCAATAAGGAAAGCCAATTTATTCAGCAGAGTTGGTTTTTCTGTGCCAACCTCCAAATAGAAAGTGGGAAGGTTTGGACAGGGAATTCCTGCTCCAGAAAGTTTTCGCTTCTCAAGTACAGAAGTAAAACTGGGGAGAAGGAGGGAGAGGCAGAAAAGGAAAAACAGGAAGGAGAAAGGAGAGAAAAGGCTAGAGAAGGAAGGAAGGAAAGGAAGCAGGGAAGCTACCTATCATTCATTCATTGCTTATTATGTACCAGGCACTAAGCTAAGAACTATACACATTGTATCTCTTTCAGCACTCACTAGAACCCTATGAGAGGAGACTGTTGTCACTCCTATTTTACAGATAAGGCTCCAGAGGATCAGAAAGGTTAAGTCATTGGCCTAGGGTCACACAGCTTAAAAGCGACAGAGCTGGCCCAAGGCTGTCCAACACCAGGACCACTACATTAACCCTTATACCATACGGCCTCCCCAAACATGCTTGCCCTGTCTGTCCCGCCTCCTAGTCCCAGAATAACAGAATTTAAAGCTGGAGGAGACCTTTGACATCAGCTTTCAGTCTCTACCTTAACTGAAGCAGGCTCACAGGAAGAACTTTGTCCCCTGTCTGCATCCTGCTGAACAACGCACTTCCACCCTGTCTCACGTCCTTACATCCCCAGGGCCACTGTGCCTGGCCCAGAAAATGTGCTTAGTAGGTGTTTGCTGAATTAATGAATTAAATAAATCTCTCGTTTTGCTGAGAAGGAAGGCCAGAGAAGGAAATTTGGGGACCACACACCGGGGGTAACTTGCTTAAGGTCATCAACAAAGTAGCAATGACAGACTTTAGTTTAGAATCTGGGCCAATGCTTGTTTCACCTGAATTCGCACTGTTTCACCTGAATTTGCATAGGGCTTTTCACCTTACATTATCTCATTTGGTCCTCATAACCACCACGTGATTATTACCATATGTCATCCAACCTAAGGCCATCAATGGGACATACCACTGTTTTCTTCAACAATAGGAAAGAGAAAAACACTGCCAGATATCGTTGGGAGACACCATCAATTGTAAGAGGCATCCCTACCAAGTGGGAAAAAAAAACGTGTGGTGTTATCCACATTTTGCAGATGTGGGAACAAAGGCTCTCAGAAATGAAGAGGCGTGTCCCAGACATAAAGCAATTAAGAGTCAGATGTGTGTGATTCAAGCTAGTCCTGGGCTCCCTCAAAAACTGTACCTTAAGCCGGGCGCAGTGGCTCACGCCTGTAATCCCAGCACTTTGGGAGGCTGAGGCGGGTGGATCACCTGAGGTCGGGAGTTCAAGACCAGCCTGACCAACATGGAGAAACCCCGTCTTTACTAAAAATACAAAATTAGCCGGGGTGGTGGTGCATGCCTGTAATCCCAGGTACTCAGGAGGCTGAGGCAGGAGAATCAATTGAACCCAGGAGGCGGAGGTTGCAGTGAGCCGAGATCGCGCCATTGCACTCCAGCCTGGGCAACAAGAGAGAAACTCTGTCTCAAAAAAAAAAAAAAAAAAACCAACTGTACCTTAAGGCACTGTGATCTGATGCCTTTTTGTTGTTGTTTGAGACAGGATCTTGCTGTGTCACCCAGGCTGGAGTGCAGTGGTGCTATCTCAGCCCATGGCAGCCTCGACCTCCCAGGCTCAAGTGATCCTCTTACCTCAGCCTCCTGAGTAGCTGTGACTATAGGCATGCACCACCACGCCCAGCTAATTTTTGTATTTTTGGTAGAGATGGGGTCACGCCGTGTTGCCCAGCCTGGTCTGGAACTCCTGAGCTCAAGCAATCTGCCCACCTCGGCCTCCCAAAGTGCTGGAATTATAGGCATGGGCCAGTATGCCTGGCTTGATGGTTTGTTTTTTTAAAAAAATTATTGGCCGGGCGTGGTGCAGTGAGGGAAGATTGCACCACTGCACTCCAGCCTGGGTGACGCAGTGAGACCCTGCCTCAAAGAAAAAAAAATTATTGTTCTGCTTCTTAAATGATCATCCTACAGGATGATAAACACCATGTCTGAGAGCGAGGTCCGTGGTCTCCACTTCACAGCCGTTTTCCGAGTACCTTGCACAATGTCAGGAACAGAGCAAGCCTCAAAACAATATCTAAGAAATGTACAGGAAAGAGTGGGGAGGTCACACCGTGAGGCACCTTATAGATCCGAGAAACATGGGCCTGAGTTAGAAGTCACCGACCGTGGGCCCAGCATGGTGGCTCACGCCTGTAATCCCAGCATTCTGGGAGGCCAAGGCAGGCAGATCACCTGAGGTCAGGAGTTTGAGAACAGCCTGGCCAATATGGCAAAACCCTGTCTCTACTAAAAATACAAAAAAATTAGCTGGGCGTGGTGGCGCGCATCTGTAGTCCCAACTACTTGGGAGGCTGAGGCAGGAGAATCGCTTGAACCTGGGAGGTGGAGGTTGCAGTGAGCCAATATCACACCATTGCACTCCAGCCTGGGCGACAGATCGAGACTCCATCTCAATTAAAAGGAAAAAAAAGTCATCAACTGTGGATGTTTCCATGTTGCTGACACCAGGCGAGGTAAAGGTAAGTGCAGAATGGGCCGTGTATTTAATCCCACCCTGGCCAGCTACTAGCTATGTGACTTCAGAGGAGTATTGTAACTCTTTGAGTCTCTGTTTCCTGCCAGTAAACTGTGGATAATGCGGTACTCCCTATCTCATGGGACTGTGAGAATTAAACGAGAATGTAAAAGCTAAGAGCTTGGCACATGGCAAACACTCAATCACAGCTAAAGCCAGGTAGAGGAGAAATGTTTGTCTTCCATCATCGCAAACGAAACCAAACTGGCTGGGCATTGGGGGATTTTGTGATCCAGAGCCCTCAGTCTCAGACTGGTCATAGAAACAGGCTGTCCTGCAGCAGAAGACTCCTTTCCCACCCCTATCACTAGCAGCTTTCTAAAGATCAAATACACAAGAAATGACAGTTGGGAAATAACCATACACACCAATCTAATTAATAGAATCATAAACATTTACCTCGATCCACCTAGGCAAAAATGTTTAAAACTCTGGATAGAATAG
This sequence comes from Homo sapiens, assembly GCF_000001405.40. Taxonomy (NCBI): domain Eukaryota; kingdom Metazoa; phylum Chordata; class Mammalia; order Primates; family Hominidae; genus Homo; species Homo sapiens. The sequence continues at coordinate 46,225,785 of NC_000011.10, forward strand.
ATGATTTTCTAGGGAAATAGAAAATATTACAACTAATTCCAAAAGAGTTTTTTAAAACACACGCACCAAAAAAGAAACCTACCAAATACTGTAGAATAAATTGAGAATATTTTCAAAGAGCAATACCCAAAAAAAGTGTCAGGTCCAGATGGTTTCATGGGTGAATTCTACCTGCTATTTAAATTGTTCCAGAGCAAAGAGAAAGCAGGAAAATTTCCAAATTCTTTTTATGAAGCCAGCACAACGCTGTATGTAACCTGACAAGAGAGCACCATAGAAAAAAAGGCTCAGTAAATCTGTAAATGCTGGAAGCATTTCCCAGAGTCAAGAGCAAAATGAGAATTTCTACTCACACCACTAACAATGTTAAACGTAACATTATTCTGGAAGTGCTGGCCTATACTATACAGTGAGACAACCGAAAGAAGCAAGATGTAGGAAAACAGGAAAGGAGAAAGACAAATTATCATCTTTAGATGATATGACTGTAAACCTCTAACTCAAGGTAATTCAGGAATTCACAATGAAATAATTAGATGTCAATTATCAATAAAATAAGATGACTGTTTATATGACTGATATACAAAAGTTAGTACCTTTCTTACATGCAATCAACCAGTTAGGAAATATTTTAAAAGTTTCCATTCATATGAGTGATGACACAAAACACAACCAATACAAATGTGCTAAATGGGCCGGGCACAGTGGCTCACGCCTGTAATCCCAGCACTTTGGGAGGCCGAGGCAGGTAGATCACCTGAGGTCAGGAGTTCGAGACCAGCCTGACCAACATGGTGAAACCCCATTCCTCCTAAAAACACGAAAATTAGCTGGACATGGTGGTGGGTGCCTGTAATCCCAGCTACTGGGGAGGCTGAGGCAGGAGAATCAATCGCTTTAACCCAGGAGGTGGAGGTTGCAGTGAGCAAAGATCACGCCACTGCACTCCAGCCTGGGCGACAGAGCGAAACTCCATCTCAAAAAAAAAAAAAAAAAAGATGTGCTAAATGTATAAGAGGAGTGTCTTAGCAGGAGGATTGCTTGAGCCCAGGAGTTAGAGGCTGCAGTGAGCTATGATCGCGACACTGCACTTCAGCCTGGGTGACAGAGCAAGACCCTGTCTCCAAAAAAAAAAAAAAGGAAGAGGAATGCCTTTGAATGCTGCTGAGGGACTTGATAGTCCGAATAAATGGAAAGACATATCCTGCTTCTGAATAGGAGGATGTACTATTGTAAAGATGTCGGTTTCACAAATCATGGTATTTACAATGATTCCAATTTTTAAAACATGCTAAACGAATTGCTTTTGGAACCAGATAGGCTGATTCTAAAGTTCACATGGAAAAATAAGCATGCAAGAATAGCCAGGAAAAAAATATGGGGGTGGGGAGGGAAAGACAGTGAGGATAGACTACCTACTGAACATTGAAACATACTGTAGTTTCTTAGATATGACACCAAAACCATAAACAACAAAAAAAAATAGATAAATTGAATTTCATCAAAGTTAAAAACTCTTGTGCCTCAAAGGATACCATCAAGAAAGTGAAAACACATACTCATAAAATGGGAGAAAATATTTCCAAGTCCTATATCTGATAAGGAGCTACTATTCAGAATATAAAAAGAACTCTTATAATTTAGCCACAAAAAGACAACCCACTTTTAAAATGGGCAAAGAGTTTGAATAGACTTTTGTCTAAGTAAGGTATACAAATGGCAATAAGCACAGGAAAAAAATGCTCCACATCATTAGTCATTAGAAAATACCCATCAAAACTACAATGAGATACCACTTCACACCTATAAGGAGGCTAGAATCAAAGGGACAAACATTCCCAAGTGTTGGGGAGGATATGGAGAAACTGAAACCCTCATGCATTGCTGTTAAGAATGTAAAACAGCCAGGGGCACAGTGGCTGACACCTGTAATCCCAGCGCTTTGGGACACTGAAGTGGGTGGATCACCTGAGGTCATGAGTTCAAGACCAGCCTGGGCAACATGGTGAACCCCTATCTCTACTAAAAATACAAAAATTAGCCAGGCATGGTGATACATGCCTGTAATCCCAGCTACTCAAGAGGCCGAGGCACGAGAATTGCTTGAACCTGGGAGGTGGGGGTTGCAGTGAGCTATGATCATGCCACTGTACTCCAGCCTGGGCAACAGAGCGAGACTCTGTCTCAAAAAAAAGGCAAAAAGAAAAACAGCCAAGGGCGTGGTGGCTCACGCCTGTAATCCCAACACTTTGGGAGGATGAAGTAGGCAGATTGCTTGAGCCCAGGAGTTTGAGACCACCTTGGGCAACATAACGAAACCCATCTCTACAAAAAAAATTTTTTAAATAGCCTGGCGTGGTGGCAGGTGCCTGTAGTCCCAGCTACCCAGGAGGCTGAGGTGGGAGGCTCAAAGCAGTGAGGCATGATCACACCACTCCAGCCTGGGTGACAGAGCAAGATCTTGTCTCAAAAACAAAAAAGAAAAAGAGAATGTAAAACATGCACTACTTTGGAAAACAGTCTGGCAATCGTTGGTTCTTCAAAATGTTAAACATAGAGGATAGGTGTGGTGGCTCACACCTATAATCTCAGTGCTTTTAGGAGGCCGAGGCAGGCGGATCACTTGGGGTCAGGAATTCGAGACCAGCCTGGTCAACGTGGTGAAACCCCATCTCTACTAAAAATACAAAAATTACCTAGGTGTGGTGGCACACGGCTGTAATCCCAGCTACTCAGCAGGCTGAGGCATGAAAATCGCTTGAACCCAGGAGGCAGAAGTTGCAGTGAACCAAGATTGCACCACTGCACTCCAGCCTGGGCGACAGAGGTAGACTCCGTCTCAAAAAAAAAAAAAAAAAAAAAAAAAAGAGTCATTATATGACCCAGCAATTTTATATGTATATATGTATACATATAAATATGTATGTGTGTAGATAGATAGATAGACAGATATTCTCCAAGAGATTTGAAAATATATGGTCCACACAAAAAATGTACATTAATGTTCAACAGCAGCATGAGTCATAATAGCGAAAAAGTGGAAACAACCCCGATGTCCATCAGTTGATAAATGGAGAGGCAAAATGTGGTATAACATGGTAGGATCTATACAATGGAATATCAAGTAGCAATAAGAAGGAATGAAGTACTGACTCATGCTACCACATGGATGAGCCCTGAAAATATTACACTAAGTGAAAGAAGCCAGTCACAAAAAGCCACGTGTGGTATGATTCCCCTTTTTTTTTTTTTTTTTTTTGAGACGGAGTCTCGCTCTGTCGCCCAGGCTGGAGTGCAGTGGCGCGATCTCGGCTCACTGCAAGCTCCGCCTCCCGGGTTCACGCCATTCTCCTGCCTCAGCCTCCCGAGTAGCTGGGACCACAGGCGCCCGCCACGACGCCCGGCTAATTTTTTGTATTTTTTAGTAGAGACAGGTTTTCACCGTGTTAGCCAGGATGGTCTCGATCTCCTGACCTTGTGCTCCCAAAGTGCTGGGGTTACAGGCATGAGCCACCGCGCCCGGCTGATTCTCCTTTTACCAAATACCCAGAAAAGGCAAATCTGTAGAAACCAAAAGTAGAATCGTGGGTGCCAGGGGCTGTGGAGGGAATGGGAAGTGACTGCTAATGGGTATCGCGTTTTTATATGAGATGATGAAAATGTTGTGAAATTAGATCGTGGTAATAGTTACGCAACTTTGTGAATATACTGAAAAACACTGAATCGTATACTTAAAGGGGTGAATTTTATATTTTATAATATGTGGATTATATCCCAATAAAGCTGGGTATTTTTTTTGTTTTTGTTTTTGTTTTTTTTTTGAGACGGAGTCTCGCTCTGTCGCCAGGCTGGAGCGCAGTGGTGCGATCTTGGCTCACTGCAATCTCTGACTCCCAGGTTCAAGAGATTCTCCTGCCTCAGCCTCCTGAGTAGCTGGGATTACAGGCACATGCCACCACGCCCAGCTAATTTTTGTATTTTTAGTAGAGACGGGGTTTCACCATGTTGGCCAGGATGGTCTCGATTTCTTGACCTCGTGATCTGCCCGTCTTGGCCTCCCAAAGTGCTGGGATTACAGGCGTGAGCCTCCGCTCCCGGCTAATAAAGCTGTTATTTTTTAAGACATAATATAAAACTTTGGTAAGCAAAACAGCACAAAAGACCAGAATAGATGCAATTACTGACCAGAATTTTGTACATAATAAAAGTGGCATTTCAAGTAAGAGGAAAGATTTATTATTCTGAAAATTATATCGAAACATTCCTTGATAAGTTATCCATGGGGGAAGGTGGTATTTGGAACCTTAATCTGCTCCTTTCAGATGAATGAAGGACTTAAATGTAAAAAGTAAAACTATAAAAATGCTAGGATAAACAGGTGAGTTTTATAAAATCTCAGAGTGGGAAAGACAAAACACAAAGAACCCCAAAGAAAAAAAAATGCATAAATTTGACTTATAAATGTTTCAAATTTCTACATGGAAAAAAAAGACAAATAGCAAACTGAAAAAAAATTATAAAAATATGACCTCATTTTTACAAACTTTCAGTTTCCTTATTATATAAAAATGCTGCATGTATCCCTAAGAAAAAACAAACCAAAAGAAAAATAAACCTAAACAGACCATTTCTAGAAATAAAAATAAAAATATGAAAAGATGTCCAACTTCATTCGTAATTAATGCTTATTAAAACAACAACTAGATACCATTTTTCATCTATCAGATTGGCCAAAATAAAACAAGTCTGCTAAAAAAGTGCATGTTCAAAAATGTGAAAAAAAGGGCTGGGCGTGGTGGCTTACGCCTATAATCCCAGCACTTTGGGAGGCCAAGGCAGGCGGATCACTTGAGGTCAGGAGTTCAAGACCATCTGGCCAACATGGCGAAACCCCGTCTCTACCAAAGATACAAAAATTAGCTGGGAGTGGAGGTGCACACCTGTAATCCCAGCTACTTGGGAGTCTGAGGCAGAAGAATCGCTGGAACCCGGGAGGCAGAGGTTGCAGTGAGCTGAGATTGTGCCACAGCACTCCAGCCTGGGTGACAAAGCAAGACTCCATCTCAAAAAAAAAAGAAAAAAGAAAAGAAAAGTGAAGAGAAAAAAAACTGGCCCCACTGTTGAAAATTTAGGTCCACACAAAAATCTGCATGGAGATGTTCATAGCAGCTATATTCATCATTGCTTAATCCTGGAAACAACCAAGATGTCTTTCAGTAGGTTACTGGATTAAAAAACTATGGTCATCCAGACAATGGAATATTATTCAGTGCTAAAAAGAAACGAACTAACAAGCCACAAAAAGAGTAACCTTAAATGCACATTGATAAGTGAAAGAAGCCTATCTTTTTTTTTTTTTTTTTTTTTTTTGAGACGGAGTCTCGCTGTCGCCCAGACTGGGGTGCAGTGGCACAATCTCGGCTCACTGCAAGCTCCGCCTCCCAGGTTCGTGCCATTCTCCTGCCTCAGCCTCCGGAGTAGCTGGGACTACAGGCTCCCGCCACCGCGCCCGGCTAATTTTTTGTATTTTTTAGTAGAGACGGGGTTTCACTGTGTTAGCCAGGATGGTCTCGATATCCTGACCTTGTGATCCGCCCGCCTCGGCCTCCCAAAGTGCTGGGATTACAGGCGTGAGCCACTGCGCCCGGCTAGAAAAAAAAAAGCTATATTCTGTATAATTCCAAATATATGACATTGTGGAAAAGACAAAAGTATGAAGACAATAAAAAAATCTGTTATTGGCAGGGAGCGGAAGCACACGCCTGTAATCCCAGCACTTTGGAAGGCCAAGGCGGGCGGATCACGAGGTCAAGAGATGGAGACCATCCTGGCCAACATCGTGAAACCCTGTCTCTACTAAAAATACAAAAATTAGCTGGGCATGGTGGAGCATGCCTGTAGTCCTAGCTACTCGGGAGGCTAAGGCAGGAGAATCACTTGAACCCGGGGGGCAGAGGTTGCAGTGAGCGGAGTGCGCCACTGTACTCCAGCCTGGTGACAGAGCAAGACTCCATCCCCCTCCCAAAAAAAAATCTGTTATTGTCAGGGGTTGCAGTGGGGAGAGAGGGAGGAATAAATAGTTGGAACAGGAGATTTTTAGGACAGTGAAACTATTCTGTATGATACTGTAATGGTAGATACATGCCTTTTATACATTTGTCAAAACCCACAGAATGTACACCACTGAGAAACAGCCTTAATGTAAGCTATGGACTTCTGTTAATCACAATGTATCAGCATTGGTTCATCAATTATAGCAAATGTACCACACTAATAAAAGATGTAAATAATTGAGGAAACTATAGGGGGGAGGGGGAGGTGTACAGGAACTCTCTGTACTTTCTGATCAATTTTCTGTTAACATAAAACTGCTAAAAAAAAAAGGTGGGGGGTGGGGAGCAAGGGGAGGAGGAGCATTAGGAGAAATATCTAATTCACGCTGGGCTTAAAACCTAGATGACGGGTTAATAGGGGCAGCAAACCACCATGGCACACGTATACCTATGTAACAAACCTGCGTATTCTGCACATGCATCCTGGAACTTAAAGAAGATTAAAAACAAAATACAATAAATAAAATAAAATAAATAAAAGTTCCAATAAAGCACATTTTAAAAACAAAAAAAATAAAAATAATAAAGACTACTGATTAAAACCAAAAAAATGGTATTATATATTGGTGGTAGTTGTGTAAATTGCTACAACCTCATTTCATTGGAGCAAAATTTGACAATACCTACCTACCAAAAAAATTTTTTTACAGTGTCACTCTCAGTATACCAAACATTTTAAAGAAACACACTTTTTTTTACCCAGATAAGTCCACTTCTAAGAATTTATCTTTCATATAGACTCACAGGTAGAAACAACGTTTATATAATGATATTCATCAGTTCTGTTGTAATAGCAAAAGATATGAAATAATCTTTTGGTAGACACAGTAATAGCCCCCCAAAAATGTCCATATCCTAATCCCCAGAACCTGTGAATATGCTATGTTACATGGGAAAGGGATTTAAAGTTGCAGATGGAGTTATGGTTGCTAAACAGATGACTTTAAAATAGGGAGATTATCCTGGGTTATCAGGGTAAGCCCAGTGCAATCACAAGGGTTCTTAAAAGTGGAAGAGGGAGAGGCTGGGCGAGGTGGCTCACGCCTATAATCCCAGCACTTTGGGAGGCTGAAGTGGGCAGATCATCTGAGGTCAGGAGTTCAAGACCAGCCTGGCCAACACAGTGAAACCCCATCTCTACTAAAAATACAAAAATTAGCTGGGTGTGGTGGCAGGCACCTGTAATCACAGCCACTTGGGAGGCTGAGGCAGAATTGCTTGAACCTGGGAGATGGAGGTGCAGTGAGCCAAGATCACACCACTGCACTCCAGCCTAGGCAACAGAGTGAGATTCCATCTCAAAAAAAAAAAAAAAAGTGGGAGAGTGAGGTAGAAAAGGAGAGTTGGAGTGATGTGATTGGAGGAAAAACTCAACCTATTGTTGCTGGTTTTGAAGACAGAGGAAGGGGCCACAAGCCAAGGAATGCAGGTGTCCCAGAAGCTGCAAAGCACAGGAAAACAGATTCTCACCTAGAGTCTCCAGGAGGGAACACAGTCCTGCAGATAACTTGATTTTAGCCCAGCAAGTCTCATTTCAGACTTTTGAACTGCGGAACTGTGAGATCATAGATTTATATTGTTTTAAGGCACTGAATTCATGGCAATTTGTTACAGCTGACACAGAAAACTAATAAAAACCTAAATGTCCACCAGTAGAGGACTGGTAAATAAATGCAGTGTAACACCCTGCGGCCTCAAAAAGAATGATGTAGCTTTATATAAATTTACATGGAATTAGTTCCAGGCTACATTAAGTGGGGGTAAAATGCAAACTATAAGAAGAATGTACATAGCATGTTAGCTGTATAAAAAGAGGCACAGTTTAAAACCTACATAGATCCTTTATGTATATCCATAGAATATCTTCGGAAAGATTCACCAGAACCTGGTAACATTTATTGCCACCAGGGGAAGAGAAATGGGTGACAAGGGTTTCCCATGGGAGAGATGTTTGTTTTTCACTGTGTCCCACTTCGTGCTGTTGTGGCTTTTGTTTCTGTTTTTGTTTTATCATGTTCAAGCATTGCTTTAAGAATTTAAAAAAAAAAGACAAAAAAATGTTTAAGGGAGGGAGTTGTGCTCAGTCTTAAATGAGTTTTTAGTGTTTGAATCAGTTTAATAAGTAATGATGGAGCCCCTTCCCTGTGTGGCACACTATCACCTACCTTTTCTCATTTAATCTTCCTTAGCAAACTTGATGGGTCAGTGTTCTTATGATACCCACGGTTGAGGCACTGAGTCACAGAGGGTTAGTGACCAAATTGCACAGCTAGTAAGTTTCACAGTTGGATTTCAAAGCTTGGTCTTCCAGCTCCAGTGTTGTTGCTGGTTCCCACAGCAGTAGGGGTCAGCTTAACCCTAGGACGCTACGACATGGAGTTGTCAAACAGCCATCTCTACTGCTTTTCCTGGCCCTTTTGTAGGTCTCTGAGTTGAGGAGAAGGTCAGCCTCCAGAGGGGCTTTCTGGGTTCAGCCCACCTTCTCCTGTTACATCTCTCAGCAAAGCTCCTTTCGGCCCTTCTGGGGAGAGGCGGCTGCCAGCGGTCACTGCGTTAATTGTTCTCTCTGGTGGGCTCACGTTGCAACAGACCCAGTGCAGCCACCTGCTTTCCTCCCGCGGAGCTGAAACCCTAGAGATGACAGGCCTCTGCCTAGTATTACATCTTGATCAAATAAGACTGCCCTGAGATTTATCATTCCTGCAAATGTCAGGCCGCAGGTGAAGGGGGTGCGTGCACAGAACGAGGACTTCCCTCTTGGGTTTTTCCCCTGCTTGTCGGTAACTTACAAGTCTGGGCGGACAAAATCCACCTTCCTGGGCCTCCCTGTCTGGCAGAATAGAGATCATGTTCCTGCGTGGTAGGGACAGATGTTGCTGGCCCATCTACCTTGGAGGAGCTATGTTTAAATATACTCAAACTGCCTTTCACGTTGAGGGTCACAAAGCATTTTCAAATGACTCATTAGTGAATTTCAATGTCTAGAAAAAGCAAGAATTATTATTTTCATTTTATAAATAGGTCAAAAGTCACACAATCAATGACAGATGTCGGAAACAGAGGTAAGAATTCTGCTTTTGTCTTCGGCTGCAGCCACTAAATCCCACCTCTAGTATCCCCGACAGACCTCCTTTCTGCTCTCCAACTTCTGGCCAAAGACTTGGAATTGGCCTTTATGTGTTTCTACTTAAAGGTTTGAATTCTATGTATGGTTCATATGCCTTTGATATTTCTGGAATTTATAAAAGAAAAGGAGAAGAATGATATTTGATGCTTTTCAGAGATCACGTTGGGACTGAGCCTTATATTGTGGGTCAAATGCCAGTAACGGGGAAAAAAATGGTCACCAGATCTTTAGAAGGTTCACTTTTATTCTCTCTCTGAAAGAATTTTGTCTGTTAAAATTAAGCAGAGTGTATCCTTAGTCACCAAAATGATTGTTGTAGGAATACTGAAAGTCACTGCTTATTGAGCACCAACTATGTGCCAAGCACTGCTCTACTTAACGCATCCACTGTATCGGGTGATTCTCACCAACACCCTAGGAGGTCTTTATCATTCATTGTATAGGTAATATAACTGGGTTCAGAGATAGAAGATGGGATGAGGAGAAAGGTGAGGGAAAGAAGAGAAAGTTCAAAGGAAATTAATTAAAAAGTATTGGGTATATAAAATGTGCCAGATGTGTTGTGTTATAATAGGTGTTGGAGATACAAAGATGAATAAAATATCACTCTCAAGGAGTTGATAGCCTTGTGGGACATTGAGGGTGACAGCTGAAGAGGCAAACATATAATAATAATAATAATAATAATAATAATAATAATAATAATAATGTCAATACAATTCAGTCCAGAAGTATTTATTGAGTTTCTGGTATGTGTTAGACACTGCACTAGTTGCAGTGGATAGTTCCTCTTCTCTTGGTGCTTACCATCTAATAAGAAAGTCAAACATTCATCAAATAATTATACATGTTTAAAATTGCAATTGAGTGCAATAAAAGACACCAGATGGGCCACAGCCTGACAGAGGATTAGTACTCAGAATATATAAAGAACTCCTACTCATAGTAAGAGATAATCTAACAGAAGCACTGTCAAATAAACCAATGAGCAACTTAAAAATGAGGAAATGGCCAACAAACAAATGAAAGTGTGCTCAGTCTCACCTGTTAACAGGGAATTGCAAATTAAAACACTGAAAGGCCATTTCACACCCATCAGCTTGGCAAAAATTTTGAAGTCTGACAATACCAAATGTTGTTGAGGATGCCAAGCATGGGAACTTCCATATATTGCTATCAGACTGTGAATGGTACAACCACTTTGAAAAAACTTTTAGTCATGCTGAGTAAAGCTGCCAGTTCCTCTGCCTTGAATCCAGCAATTCTGCACCCAAGTGGCTACTGGAAGACTTACTTTCACACAAGGGGATGGGTATAAAAAATACTAATCACAATATTGTTTCTAACAGAAAAAAAATTAAAAATAAGTTGAATGTCCTTCAGAAGGACATTGGTAAATAAAGTATGGTGAACTCATATAATGGGACCCAAATAGGAAGTGAAAATTGCATAATCTAGAACTACGTGTATCCATGTGAACACATTTCAAGATTATCCTGCTGGGTGAAAAAAGCAAGTTGCACAATTATATACCCAGTATAATGGTATTTCTTCAGAGTTTAAAAACATACCAAACAATTCTGTAAAGTGCTTACAGGCACAAATATATGTAGCAAAAATACAAAAGTATGCATAGGAATGGTAAAACTCAAAGGCAGAAAGTGATTACCATAGGGGAGGGACAGAAATGAGTTCAGAAGACTAGATCTGTGAGGTTTTATGTCCTTTAAAAAAGATCTGAAGAAAATAGAGCAAATGTTAAGCTTTGACAAAGACGTGGCTAGGGGAGGGGAAGGCACACAGAATAGTGATTAATTATATTATTCGCTATAGTTTTTTGGTATGCTTTAAATTTTTTTGAATTGCACTTTGACCTATTAAAGGCGAATTCCACTGAGTTGGGGGTGGGTGGGTCAGGGAAGGCTTCTCAGACGAATTGAGTCTTACTTAAGATGACAGCTGAAAATTGAGTAGAAGAGGAAGGGCGGCAAGGTGTTTCAGGCAGAGAAGCCTGCGCTAAGAGGCTGGACTGGGAAGGTGAGGTAGGGGCCAGGGACTGAGACCCCCTGTGTGGCCAGAGCAGGGGAAGAAAGGAGCTGATGTTGAGGGGAGGGGAGGCGAAGGGGGTGTGCACAGACCATGCAGGACCCCACAGGCCATCCTGAAGGCTCAAGCCTCTCCCCTAAATATGACAAAATCAGCAGGCGGCCCAGGGACACTTCACTCGGCCAGATAGCGGAACAGGGAGGGCGTTCTTGAAAAGGTGACTCACATCTTGAGTTCTGGAGGATGAGTAAGAGGAAGCCGGTAGGGGGAGGGGGAGAAGGGAGGAAGGGGAAAATTCTCTGGATAGGGCCTAACTGCAGCAAAGACCTGAGGACCTTCAAGAGTGTGGCCCCAGCGGGCTCCAGCCTCCGAGCCTAGCTCGGGAGGCGTGGTGTAGAAAATGGCAGACTAGGGCATCCATGAAGACCGGGCGGCCCCAAGCCGAGAGGCATGGCAAAACAGGGGTTGCAGGTGGCTGTTCTGGCAGAGCGAGGAGGATGGATTTGAAGAAGACAGGCATGCAGGGGAGACCTTTGAGGGGAATGTGTCAACAGCCAAGGGGGGCGGGGCGCCGGGGAGGTCTGGATGAAGTGGGAATGAGGATGGAGTGCAGAGTGCCTGGAGAAGTGTTCAGGAGGGAAGGCGAGGCATCGGGACGAGGGGCTGGGCGGTCGCGCCATCTCTGCGATAGACAATAATCGGGTCAACACGCGGCGAGTGGCGGTGCGCGCGGGGCCAACCGCGTGGAGCTGTCGGGAGGGCGATAGGATGGGCGCGCCCGGGCTGCAGGCGGGGAGCCGGAGGTGGGAGGTGCCTCTTGAGAGTGGCTCTCCACCGCTGACAGCAAACGAGCTGGTCCGGACGGAGGACAGAGGGGGAAGAAACGGAGGGAGTCGCTGGGGGACGGCGACGAGTGGGATCCGGGCGGGTGGGACTGGGCGCAAAGGACCGCGCCGACGCCGCATGGCTGCCGGGAATTCAGCTCCCCCGGCCAGGTTGAGCGGGCCCCGGGGCCCGGAGCGGGCGTCGGCATCTCCGGCCTCCCCGCGGGGCTGCAGGCAGGCGGCGCCCCGAGCGCACCCCGCGCGAGCAGGCGCGGAACAGCGGACCCAGGCCGGGCCTTCCCGCAGCTTTTCTGGCCGCCTCGGAGGGCAGGGTCCCAGCGCGGCCCGAGGCGCCTCTTGCCAGCGGCCCGACCTCCTGCCCTCCCGGCCCCCTCCAGGCTCCCCGCACGTGCAGGCCCGGCGACGTCACTGCGGCTCTGACGCGCTCTTGGAGGCCCGGGCGGAGGCGGCGCGGCGCGGGCTTCCTCCGGGAGGTCCCGGTCCCGGCAGCCCGCGGCCGCGTCCTTGGCCCTCCTCCGGGGGAACCTCGTTCATTCCAAACTCTGGAAGGCCGGCTGTCCTTCGGTTACTGATAAGGACGCGAGCTCTTGGTAAAAGATTTGAACAATGCCCGGAAAGAAATAGCTGGACCTAAGAAACAGACTAATAATAGCTGCCAGCTAGAGCTCCACTCGTGTGCTCAGCGCCTTTAGGAACAATAATAACGACCACAGCCATAGTAGCCACCATTTATTGAGCGCTTACTCTGTGCCAGGTGCTGTGTTAAGCGCTTTGCAGGCAACAACCCTCGGAGGTAAGTACCATTATCATCCCTATTTTGCAGGAAACCCGGGCACAGAGAGGTTAAGTAACTTGCCCCAGGGCACACAGCTAGCTGATGTCAGTGCCAGAATTCCAACCGCGGCTGTCGGACCCCATGCCATCCTCATGTCAACCCACTAAGGACGGGATCCTTCTGTCCATCTTAAAGATGAGGCAACTAAGGCACATGGAAATTTAAGTATAATACCTTGCCCAAGGTCACCTAGCTGGAAAATGGACGAGACAGAAAGCGAACCCAGGGCTCCTTTCTGTACGCAGAACCCGCGGTCTTGGCCATAGGCGATGCCACTTCCGACAGCCCAGCAGGGTCTGGCCCTGGGTCCCAGAGGCGCAGCCCCTGCGGGGTTTGGATGGGTTCCTGCGGCCTCCGATCCGCTGGTGAATTGGGTGTGTCTGAGCATCGTCCCCGCTCAGCCCGCAGGCGTAGGATAGGGAGGCGTCTCCGGGAATCTACTCCGGGACGGGTCCGCGGTCCTCAGTCGGGATGGAGCGGGGGCGGAGGCAGCCGGAGGGAACTGGAGTCCCCATTGCAGAACTGCGGGGCCGGGCTCTGGGCTGGGCGCCTGCCCCGCGCGGCCGGCAGAGGGCGCTGCCGCACACGCCTTGGATCTCACTGTCACTGGGACCTCGGGGCAGGCTGACGTCGGCCTGCAGACGCCTGGACTCAGAACCCCGAAGCAAGAAGCTTCCCTTCCTGGTGGCTGCCATCCCTCAGGCCCACCATTTCAGCCCTGGACCTGCTTTCCCTGACCACTTTTCCCCATCTTCTGTGCTCCTGCCATCCCACCACTGGCCTTCAAGACTTCCCCAGTCCCTGCACAGCGGGTTTTGTCATCTGCTGAGAGGCGCGGACACTGATTCCCATCCCATTAAAAGGCCTAGATGTCTGCAAGTCAAATTCAGCCTTGCTTCCCCTTCTCGCCCTCTGGTGATTTAAAATAGGGATACATCATCTACTTGGAATAAATGACTAATTTTTCTCTTCTCCAAAATACGGTGGGTATGGGGAGGGTTGGTTAAGTAGGCGCACACAGATGAAAGGATCTATTTTCATAATAGCTACCGAGTACAGAGTGCTTCTTTTGCGCTGAGCCCTTTATGTGCTTTGACTCATTAATCCTCACTACAGCCCTAAGAGGTGTGGATGATGATTGCTGTTTGATGGATGAGGTCACAAGGCTGGTAAGTGGCAAAGCTGGGATTCTTCCCAGGAGTGTCTGACTTTAAAGCTATGTTCTCATCACCCAGAATGTACACGCTGAAACAACTGAACAGAAGAGGTAAGATGCAAATCATGAAAAACAAATCAAAATCTACGCTGAGAGTGCATAGAAATACCACATGTCATGGGAGGCTTGACCAGCTTGAGTCCCCAATGTGGGACTCAGATGTTGAACAGAAAAACAAAACCTAAAGGTGCAAGGAGAGAATAAGAATGAGGCTTTTGGCTTTAGCTTGGAAGAGCATCCGGAGAGGCCCACTCACTTTCTATGTCTGGGCTCTGAGAAAATAAAGGTGGTTCTAGGAAAATCTGAAAAGTATGGGAGAAAGAAAAAAAAAATCCCTTTTGTGGTTTTTCCTTTAACCAAGCCTCATTTTGCTATTTGTGTTTTATTTTAAAATTAATGTGGCTCTCCCCACCCTTTAAATTGGCACATAAATAGCAAAAACAGAAGGAAAGCCAGCTACAAACTTAAAATGTGGTGGGTTTCTCAGGAAGGAGGTACATGACTTGAAATGGAAATGAGGATTAAATGAGATGCCTTAAACATTTCAAAAACAGACTTTCCACAAGGAATTTAGATCATAAGCCCTTAGGGCAGAAGCTTTGTCTGGGTCTGGGCTTGGTATAGTGTCTAGAATCTGTGAGTGCCCAATGAATGTGTAAAACAAATCACCCTTTTAGTACATGCTTGCATCATCTGACCATCTGGGCTACCACGTTGCTTATGGTTTTATTTATTATTATTATTATTATTTATTTTTTGAGACGGAGTCTCACTCTTGTAGCCCAGGCTGGAGTGTAATGGCACAATCTTAACTCACTGCAACCTCTGCCTCCTGGGTTCAAGTGATTCTCCTGCCTCAGCCTCTCGAATAGGTGGGATTACAGGCACCTGCCACCACACCCGGCTAATTTTTGTATTTCTAGAAAAGATGGGGTTTCACCATGTTGGCCAGTCTGGTCTCGAACTCCTGACCTCAGGTGATCCGCCCACGTCAGCTTCCCAAAGTGCTGGGATTACAGGCATCAGCCACCACGCCCGGCCTGCTTATGGTTTTGAAGTGTTGCTTCTGGGGTGATATTCCTGTCCTCTAGATCTCAGTCACTCCTCAGACCCCTCCCTTTTCCAGAAATTTGCTCTGGAAATTCAATCAAGGTGAGGCAATAGGTGATGATGTCACTAGGCTTGGTGAAGTAGAATGACTGCTCAGCTCTGGAACCACCAACTGGAGGTTTTTCCAAACGAGGAAAACAAAGTCATGGGACTTGTCACTTAATAGTTCTGACTGTATTGCCCTGTGCCTTTAAACTGGAAGAATTCCCCCTCTTCACCCAATACCCTGGCCATCCCAGGTGGCCTCCTGCAAAATTATTGGACTTCTTTGCCCTTTCCTCAGTCTGCTTCTTCTTCCCTCCTTCTTTCAGTACCTTCACTCCACAGACATGTATTGAGAGCCCATTATATGTAGGTGCTGGGAGGACAGCAGAGAACCTAGCATGAGCTCATGGGCTCACCTTCTCCTGTTCCCACCTCCACCTGGCTCCTTTCTTCATGGCTCCAACTTTCAGGTTTGGCTCCACCATAGTAACTGACTTGCTTCTCCATGTGGGAACAACTACTCAGACACTTTTTTTTTTTTTTTTTTTTGAAACGGAATTTCACTCTTGTTGCCCAGGCTGGAGTGCAGTGGCACCATCTCAGCTCACCGCAACCTCAGCCTCCTGGGTTCAAGGGATTCTCCTGCCTCAGCCTCCCGAGTAGCTGGGATTACAGGCATGCACCACCACACCCGGCTAATTTTGCATTTTTAGTAGAGACAGGGTTTCTTCATTTTGGTCAGGCTGGTCTCGAACTCCCGACCTTAGATGATCCGCCCACCTCCCAAGTGCTGGGATTACAGGCATGAGCCACCATGCCTGACCAGACACATCTGACATTCTATCAGCTCCGGGCAGCTTCCTGAGACCATACCTGCTGACTTTAGAACCCCACCTTGGGGGTACCCATTTGGCAGGTTTGGATCCTGATGGACCTTCAGGAGCAGAACTTGGGAATGTTCTAGCTCCAGGACCTGCCAATGCCGTCCCATCCTTTCCTAGTTGGCTTTCCTTCCATTCATAAGAACACTGTGACAACTGAAATAATTCAGGTCATATTTATGAAACATCTATTACAATGAGAATCCCATAGTGACATAATACTCCACTGTTCACAGGAAAATGCTAGCTAAAACAAACAACAGTGACTGTCTGGCAAGGGACGCATCGAATAATGCTTATGAGTCTTTTGGGTCTTTTTTTTTTTAATCTTGGGATCGAGTGATTGATAATAATGAAGGGGAAGGAAGACATTAGGCCTGTTTTAGTTCTCAGAATTATTCACAGGGAATAGACTTTCACCATCAACACCCTAAAGATGCAGAATGCTCAAGGTAAATTGCCAGTTTTTGTCTTTCTGGAAAATCCATTAATACTGAATGATCTTGGTCTTGACCCATTCCAAAAAAAAAAAAAAAAAAGAGGATTGAGCCATGGGATTCAGATTATGTCCTTGAAAATCCCTTTAAAAACTAGATTCCAAATCAGTGCTCTCATTCTTCTTGAATATCCCACCCACCAGCTTAGCTTGTCCTATCCCTTCTAGATACAGCATTATTTTCTCTCTTTGAGGAAGAATGGCCCAGAGGCCGGAAGAGTGAGGGAACGTAAGAACGACTTTTCCACTGACCTGAGTTGCTAAAGCCATTTGGACCCAGAGAACTCATTGTATATGTGTGCTGCTCAATATATATGTGTGCATGAATTTGTGGTTGTGCATTTTCTGGCTAATATCCAAAGTCTTCATAACAAGGGGCCTGAGATACGACAAAAGGAAGACCTATGTGTCAAGGACGTGTGTCCACCCACCAAGAAGTTCTGGATGCCCAAAGGGGCTCCTAGCTCAGGGTCTGTGTGTCCAGCTGCTGGGGTAAAGAGATTTGGAAACCACTGAACATTTCTGCTGGGATCCTTCCAAACCCTTTTGGGAACCGGCAATAGCACTTGTCAGGGGAAATTAGTTCTGCACTTTCACAGAGTGAGAAATTCCTCAGGGGGCATTCTTGTACTTGGGAAGAGAAATCGAACCCAGCTGATTCCTTCAGGGCCCTTGCCATTAATAAAGCAGACGAAGTCCAGTTCAGTTAGTCCCGCCTGGGTCAGGGCGTGGAGTGAGGACAGGAGCAATGGCGTTCAGGGAATTTCACCTGTGGCTATGGCCCTCCTCTGATGGGTGCAAGCTTGATATTTTAGGGGATCGCGTTACCGGCATGTAAACACCGTGAGTGACAGCCAAAGCTCCCAGGCGACCACAGAGGATCTCAAACCCTTCCTATCTTCCTAGAAACCCTGGCAGCCCGACCGGCTGCTTGCTGTCTGATGCAACAGTTTGCAACGCTGTTCTGGGAGTTGAGTCCTGCTGCGGGGCGCCGGGAACCGGGCCGACGCGCATGCGCGGGCTGCGGCCCCGCCCCAAAGGGCGGAGGGGGAGCTTTTCACCAGATGTGCGGGGGGCGGGGCCGGTCGGCCAGGGAGACCTCTGGCAGCTCGCGCCTGCGATCTGAGCTTAATTAAACTTCTCCCGAGGCATTGGCTGACTGATTGACCCAGTGATCCAAAAAAATCAGAGAGGCCCAAATCTCCCCAAACGCACCGGCAGAGCGAAGTTGGGAAGTTGGCTTCGGTTTCCAGACTTGGGCCTTTGGATTCGGCGTCCCTCTCCTGCGCCCCCGATCCGCAGCACTGTCCAGGATCCACAGCTCGGAAGCACAGTCAAGCCTCGCGGGTCTGGGCCCTCACACCACACACTTTCTTAAGAAGGGAGGCATTGTGGCTACGGGGCGGAAAGGAGGCAAGATTTTGATACCTCCTTTGTCAGTATCTCCTCTGCCTCGCTCATCTGTTTTAGGTTTTATGAGCAGGAGACGTCACCGATTATTTTCCAAAATTTTCAGCTGTTCGGATATTGCCTTCACGGTTTGCTTCCATGTCCACATTCCACCACTATTATATATTTTAATAGACTTTTATTTTATTAACTTTTTCTTTAACTTTAAACCGTTTCCCTTTTTTAGATAGCTTTGCCCTAAGCAATAACATTAGCAAAGCTACAGGCTGAAAATAAATTCAAAACTATTAAAATAAAAAATATATATATGGGCTGGTCCGAGTGCAGTGGTGTTTGCAACTAACTGATCACATTCAGTTACAGATTTCTTTCTTTTCTTTTTTCTTTTCTTCTCCACTCACACTGCTTCACTTGACCAGCCATATATATATATATATATATATATATGCTAAATTGTCTCGTCTACCACATTTGGTGAAAAACTCTGGTAATTGCTGGACACAATGGCTCATGTTTGTAATCCCAGCACTTTGGGAGGTCAGCCAGCCTGGGCAACATGGTAAAACCCATCTCTACTAAAAACACAAAAATTAGCTGGGCATAGTGGCGCGTGCCTGTAGTCCCAACTACCGGGGAGGCGAGGTGGGAGGATTGCTTGAGCCCGGGAGGTTGAGGCTGCAGTGAGTTATGATGGTGCCACTGCACTCCAGCCTGGGTGACAGTGAGACCCTGTCTCAAAAACAAACAAAAACTCTGGAGGTAATACTACCTAACATATTGAGTGATTGTCAATGTCTCAGGCATTATTCTAAGCACTTTACATGTTCTTACTCCTTATGACACCACAGAAGGTGGATGTTGTTTACATTTTAAAGGAGAAAAATGAGGCACAGAGAGGTTAAGTAACTTGCCTAAGATCACAGAGCCAGGATGCAAACTCCACTAGCCTGTCTCCAGAGCCTACATGGCTGCCCTATCCAAGGAGGACCCACAGTTTCTCCAAATCTTACCCCTCTTTCAAGGCCAAGATCAAATGTCAGGGCCTGGATGAAGGCTACCTGGGAGATGGGCACACAGGGTACTGGCATAGGGGAGCATGAGAATCCAGTCAGCCAGGGTTCAGGTACTGGTTTTGCTGTTACTAATTTTATGATCTGAAGCTTTTAGTTTCTTCATCTGTAAAATAAGCAGAATCATTATTTATTTATTTATTTATTTATTTATTTATTTATTTATTTATTTATTTTTGAGATGGAGTCTCGCTCTGTCACCCAGGCTGGAATGCAGTGGCACGATCTCGGCTCACTGCAAGCTCCACCTCCCGGGTTCATGCCATTCTTCTGCCTCAGCCTCCCAAGTAGCTGGGACTACAGGCACCCACCACCACGCCTGGCTAATTTTTTGTATTTTTAGTAGAGACAGGGTTTCACCATGTTAGCCAGGATGGCCTCGATCTCCTGACCTCGTGATCCACCCGCCTTGGCCTCCCAAAGTGCTGGGATTACAGGTGTGAGCTACCATGCCCAGCCCAGAATCAATTTCTTCATACACCCTTGATCCAACCAACTCAGGACATCTGTCCCAGTTTAGAGTTCTCTTCTTCCTTCTAAGGCTCGGTTTGGGCCCCTCCCATGTGCTCTCCTGGCACTTGATACTTACCGGGATGTTAGCACTGAATAGCACCGTACTGTAAATACTTGCTTCCCTCACTAGACCAGAAGCTCCTTGAGCACAGAGTCTTGCCTTGGTCAGTGCTGTATCTCCAGTACCCAGCCCAGTGCCTGGCACATGGTGGCCACCCGTTAAAATAGTATTGAATGAATGAACAAAGTGGGCCCTGAATAGAGGAAGGCCTTTTCTTTCCCCTCCAGATTGATGGAGCCATCCACATGGAAGGCTGAAGGACCCTCTAGCCTTCTAAGGACTCCTTCCGAGGGCACATTCTGTAACAGTGGGCAGCACTGGCATCACTACCCAAAGAGGTCAATGGGCTGACCCTGAGAGGTCTCCACAGGGCAAGTTGAGTTAGTGACACAGAACAGGCAGAAATGCCAACAAGCGTTAAGGAACTGCATTCAAGAATCTCTCTCAGCACTCATGAACTACTGGTTACTTAGTGCTAAGTGCAAGGGCCTACGTTTTGCAAACTTCAGTTCATTCTCACGACAGTCATAGAAGGTAGGTCAATCAGCCTTTAAATTTTTTAAAAAAATTTTTTAAAGCACCTTTTTTTTAAAAGCACCTTTGGAATCCAAAGGGTGCTTCCAGGCATTTCTTTCCACACTCCCTAGATCCCCCTCCTCCCCTTTACCTGGATGGGACAAAGTTTCTCATTTCCCATGTTTCATTTTCTTCTTTTTTTATTTTTTATTATTGTTTTATTTCTGTAGGTTATTGGGGAACAGGTGGTGTTTGGTTACATCAGTAAGTTCTTTAGTGGTGATCTGTGAGATTCTGTTGCACCCATCAGCCAAGCAGTACACACTGCACTCAATTTGTAGTCTTTTATCCCTCACCCCCTTCCCACCCTTTCCCCTGAGTCCCCAAAGTCCATTGTGTCATTCTTATGCCTTTGCATCCTCATAGCTTAACTCCCACTTATGAGTGAGAACATACAATGTTTGGTTTTCCATTCCTGAGTTACTTCACTTAGAATAATATCATTTTCTTCTCTAAAGTAACCCATAAATCTCTGATGTCCGTGACAATCCCTATTTTGAACATCCTATCTACTGTCCTCCATTGACCATGGAAACACTTAGAAATTCCCCTTATCCACATTAAAACTACATTTCCCAGACTGCCATTCTCATCTGGAAAGAGAACAAAAAGCCTATGTCAGACCATGTGTCTTCTATTTTGGGGTTGGAAAATCTGGTCACTAACTTGGATAAAGATTGGTATGCCCATAGACTAATTCTTCTGGCCCCAGGCAGACATGAATTTCCCAGGCCTCAAAGATTGGGGGTGGGGATGGGTTATTACAGCAAACAAAACCTTCAATTAGAGGCAGAAATAAAGACTTGGTGTAAGACTTTTAGAAAATTGATGACCCCTGCCCATCTATTTTCTTTCTGCAACAGCCCTTACCACCACCACCTCTTCCCTCTCTCCATTTCCTTTCCTTTCCCCTTCTTCCAGATTCTTCTCTTAATTGTACCATCGTGCCACTCCCTTGTCCCCACCCCCACCCCCTTGCCCACACCCATTCTTTAACTGTTTAGTATAAAATCCAGCCCACCAGACTGAGGTTTTCTTCGACCCAAATGTTATTTTCAGAAGGAGCCATTGAGGTTGGGGAGTAATTGCAGTGTTGGACCTCTGCAAGCCAAGCTGAAAATAATCAGCGAGGCAGATGGGGCGGGAAGAGAGTGTGGTGCCCTTCCACCAAAGAGCGAGAGAAACCCAACAGAATGAGTCAGAGAGACGAGTGCCAGGCTGGGCCGGCTGGGCTTACGGCTGGGAGTTCAGTTAAGGGGAAACTGCCCAAGGTGTTGGGGCCTCTGACTGAGGCCTGATCCAAGATGGTTCCTGGCTGCACATCACAAGTCCATATTTCTTGTGACAGCCGCTAAGCTTCTCTTGCTCTTACTTGGTTGGGCCATAGGAGCCAGTAGGCCAAATTGGAACTCAGCCGTGCCAGTTGGCTCGCCCATCTCTGCAGCGTTTCTCCACTTTGGCACTATTGACAGTCTAGGCTGGATGATTCTTTGTTGTGGGGAGCTGTCCTGGGTATTATAGCATGTTTATCAATATCCCTGGCCTCTACCCTCTCGATGCTAATAGCATACATGTTTACATTCACGTCCAGTTGTGACAATCAGAAATGTCCCTGGGAAGGCAAAAATCAGCCCTTGTTGAAAAACCACAACATCCAGGCCTACACGAGAGTCACATCACCTGTCCCCATGGTGGCGCCATTACCTTGCATTCTATCCAAATGGGCCTAGATCCAAATGATTAGCCAACTCGTATTTCCAATGGCCACTGTTAGATTCCTCAAACTCAGCATGAGTGCCTACCATGTGCCAGGCACTATACTTCATTGTTGACAATGAAGCAGTGGAAAATACAGACATGGTTCCTGCCTCATGGAAATTACAGGTGTATTGGAGAAAGACGGGCATTCAGTAACCACCAGTGAGAGGTGGGGAAAGAAAAAAATGGGATGCCATGAGACCACAGGAGAGGGTTTCTGACTTTGGTGAGGGGATCAAGAAAGGCTCTTAGAGGAAATAAGGAATTAGCCAGTTGGAGATTTGGGGGTAAGGGTGTATTCTGTAGAGGAGGGACTGAGTGTTCAGATGCCTTGAGTTAAGAGAGACTTTTTTTTTTTGGTTGTTTTGTTTTTGTTTTGTTTTGACGGAGTTTTGCTCTTGTTGCCCAGACTGAAGTGCAGTGGTGTGATCTTGGCTCACCGCAACCTCTGCTCCCAGATTCAAGCGATTCTCCCGCCTCAGCCTCCCAAGCAGCTGGGATTACAGGCATGCGCCCCCACACCGGGCTAATTTTGTATTTTTAGTAGAGACAGGGTTTCTCCATGTTGGTCAGGCTGGTCTCGAACTCCCGAGCTCAGGTGATCCGCCCACCTCGGCCTCCCAAAGTGCTGGGATTGCAGGCGTGAGCCACCGCGCCCGACCAAGAGACTGTTAAACATTTCAGAAACCCAAAGAAGTCTGTCTTGGACCAAGCTCAGGACAGTGGGAAGGCGTTTTCTCCTCTCACCCCCAAAACTTGCATTTCCTGTACTCCTTCTCTAGGTTTGTAGCGCAGGCATGTACACTCAGGATCATATTTAACCATATTTAAACCACCACCCCCTCCATTCTCAGTCAACCCCCCTTAGTCACCCAGTTACCAAGTTCTGTCATTCTCCCACCAAAATCTCTCTGCAAACTGTCTCCTTGTCTCCTTGTCTCCTTTCCCACCACCAAAGCCCTGATCTGATGCGGGCTCTTTATTACTCAGCCGAATTTGTGAAATAGCTTCCTAACGAGTCATCCTCCAGTCCCTCCCTCAGAGAAAGACACAGATCTGATCATGTCTTCCCAGGCCTAAAACCCCTCCATGGCTTCCAGAGGCCTGTGGGACAGGCTGCTTCCTTCTCATGGCCTTCAGATGCCCTTCTTTACCTGATCCCAACGTACCCCCAGTTCTCCACTCTGAGATCACGAGCCACACCCCATAGGCCTCCATACTTTTGCCATTCTCTTTGTCTGAAATGCCCTTCCTCAACCAAAACCATTGGGAAATTCCCATACCTATTTTAAAACCCAGCCAAAATGAACTCATGATTCTCTTCCATTCCTTCTAAGAAGCCTCCTCTTAATTCTTCCCTCTGTTTTCACTGGGCTTTATATATTGTTGTGAGTTTACCAGTTGTCATGTTGACCATAGTTATCTATTTAAACCCATCTCTTCCCTCAGCATCTCAGGACCTCAAGGGCAGATAATGTAGTGGACACTGCTGGCTGGCTACCCAACATCCATTCTCCCCCTTCCAGCTTCCTAAGAGAAGCCAAGGTGACGCAAGGCGCAGTGCAGTATTTAGAGTATGAGCTAAGCTGCTGTGACAGACCCAAAGTATAGAGACTGAAGAAGCAAGCCCATGGGGCTCTGTGGAAACTGACCCTTCCCAATAATTGATTCAGGAACCTGGCCCTAACTAATCTGAGTGCAGCAGAGACCTTTCTGGTTTACTCATATGCACCATCCCCTTTTTAAATAACAGAACTCCTGATTTTTGGCGAGCAGATGGCTGCCTCGTTAAAGACTACATTTCCCAACCTCCCTTGCTGTTCAATGTGGCCAGGAGTCTACGTGCTCCCCCAGTGAACAGTGAGCAGACATAATCGGACCACTTTTAAGCTGGGCTCTCAAAAGCACTGTGCATGTGCTTCCCTGACCCTTCTGCCCTTCTCCCTCCCTGGGAGATGATAGAAATTTGAAGCTGTCTCTTTGGACCTAGAGAGGGAAACCACATTTGAATGATGGCCAAGCCCTCCTATCAGTCTTCAACTGCTTTTTTTTTTTTTTTCTGAACTCTCATATGAAAGAGACATACGTTCTATTTTGCTTACACTCGTATGTGGGGTCTCTGTGTTACAGCTTTTCCTATGCTGTACAAAATACACGTGCCTGGCTTTCCCAAATCTTGGGAATTGGTTCCAAAATAGGTATGTGTCCTAGTTAGGGCCAATAGATGCCAGGAAGGTTTGATTTGGGTTTCTAGGAAAGAGCATGCTTGTTTTTATCAGGCAGCTTCATGGACAACCTTCTCTCTTTATCTTCCGCTAGACATTGCAGAGCCTGGAACTAGGGCAGTCCTCTTGCTACCAGCCTAAGGATGGCACCACACACAGAGGAGGGCAAAGTTAAGAGCATTGCAGGGAAATGGAATCAGTTTCTGGACTCATCAACTTGGAAGCCTACAGTGTTAGTCAGCTTGGGCTGCCATAACAAAATACCATAAACTGAGTGGATTCAACAACAGAGATTTATTTTCTCACAGTTCTGGAAGCTAAAAGTCCAAGATCAAGGCGCCATCAAAGTTGGTTTCTGGTGAGGCCTCTCTTCCTGGCTTGCAGATGGCTGCCTTCTCATTGGGACCTCACATGGCCTCTTCTCTGTGTATGTGTGGAGAAAGAGAGAGCTCTCTGGCATCTCTTCCAGATAGGACTGTTATCCTTTTAAGAAGAGGGAGAGATACCAGAGAGCTCTCTGTCTTCTTATAAGAACACCAGTCCTATTGGATTAGGACCTTACCCTTATGACTCATCTAACGTTAACAACTGCCATAAAGGGCCTATCTCCAAATGTAGTCACAGAAAGACATTTGTTGGCTTCAACATACAAGTGTGGAGGAGACATAATTCAGTTCATAACATCACCCTACCTCTGGACCCCCAACCTCCAACTAAGTGAGCCAACAAATATCCTTCCATTGAGGCCAGCTCGAGTTGGTTTCCTCATGTCTTACCTTACAATATTTCACTCCTCTTCCTATCCCTGCTGTTCCTAGACAGACCCCAATGCACAGAAAGTGTCAATCAATATTTGTGGAATGAATGCTCAGTTGCTATTTTTCTTCTTGTACCTGCAACGACTACCTCACAGATAAGCTGTAAGCCTTTCTCTTTCCTCTGCCCTGCAAGTATGTATTATTGCTATTCTTCCTGCTATTCCCCTTTTTTTAGATGAGCAAATTCAGGCTTAGAGAGGTAAAATCACTTGTTCAAGGTTGGTAGGTGACAGAGCTGGCTTTGACCTCAGGTCTGAGAGTCCCCCCAGCCTGGACTCTTAACTAGAGTGCTTGGTGGGAAACCTTTGGAATTTGGCGGCATCATCTGTGGTCTTATAACTTAAGCAGGCATAGGGGAAGGGCATGGTGAGGCCCCAGCCCCGTAAGGTCAGTACTGATGGAGAGAAGGCTAGGACAAGAGAGAAACACAGTCACTGAAGTGAAGTGCAGGGCAGTGAAGACCACCAGGCAATCCAGGTCAAGTATGTGAAGGGAGAGGCCAGCTCTGTCGCTTAGGGTCTCCTGACACCAACAAGTGGGGGTTTAGGAGAAGAGACACAGCCCCAGGTGGACTCCAGGAGGGAGTGTGATCACCAGCATCGAGAGTCCACTGTCCCCTACTCAGCAGGACCCCTGAAGCAGGTGAGGGGTGGCCACAGGAGCAGGAGGCAGCCCTGGAGAGGTCTGTGTCCTGGTCATTTGTTTGGTTTGTTGTCACATCTGTTCCTTGCCTGTGTTCTGCTCAGTATCTTGGAGGGCAAATCACATGCTCCAGACCCTCTTGCCAACTGGCTTCTGATTAGTTTTACCCAATGAAAGTTTCTGGAGGAAGATGGAGGGCAGAGGAAGAAGAGAAGTCTGGGTATTCCTCCTGATCTCCAGATCTGGGTGGCAGCTCTGGCTGTGAGTCCATCTGCTTCATGGCTCCAGCTCCCTTGGGCAGTCCAGGTTCTGGGCTCCCTCCCTTTGTTTCTCCAGCCCTGGGAGCAACCCCACTGGTAGGGGGGCGGAGGGGTGACAGTTTCCTGCTGCTGCTCCTCTCTGGTTGGCCTCCCCACCCCCAGATGCCTTTTCAACATTTCCAACCATTTCCCCTGCTGAACCTGGGTCCTGGTCTCCTGTCTGGGCCCTGCCTGGTACCCCAGACTGGAAGGAGACAGTCACGGTCCTCGTCTCCTACCGCAGCTGTGGATCAAGGCAGTCTCACTGGGCAGAGTGGCAGGAAGCACCTGGGCTTGAGTGTAGGCAGAAGCCCAGTCCTGCCGCCAGGCCACCAGGGTGCCCTTTCAGTGACCATGAACAGAATTCAGCAGCCTCCCAGCAGAACCCCACTGGATCCCAGACCAGGAGCCCTGGCAATTGTTGCAGCTGAGTCTGTAGAATCTCTTCATTCTGTCACTCATGTTCTCCCAGCCTCGAAAGACTCCCAGCTGGGCCACTCCCTACCTGTGTGACACCAGCAAGTCACTTAACCTCGCTGTACCTCAGTGTCCTTACCTGGATTACACAGAAACTAATAGTACCTCCTCTATTGCCATGACGATGAAAGAAGAGAAAACTTGGCACAATGCCTGACACAGAGCCAGTGATCAATAAATGGGAGCAGCAGTCATTGTTATTGTTAACAATAGTAATAGCCTGGGCAGTCCCAGAGGACCTTTGGAGAGCAGGGGCACCCAAGAAGGGGAGGGAGGTTTTACATCTCTCCTGCCACATCAGAGTAAAGACTGGATCCTGAGCTGGGGCTGGGGCAGGAGAGGTCACTGGGGCTACACAAACACCAGGCACTGCTCCTCAGTGTTTGTTCTATGCCTGGCTGTGTGCAAAACATGGAATCGTGTCCTGCGTACTACTGTGTTTAATCCTTCAACCACTGGAAGAGGTATGTGTCTGTTATCATCAATGACGACATACCCATTTTTTTTTTTTTTTGAAACGGAGTCTCGTTATGTCGCCAGGCTGGAGTGCAGTGGTGCAATCTCGGCATCTCGGCTCACTGCAACCTCTGCCCCCCGGGTTCAAGCAATTCTCCTGCCTCAGCCTCCCGAGTAGCTGGGATTATAGGCGCCCACGACCACACCCGGCTAATTTTTGTATTTTTAGTAGAGACGGAGTTTCGCCATGTTGGCCAGGCTGGTCTCAAACTCCTGACCTCAGGTGATCCACCCGCCTTGGCCTCTCAAAGTGCTAAGATTATAGGCATGAGCCACTGCGCCCGGCTGACATCCCCGCTTTATAAAGCAATTGAGCCTCAGAGAGGCTCAGGAATCTGCCTAAGGTCACATAGGCAGAATGGAACAGAGCCAGATTTCCAGCCAACCCTATCTTATAAAAAACTCCAGGCTCCCCAGGAGGGATTCATGGGTCTTTCTCCACCCATGGCTCTGGCATGAGCAGGCACTGGTCCTGGTGTTTGAGTCGAGAAGGTGGGGAGCCCATAGATAAATAGATCACTCTCAGAACCAGTCTGTGGTCCAGCCCAGGCCTCCAGGCCTGTTCCTCCTTTGGGATGTCTGCCAGGTGCTGGAAGCAAGGGGCAGTCTTGGAAAGGGTGGACCCACCAGGAGGTTGCCCCCTGCCAAGGGGAACACACACGTGTGTGTGTATGTATGTGTGAGTGCACACAGGCACGTGCGGACCTGACCCCGACCTCTGCCTTGGCCTAGGAGAGGACAGCGCAGGGCTGTGCATTTGGCAGGTCAGGTCCAAAGGGACGGGTGGTGGCCACTCTCATCCCCCTCTCAGATCCCAGGAGATGCTTGGAAATTTTCCTGGAGAGCTGGCTATGGGCCTGAGACCCTTGCTGCCCATAAAGGCTAGAAAAGAGGATACCAGAGAACTCTTCCGAAATCAGTTCAGACTTTACCAGCCTCTCTGAGCCTCCTTGCCAGAAGGTGATTGACAGCCTTGTGACTCACGCCCAGTGAAGATGGGCTGCCTCAGAACATCTCATTCCCAGATCCCACCACCTCCTGGAAATCAACCTCCAAATGATCCCAGGCCTTGCTGTAGGCTCTGAGCAATGCAGAATGGCCGCCTCATCATAGCCCCATGGGACGCAGCCTGGTGTGGTGTGAGGAGCATGAGGCATGAAGTCAGCGTGGATCTCAACCTGGACCCACAGGAGCTGTGAGGCCTCAGGAGAGTGATGTCATTAGGCCTTTGAGCCTTGGATTCCTCATCTGGGAAATGGCCATAATACCTTCCCATCAGTAGGTGCCTCGTAAATGTGAGTGTTCCTGCCTCTTCCCTTTCTTCCTTCTTTTTTCTGGATCCCCAGAACCTCCACTGACCACTTTACCACCTAGCTGCAAGGGCCCCCAGTTCCCAGAACCCTCGCAGGCTGCGGCCCGGCCTCTGAGCCTTGCAGGAGACAGCAGTTTCACCGTCTTTTGCTTGTGGCCTGCCGTGGGCCAGCACCCCCGAGAGCAAAGGCCGCAGAGCTAGGAGGCTCAGGCCCCACCCTCTTCGTAAACACCAGTTGGGCACCAACTGACCTCAGGAGGGAAGTGCTCCACTGAGACCCTCCCCTTCCAGCCCTGCCTGCCACTGTATGTTCCAGGGGAAGTGCCAGACAAATCTGGCATCCTTGCACCCAGGTCTCCCCCGTCCTGGAAATAGTCACTTAGAGCCAAACCTCTGGCTGAAGGTAGAAAGGAATTTAAAATCCCTGAGCAGGTATCCCCTACCCTCACAAAATATCACCCTGGGCCATCCTAGACAGGGCAAGGTCTAATTTAATTTAATTTTTAAATTATTATTTGTAGAGACACAGTCTCGCTATGTTGCCCAGGCTGGTCTCAAACTCCTGGGCTCAAGCAATCCTCGGGCCTCAGCCTCTCAAAGTGCTGGGATTACAGGCATGAGCCACTGTGCCTGGCCTAATTTAAATATTTTTAATGATCATGATGATATACATAAATGGGACTTTACTGTTACTGTTTATTTCTTTAAAATAAAGACAGGAATTAAATATAACAAAAATTAATCATTTTAATTTTGAGCAGTGGCGATGTGTGTGTGTTTTTATTATTCTTTATAACATGCTTTTCTGTCTTGTTAAAATTTCTCTAAGTAGAAACATTTTGAAATAAATAAGATTAGCACAGGTTTATTAGAGAAATATTTAGAAAATACCAAAAGTATAAAGGGGAAAATAAGAATCACTAAAATCTCTCCTCTGGAACCAGACCACCAATATATCAGCTTATTTCCTTCTAGTTCTTTTTCTAGCATACATTTATGTTGTTTAATTCTTTTTATCAAAAACAATGGCATCATATTGTTGAATAACCTTTTTTCTCTTTAACACTATATTTTGAACAATTTCTCATGCCCTTATTTACTTTAGAACACTTATTTTCAGTCTTTTTTCCCATGGAATCATGAATAAGTTATTTGTTTTCTATTTCCTTTTTAAAATATTTTTTGTTTGTTTGTTTGTTTCTTATTTCAGATCTTCATTCTGAGAATAAGGTTTTTTTTGTTTTGTTTTGTTTTTTTGTTTTTGAGACACAGTCTCGCTCTGTCGCCCAGGCTGGAGTGCAGTGGTGGATTCTTGGCTCACTGTAACCTCCACCTCCTGGTTTCAAGCAATTCTCCTGCCTCAGCCTCCCAGGTATCTGGGATCACGGGCACATACCACCACTCCTGGCTAATTTTTGTATTTTTAGTAGAAACGAGGTTTCACCATGTTGTCCAGGCTGGTCTCGAACTCCTGACCTCAAATGATCCACCCGCCTTGGCTTCAGGTTTTTTTTATTACTGCAATACATATGGATCTCATTAAGTCATACACTTTATACCTTTTATTATTTTTTCTTATTTAAAAAGTAATACAGTTTTGTTGAAGAAAAATTAGAGGCCGGGCATGGTGGTCCACGCCTGTAATCCTAGCACTTTGGGAGACTGAGGCAGTGGATTGTTTGAGCGCAGGAGTTCGAGATCAGCCTGGACAACATGACGAAACCCTGTCTCAACAAGAAATACAAAAATTATCCAGGCGTGGTGGCAGGTACCAAGTCCTAGCTATTCAGGAGGCTGAGGTGGGAGGATCACCTGAGCCCAGGAGGTCAAGGCTGTGGTGAGCCATGATTGTGCCACTGTACTCCAGCCTGAGTGACAAAGTGAGATCCTGTCTCAAAAAATAAAAATAAAAAAATAGAAAAATTAGCAAATACAGATGAACAAACAAAAGGTAAATAAATAAGCACATGAAATCCTTATAACCTACCATCCTGAAATAATCTCTACTAATACTTTAGCTTTCAACATTCCTGTCTTTTTTCTATGTACATATGGATGTATATAAACACACATTTTAAAATAAAATCATCTGGGTTAAAAGTTAAAGACTTAAATCACATAAAAGAAGATAAAATTGGAATCATACAATTCATAATCGTTTTCATTTGCATTTTTGTTTACTTAATATATCTCATATTGATTAGGATTATTTCAGCTACAAATGACAGAAAACCCAAAGTAACAGTAGCTGAAGCACATTTAATTTCGCTCTCTAGTAAGTGACATCCAGCAGGAAGCAGCCCAGGCTGGTTCTGCAGCTCAGTGACCATCAGGGACTAGACTCCTTCTAACCGATGCCCTCCATCTTCCACACATGGCTTCCACCTCAGGACCCAAGACGGCTGTTCATATCCACACTCCGGAAACTGAAGAAGGAAGAAACAAAGAAGAGATCAGCTTTTCTCTCCAAGGACACTGCTATCATCTGAACACATCCCCCTCAAATTCATATGTTGAAACTTAATCACCAATGTGACAGTATTAGTAGGTGGTGCTTTTAGGAGGTGATTAAGTCATGAGGGCAGAGCCTTCATGAATGAGATTAGTACCCTTATCAAAAAGGCACAAGGGACCTGTTTTCCCTTTCACCACATGAGGACGCAGCAAGAAGGCGCCATCTTGGAAGCAGAGAGCAGGCCCTCACCAGATACTGAATCTGCTGGTACCTTGATTTTGGACTTCCCAGTCTGCAGAACTGTGAGCAATACATTTCCATTGTTCGTAAATTACTCACTCTAAGGTAATTTTGTTATAGCAGCAGGAACAGTCTAAGAGAGATACTTCCTGGAATTCACATGCACCTCTTCTGCTTATATCCTGCTAGCCAGAATGTAGTCCCATGGCCACTGGGAAATAGGCTATTT
This sequence comes from Homo sapiens, assembly GCF_000001405.40. NCBI lineage: Eukaryota > Metazoa > Chordata > Mammalia > Primates > Hominidae > Homo > Homo sapiens. Next base: position 46,257,040 of record NC_000011.10, read on the forward strand.
ATCTAAGTAGGGGTTCTGTTACTATGGCAAAAGGGGAGAACACATATTGGGGAGCAACTGGTATCTCTACCACACATCACAAACATCTTTCCAGTGTATATAGTTTTGTATCCTGCTTTCTTATATTTTGTTGAACATTTCCCCATATCATTAAATATTCTTTGAAATTCTTTTTTTTCCTTTTGTTTTTAATGAGACAGGGTCTTGCTCTGTCACCCAGGCTGGAGTGCAGTGGCATGATCATGGCTCACTGCAGCTTTGACCTCCCAGGCCCAAGCAGTTCTCTCTCCTCAGCCTCCAGGGTACTTGGGACTACAGGCACACACCACCACACCCCATTAATTTTTGTATTTTTTGTAGAGACAGGGTTTTGCCATGTTGCCCATGCTGGTCTGAAACTCCTGGGCTCAAGGGATCCGCCCACCTCGGCCTCCCAAAATGCAAGGATTACAGGCATGAGCCACCGCGCCCAGCCGAATATTTAAATTCTTAATTTTTCTCAGTTAAGATTTATACTTATTAGTTAAGAATATATAAATTCTTAATTTTTAATGGCTGCTTAATATTCTGTTATATATATGTAGCATCACTTATGGATCTTATTACTTGATCTCTGGGTATCAAGAGATACTCAGATTACTATTATTACTCTTGCTAAATAAGCCTCTTTTATGTTTAAAACTTGTCAGAGAAAGAGATGCCAAGCTTTCCTCTCCACTCTGTGGGTGCCCACCTCAGATATTTTGCTGGGGAGTCAGGGTGGTATCTGCCTGGAAAGCTGGCTGATTTTCTTCCTGTTAACAAATGAAGTTTTTTAGCAACTGGTATACCCTGCTGCTCCTGTTGCAGGGGAAGTCATAGGACAGGGCAGGGCCTGGTGGGCAGTTCCACTGTAGGTCGGGGAGTCCAGGGGCCTCAGGAAGTAGCGGGGAGTGGGGCAGTAAGAGGAAACTACAGACTCTCAGGACCAAGGGAGTCCCTGGCCCTGGAAAGTCTTGGGGGACTCAATGGGGCCCATTCTTTCTTTATTCGGGTTCAACAAATGCTTTTGAGCCCCTCACAGGGCTGTGGCCTATGTGCCTGGCCGTGGGGAAGTCTCAGAGAAGACGTGGTCCCTTTCATGCTCTTCAGGAGGGCAGCTAATTCTAAATTCTCATTAGAGTTCAACCTGGTGAGTTACCTAAAATACAGAATCCTGGGGACCACATCCAAAAATCTGATGCAGTAGGTGTTGGTGGGCCTAGACTTTCAAATATCCCCAGGTGACCCTGATGAGGGTGATCAGGGACAGACCATTCTAGGGGGAGAAATATCACTCAAAGCCCTTGGAAGAAACCTCCTAAGCCAGGCAAACATGGAATCTCCATTTGCTCAGTAGATAGCTTGAACCTCATTTAAGCCTTAGGCTATTATAGAATAATGGGGACACCAGTCAGGCAGACCTAAACTTAAATCGCAGCTTCATCCTTCGGTAACTGAATGACCTCAGGCACATTAGTACTCTGTAAACCTCAGTCTTCTCATCTGTAAAATGAAGATAATCATAGTGTTTCACATGTGAAATTAAATGTTAAAGAGCATAGCAGAGTGTCTGGCACTCAATAAATGCCAGATAGTATTATTAAATTAATTAAAATTAATTTGTTAATTAAAATTGCCTCTACGTGAGTAATTACAGCAGAAGACTGGACACAAGGTATGTAACACATCTTGTACACTGCCTGACTCATGGTGGTGGGTATTCAATAAATGCTTATTATTATTATTATGAACACTCTCACATACCTTTTAACTCTAGGCCTTATTATCTCTGCATCTGTATCTAACACACAATTTTATCCTCCCCATAGAAATCATGGCCAGGTGCGGTGGCTCACGCCTGCAGTCCCAGCACTTTGAAAGGCAGAGGCAGGTGGATCACTTGAGGTCAGGAGTTCGAGACCAGCCTGGCCAAATGGCAAAACCTCATCTCTATTAAAAATACAAAAATAAGCCGGGCATGGTGGCTCGCACCTGTAGTTCCAGCTACTCGGGAGGCTGAGACAGGAGAATCGCTTGAACCCAGGTGGCAGAGGTTGCAGTAAGCTGTGATGGGGCCACTGCACTCCAGCCTGAGCCACAGTGCTAGACTGTCTCCAAAAAAAAAAAAAGAAAGAAAGAAAGAAAAAGGAAAGAAATTATGGCTGGATGCGGTGTTTTACGCCTGTAATCCTGACACTTTGGGAGGCTGAGGTGGGAGGATCACTTGATCCCAGGGGTTTGTGACCAGCCTGGGTGACATGGCAAAATCTGGTCTCTACAAAAAAATAATTTAAAAATTAGCTGAGCATGGTGGCATGCATCTGTAGTCCCAGCTACTCAGGAGGCTGAGGTAGGAGGATTGCTTGAGCCCAGGAGGTCGAGGCTGCAGTGAATTGTAATCATGCCACTGCACTCCAGCCTTGGCAACAGAGCAAGACCCTGTCTCTAAATAGAGATTAGATAGATAGATAGATAGATAGATAGATAGATAGATAGATAGATAGATATTGTTAATTTGGGGGCTCTGGCCAGGCACGGTAGCTCACGCCTGTAATCCCAGCACTTTTGAAGGCCAAGGCAGGCAGATCACTTGAGGTCAGGAGTTTGAGACCAGCCTGGGCAACATGGTGAGACCCTCCCCCATCTCTACTAAAAATATACAAAAATTAGCCGGGCATGATGGCGCATGCCTGCACTCCCAGCTACTCGGGAGGCTGAGGCAGGAGAATCACTTGAACAAGGAGGCGGAGGTTGCAGTGAGCCGAGATCACGCCACTGCACTCCAGCCTGGGAAATAGAGTGAGATCCAGCTCAAAAAAGAAAGAGGGGGGGCGGCTCCAAAATGTCGGCTTAATGTCTGTTCCTAGTGCCTGCCCCAAAATGAAAGGGATTTTTCTCAGCTCCTTTCAGAAGGATGTGCAGGTGGCAGGGGGGTAAGATGAGGGTGAGTGGGAACCTCAGGTTTATACTTCCAACTCCCTGCTTTTGGGAGAGCCTATACCTGGGCTGAACTCCAAGGGCCAGGAGCTATGGAGGCCTGAGGCTGCTGTGAGGCAAGAGGGAGGATGCAGGGTCACTGTGGATAATGATATTTTCAAGTGCTCATGGACGGCATGGTTGCCATGGTAATGCTGATGGCTCCAAACAAGCTGAGGCCTCTCTTGAGTTGTGAATCAGGTTCAGCTTTATTTATTAAAAAAGAAAACCAATGCCCCGACCTGTGAAGGGCAAAGTGAAGCCGCAGGTGGAGGCCACAGCGTGAATCAGCAGGTGCGTCGGCCGCGAGGCACACAGCCCCTGAGCCTCCTGACGTCAGCTGGCCCAGCCCACCACAGAGCCTGGAAAAACCCACAGGGGCAGGTGGGGAGGCCAGCATCGCAAACCATGGCCCAGGAGGGAAAATACAAACAGAATTCACACTGCTGGGTGGAAACCACTTAATAGGAAGCAGGTTCCATTTTCTCAGCTTTGGCTCAAAGACCAGACTCAAAGGACTCTACCTCTCTGAGAGTCCTCAGGGCCCAAGGAAATGGGGCACCCCCAGCCCAACCTCAGCAAGTGAAGGTCAAGGCCTGGCCCTGAGATGGCCCATGCGGAGCTGACCACCCAGCCGTGTGACACAGTAGGAGTGCCCTTCCTAATGTCCTAGGGGAAACCAGTTGGCCCTCTGAGAGCAAGAGGGTCCTGGAAAGACAACAAAGGCCACAAAAATGCTCTCACATGGCCTAAACTTATGGGTAGCGCCCCTCCTGCTGGGGAGTGGGTAGAGACTTCTGATGGACCCTGGCCTGTGTCATCCCCCCATAAGGAGGCCCACAGTAACAGTAACAATGACACACTGGAATCCTCTTCTGTGGCTTGGACACTGTCCCTGAATCCTAGACTTACAGGTATAGGGGCCATAAAACCTACTGGTTTGTCTGGGTTCGCTGTTGATCCCACTGATTGAGAAGAAGCCTCTGATTTCTTCCCCTCCCTCGCGCCAATATCCTGGTGGACCCACTTCCTAACCAGCACTGGACTCCAAGCCCTTGTCTCCACCCACTGCCTTCATTATTTGGCAGAATATTATAGGGGGTAGGCCAGTGGGTGCTGAAGTCAGGGTGGATGGATTTAAGTCCTCCTTCTGCCACTTATCTGCTATGTGGCTGAGCCTCCATTCCTCGGTCTGTAATACAGGTGTGATAATAATGACAGCACCACTCACATGGTAGCACTGAGGATGAAATGTGATAATATCTGCAAGTGTTTAGTGCAGAGCCTGGCTGGCACATAGTCAGTGCCGGGTAACTGTTTGCCATTGTTAACTTTACTTCAGGCCTCATCATATCCCACCTGGAGAACAGCAACAGCCTCATAACACCACAGGCTGGTCTTGCTCACCTCCAGTCTGCTGTCCACACCACAGCAGAGTGGTTGATCTAAAATGCATCTGATCATGTCATTAGCCTCCTTAAAAATTGAACAGTGGGCCAGGCACAGTGGTTCACACCTGTAATCCCAGCACTTTGGGAGGCCAAGGCAGGTGAATCACTTGAGGCCAGGAGTTCAAGACCAGCCTGGCCAACATAGTGAAGTCCCGTCTCTACTAAAAATACAAAAATTAGCCAGGCATGGTGGTGCGCACCTGTAATCCCAGCTACTTGGGAGGCTGAAGCAGGAAAATGAATTGAACCTGAGAGGCGGAGGTTGCAGTGAGCTGAGATCACACCACTGCACTCCAGCCTGGGCAACAGAGTGAGACTCTGTCTCAAAAAAAAAAAAAAATTAACAGTGGCTCCCATTTGCCTTCAGGATAACTCATAGAATTTCTTAGAGTGCCTAAAGGCCCTGACCACCTAGCTCTTGGCTACCCTCTCCAGCCCTGTATCTTACTACACCCTTCCATCCTTGATAAGTTTCAGCCATACCCGTTAGCAGCATCTCCAAGGTGCCAAGCTCTGCCATACCTCCAGGATTTTTGCCATGTTCTTCCCTTTACCCAGGATGCCCTTTCTCTTTTTGTCCAGCTAGAAAACACCTGTTCATCCTTCAAGACCGCATCAAGATCCCTCTATACTGTGAAACTTTCCTGTCCTCCCCTCAAAAGCAGAGTAGATCATTGCCCCCTCTGAGCCGCTTTGGTACCATGGCAAAACCCTGTCTCTAACACAGCTGTGGTCTAGGTGCTACTGACACAAGTGAACAGGCATATGCACACACATACACGAGACAGGTGGCATGAGCATGTCTTGCTCCATAGGGTAGAGCAGGGGACCGTAAGAACGTGTCTAGGCCGGATACGGTGGCTTATGCCTGTAATCCCAACACTTTGGGAGGCCGAGGCGGGTGGATCACCTGAAGTCAGGAGTTCGAGACCAGCCTCACCAACGTGGTGAAACCCCGTCTCTACTAATAATACAAAAATTAGCCAGGCATGGTGATGCATGCCTATAATCCCAGCTACTCAGGAGGCTGAGGCAGGAGAATCACTTGAACCCGGGAGGCGGAGGTTGCAGTGAGCCAAGATCGTGTCATTGCACTCCAGCCTGGGTGACAAGAGCAAAACTCTGTCTGCAAAAAAATAAAAAATAAAGAAAGAAAGAACGTGTCTGAGCCTCTAAGCAGCCAGGTTAAGAGCCCTGCATGGGAGTAAGGACAGATGAAATCAGAGAGCAGAGCATTTCTCTGCTCACACCACACAAGCCCTGCTACACACTAGGGCTCATATGATCCTCACCAGGCAGGGCCCTACAAACAAGACAGGTGTTGTTTTCTCCCCCACTTTCAGATGAACAAACTGAGACTCAGAGAGAGTTAAATGACTTTCCAGGACTGTAGAAGTGCCAGAACTGAATCCATCACTTCCCAAGCACTGTGCATGTAGCTTCTGCCAGGCTTTCTGCTAGGCACAGGGGATACTGAGGTGAATGGAACACAGTCCCTGCCCCTCAAGGTGGCCAACTGCATAATGGCAAAAGCACAGTTTCTCAAGTCAGACAGAACCTGTGTTTGAATCTCGACTTCCCCACTGACTAGCCTTGTGAGCCTGAACTGGTTCCTAACCTCCACATCTCACATTTTGAGTCTCAGATTCAAAACATAACCTAGATCAAACCAGCCTCGTGCTCAAACCCTCCAAAGGCATCAGCTCAGAGTAAAATCCACATATGACCCAGTCACTGCTCCCATATCCAGTTCATTTCCTCTTTCTGTTCATCTCTCTTCCCACCCTCAGATGCCCTGGCTCCTGGCTATGCCTAAAGCAAGACAAGCATCTCCAACCTTTGATCTTTGCCCTTCTCTTCCCTCTCCTGGATGCACTTTCTCCAGATGGACACATGGCTAACTCCCTCCTGCCACTCAGGTCTCCAGCTTCTCAGAGAGGCCATCCCTGGCCAGATGCAGTGGCTCACAACTGTAGTCCCAGCACTTTGGGAGACCAAGGTGGGCGGATGGCTTGAGCCCAGGAGTTCGAGACCAGCCTGGGCAATATGGTGAAACCCCGTCTCTATAAAAAATACAAAAATTAGCCAGGCATGGGCCAGGGATGGTGGCTCACACCTGTAATCTCAGCACTTTGGGAGGCCAAGGTGGGCAGATCACTTGAGGTCGGGAGTTTGAGACTAGCCTGGCCAACATGGCAAAACCCTGTCTCTACTAAAAATACAAAAATTAGCTGGGCACAGTGGCCCGTGCCTGTAGTCCCAGCTACTCAGAAGGCTGAGGCACGAGAATTGCTTAAACCCAGAAGGCAGAGGTTGCAGTGAGTTGAGATCGCGCCACTACACTGCAGCCTAGGAGACAGAGTGAGACTCCCTCTCAAAAAAAAAAAAACAATAAAAAAAATTAGCCAGGCTGGTGGCACATGCCTATAGTCCCAGCTGTTCAGGAGGCTGAGGTGTGAGAATTGCTTGAGCACAGGATGTTGAGGATGCAGTGAGCTATGATCATGTCACTACGCTCCAGCCTGGGCAACAGAGTGAGACCCTGTCTCAAGAAAGAAAAAAAAAGCCAATCCCTGACCATGGCATCCAAAACAGTGGCCCTGTCACTATCAACTGTACTCTTCTTCAAAACACTGTCTCTATATTATGCAACCTGATACTACCTGTATTCGACCATTTGTTAATGACCTATCCCTCCTATTAGTACACAAGGGTACAGATACACCCATTTTGTTTACTCCTCTGTGCCTAGAACAGTGCCTGGCACATAGTAGGAGCTCAACAAATTTTTGTTACACAAATAAATCAATGACCCTCACTTTCCTCCCCTTTAAAATGATACATACAGCCACATAGTTATAAGAATTAAATTATGTTGGCTGGGCTCAGTGGCTCACACCCGTAATCACAGCACTTTGGGAGTCTGAGGCGAGCGGATCACTTGAGGTTAGGAGTTTGAAACCAGCCTGGCCAACATGGCGAAACCCTGCTCTACTAAAAATACAAAAATTAGCCGGATGTGGCGGTGGGCACCTGTAATCCCAGCTACTTGGGAGGCTGAAGCAGGAGAATCGCTTGAACCTAGGAGGTGGAGGTTGCAATGAGCCAAGATCACGCCACTGTACTCCAGCCTGGGTGACAGAGCAAGACTCCGTCTCAAAAAAAAAAAAAAAAAAAAAAAAATGAAAAAACAAACAAACAAAAACGTTATTTAAAAAAAAATTAAATGATGTCATAGTGGAAGATGCTTTGCCTGGTGCAGGGGAGCTTAGTGACACGCAATAATGGTTGCTGTTTTACTGTCATTGTTCATGCTGTTGTTGTTTTGGTGCTTGCCATCTCAAAGCGGGGAGACAGGTGTGGAAATAAGTAATTTGTGATAATAAAGCTCTTATCCTGAGCCCTCTGCTCCACTTTGGGGTGTGGGCAGCAGCCCCTCCATCTGCCTGAACAGCAGGGCCTGAAACTTTTATCTGGACTGCCAAGGTCACCCTCTGGGTCTGGCCCTGATGATGGGAGACCTCTCTCTGGGGCCTTCCTGGGCTGGGGGCAGTGGGCAGAGCCCAGCCCAGGCCTCAGAAACCCGTGATTTCCCCCAAGAGCAGGCCCCACATCAAAGCCAATCTCGGAGGGGCGAGGCCTCAGGATAAATGGAAGATTAAAGAAGGCTCAGTCTCCACAAGGCCACAGGGAGAGGCAGCCAGCAGGCGACCACAGCGGAGAGGCCCCGACACAGCCCTGGCAGTGGCCATCTTGGGGGGCAAGAGGAGAGAAGGGGGCCCAGTCCTCGGCAAGGGGAGCCAGGAGGACACCTTAGCAAAGGGGGTGCTCCTTGTGATTAAATCTCGATGCATCTCTCCATTCCATGCCCGCTTCTTAACCCTTTCCCAGCCAGGCGGCAGCAGGGAGCTCAAGATAGGAAGCCCTGGGCCTCTCTTCAAGAGACTTGGTTTGGTCATTGGGTTTGGTCATTGGGGTTTGCTCTTTCCAGCAAGGGAGCCTGTAATGAAGACCTCCTGGCCCCAGTCTTCCTCCCCAGGGAAGGTCTGTAATTAGTGCAGGAGGCGAGGCTGGGGAAGCGCAGACAATGTCATTTGAACCAGGATGAGACAGGGCTCAATTGCTAGTCTGCACTTTTTTTTTCTGGTGCCATTTCATATACAAAACTCCAGCAAACTTAACCCTTTCCTGGTTGGGCCCGGATGCCAGGGTTTCAGCTTGGCACAGCATCCATTCCTGTGCCTAACATGCGCCATTCTCACCTCCACCATATACACCCCAGTTCAGGTAAGCCATGGTTTCAGACTTCCTCAACACCAGCCAATCAATCACCCAACAAGCCTTTGACGAATGCCACCAGATGTCAAGCACCCAGGGGAGGGGACCCAAGGGAAAATCTCCCTTCCTGTCAGCAAGGAGCTGACGATCCCTCTAAGCAGCAGGGGAATGCCCACTCGAAACAGGTGGCAGGCAATGGAAGGGAAAGTGGCACCTGCTGAGGACCAGTGCAGGGCAGGGAAGGAAGCTGGGTGGAGGCAGAGTACACACGATAGGTGCAGGAAGGGTTGGCGTGTGGTAAGCACTCTGTACATATGTTCCAAGGGAGATATCTTCCTGGAGCAGAGCTTTTCTGCAATCAGGGTCTGAGGGCTGAACCCACAGAGACACGGAAGGCGGGCAAAGCCAGCCCCAGGTAGAGATGGATGTCAGAGCTATTGAGACAGGCAGAGGCTACTGCCTCCTCCCCCATGCTCCTGGAGCACCCATTCTGAATCCCTGAACTACAGTTTATCTCACGCTATACTACAACCTGCCTGATTGCAGATCTGGCTTCTCAACTAGATTGCAAGCAGCCGGAGGGCTGTGTCTATTCACCTCTGGTCTCGTGGGCCTCAGCACTGAGCCTGGCACACAAGAAGTATTCAATAAATGCTCTTTGGTTGTTTTTTTTTAAGACTTTTTATTTTTATGGGGGACAGAGTCTCGCTCTGTCGCCCAGGCTGAAGTGCAGTGATGCGATCTTGGCTCACTGCATCCTCCACCTCCCGGGTGGAAGTGATTCTCCTGTCTCAGCCTCCTGAGTAGCTGGGATTACAGGTGCATGCTACCATACATGGCTAATTTTTGTATTTTTAGTAGAGATGGGGTTTTACCATACTGGTCAGACTTGTCTGGAACTCCTAACCTCAGGTGATCCACCTGCCTTGGCCTCCCAAAGTGCTGGGATTACAGGCGTGAGCCACTGCGTGCAGCAAATAAATGCTCTTTGAATAGATGGTTGGGCTTGCATGAGATGGTGAGAGAAGTGAGGAAGAATCCACCTCTACGGACTTTCCCAGGGAGGATGCAAATTCTGGCCCCACTTCCCTTGCAAATCACATCACAGTATCTCTAACATGTAAAGTTTAGCTTCTAGAAATCAGTAAGACCAACCACCAATTTTTAAAGGTTGAAGAACGTGAATAGAGTCTACAGAAAAGGAAACATAAATTGTCCTAACACATCTAAAAAGATGCTCAATCCTACTCAAGATAAATGCAAATTTAAAATATACTGGAGGCTATGGCTGGGCACCATGGCTCACGCCTGTAATCCTAGCACTTTGGGAGGCCAAGTCAGGTCTCCTCACCTGAGGTTAGGAGTTCCAGACCAGCCTGACCAATATGGTAAAAACCCCATCTCTGCTAAACATGGTAAGGTGTAAATGAGTGTACTCCCAGCACTTTCGGGGGCTGAAGCAGGAGGATCACTTAAGGCCAGAAGTTGAGACCAGCCTGGGCAACATAGTGAGACCCCATCTCTACAAATAATAATAATAAATTATCTAAGCATGGTGGTGCATGCCTGTAGTCCCAGCTACTCATATAGCTGAGGTGGGAGGATTGCTTGAGCCCAGGAGGTCAAGGCTACAGTGAGCCATAGCTGTACTGCCGCACTCCATCCTGGGCGACAGAGCAAGACCTTGTCTCCAAAAAAATAAATAAAATACACTGGAAATCATTTCTTATTTATCAGATTAGAAAATTCCAGGCTGGGCACAGTGGCTCATGCCTGTAATCCCAGCATTTGGGGAGGCCGAGGCGGGCGGATCACGAGGTCAGAAGATCGAGACCATCCTGGCTAACATGGTGAAACCCCGTCTCTACTAAAAATACAATTAATTAGCTGGGCTAATTAATTGTAGTCCCAGCTACTCTGGAGGCTGAGGCAGGAGAATGGCGTGAACCCGGGAGGCAGAGCTTACAGTGAGCCGAGACTGCGCCACTGCACTCCAGCCTGGGGTACAAAGCGAGACTCCGTCTCAAAAAAAAAAAAGAAAAGAAAACTCCAAAAGTTTGATAATATCCTCTCTTTGAGAGACTGTAGAACAACCAACAATGTCGTATATTGCTGATGGGAGTGTAAATTGGTACAAGATATTTGAGAATACTTACAACATTACAAATGCATGTTCTCTTTGACCCAGGAATCCTACTTCTGAGAATTTATCCTACATGCAGTGCTTGAACAAGCCTATCTTTGCAGCACTGTTTGTTACAGTAAAAAAACTAGAAACAATCCAATTGTCCATTAATTGGGGTCAGGTAAATAAATGATGGTACATTCATACAATGGGTGGCTATGCAGCTATTTTAAAAAAAAGGATGAGGAAGTTCTCTGTGTGCTAATACAGGAAGATCTTGAAAATAGATTAAGTGGGGGGAAAAGATGCAGAACAGTGTGTATAATACTTTTCAATTTAAAAAGAAAGAGAGAGGGAGTCCTGGTATTGTGGCACATGCCTGATAATCCCAGCACTTTGGGAGGCAAAGCAAGACAATCAGTTGGGGCCAGGGGTTCAAGACCAGCCTGGGCAACATAGTGAGACCCTGTCTCTACAAAAAATTAAAAAGTTAGCTGGGCACACCTGTAGTGCTCAGCTACTCAGGAGGCTGAGGCAGAAGGATTGCTTGAGTCCCTGAGTGGCTCACGCCTGTAATCCCAGCACTTTCGGAGGCCAAGGCGGGTGGATCACGAGGTCAGGAGATCGAGACCATCCAGGCTAACATGGTGAAACACCATCTCTACTAAAAATACAAAACATTAGCTGGGCATGGTGGCGGGTGCCTGTAGTCCCAGCTACTCGGGAGGCTGAGGCAAGAGAATGGCATGAACCTGGGAGGTGGAGCTTGCAGTGAGCTGAGATCGCGCCACTGCACTCCAGCCTGGGTGAGAGCGAGACTCCATCTCAAAAAAAAAAAAAAAAACAGAGAGAGAGAAATATCTAAACACACACACACACACACACACACACACACACACACACACACACCATAGAAGGATGCCCAAGCAAGTAATAAAATTGATTATATGTTAGTTAAAGGGTGGGAACTTAGTGGTTAGGATATAGGATGCAGAGATGGGGGGATTACTTTTTGTTGTATTCTTTTTTTATTTTTTAAACCATCTGAATGCATTATCTATTCAAGAAATTGAAAAAGACACACACACACAAACTTCCACCTAGGACTGGGGATTCTTGGATTCTTCACAAGTTGCTGGGTAAATGTGATTCTACCTCAGCTGGCTGTCCCTCTGTCGTTTTCCCTCCCTCGCTCCCACCAGGTTTTCCTGAGACCCTGGATTCCAGTAAACGGTCCTGCCATCTCAACTCGTGCCTCCAGATCATGGACTATGTGTGACCTTGGGCAAGTTACTTCATCTCTCTGGGCCTCAATAAAACAGAGTAATCCTAGTACCTGCCTCCAAGGGTTATGGTAAGATGTAAATGAGGAAACTCATCTTGGCACCAATAAAAATTCAAAAAAAAAAAAAAGAAAACTCATAGGATGTGTTTAGCATATATCCTGGGACTTGATCAATGCTATATTGTATAAATATATAAGATTTACTGTTCATATTCTTTGCCAATATTTTTATTGGATTGTTGGTCTTTGTCTTATTGATTTATAGGCGCTCTATTGATTCAGAAGATTGAGTTATGCATTGCAAACTGGCAGAGCATTGAAAAGTAACAAGACCCAATAAATGGCAGTTTGTGAAAATCACTATATATTTCTGATTATTTCTCCTCCAAGCCATGCATGCTGATGTTTGAAGGGGTCCCACATTGAAGACCTTGGGGCTCATCTGGACAGCCCTCAAGGAGCAGAGTCTTTTGTCACTGGCTCTGTGTCTCTTAACCAGTCTCCTCTGGGTAGTCAGAGATTATCATTCTCCTAGGTGCTTCCAGCTGCAGCCCTCAGAACAACAACCTTCCCTTTTACTCTAGATGAGGCTCATTCTCTGTGTCTTCCCTGGAGGTCCCCAAGTTTGTGGGGTATGTGTGTAATACCAGCTCCTACAAGAAAGTGCTGTAATCCCAGCACTTTGGGAGGCCAAGGCAGGCAGATCACTTGAAGCCAGGAGTTCAAGACCAGCCTGGCCAACATAGTGAAACCCTGTCTCTACTAAAAACATGAAAACTAGGTCAGGCACAGTGGCTCACGCCTGTAATCCCAGCACTTTGGGAGGCTGAGGCGGGTGGATCATAAGGTCAGGAGATCGAGACCATCCTGGCTAACACAGTGAAACCCCGTCTCTACTAAAAAATGCAGAAAATTAGCCAGGCGTGGTGGTGGGCGCCTGTAGTCCCAGCTACTCGGGAGGTTGAGGCAGGAGAATGGTGTGAACCTGGGAGGTGGAGCTTGCAGTGAGCCAAGATCGCACCACTGCACTCCAGCCTGGGCAACAGAGCAAGACTCCATCTCAAAAAAAAAAAAAAACAACACAAAAATTAGCCAGGTGTGGTGGTGCATGCCTGTAATCCCAGCTACTTGGGAGGCTGAAGCAGGAGCTTCACTTGAACCCAGGAGGTGGAGGTTGCAGTGAGCTGAGATCTCACACTGCACTCCAGTGTGGGCGACAGAGCAAGATTCCGTCTCAAAAAAAAATTCACTAATGAGTTCAAGTAAAGCCTCCCCAGGAAACCCTAAGTCTTCATTCCAGAAGACAGAGAATCCTGGCGGGCTGGTCTGAAGGGACACATTGAGGGACTGGGTTGCAGAATACACACCCTTGGGGCCCCTCACCCTGACCTGTGGACACTTGGTGCTTGCTTGCCATTCAGCCAAGGAAAACATTCGGCTCCTTTGGGCCTACATCCATTCATTTTTCTCCAGAGAGTTGGCCCCCTCTTCAGTTCTGGAGGCTCCCGAAATGTTCCTCAGAGCACCTGGAATTGATATTTGCATTAACTAGTGATTGCCAAGGCCAAGCCTGCTGGGTTTCTGTTAGTTCTGCTCAGCCACAGAGGCTGGAGCTGGTCCCTGAGAATGGCCCACGGGGCCCCCTTTCTGTGCATGAAAAGGATGGAAGTCCCCACCTGGACCTGCTCCTCAAAAAGAGGAACCTGGGTTAGGGCCAATGGGAGGTAAAGGCTGAGTCTGAAAAGGCCTCAGCCTCCTCCCAACTCTCTGGAAACCCCCCCGGTTACTATGCAATTTATCCAATCCCAGAGTCTGACGCAGCAGAAAGATGAAGTCGGAGGCCAGATCAACTTTCCAATACTCCCGCTTAATGGCTGTGTAATCCTTAGACAAATAACATAACCTCTCTGAGCCTCACTCACTTCACCTATAAAGGCAAAAATATGTGTGTATTTCTGTCTCCCTTCTAAAGGCATTTGAGAAACCCTACAGACAATGGAATTCGATGGTTGTTAATGGAGGAAAAAGATATGGAGGAAAGGAGAACAAACACAAGATGAAGGCGGGCTGCAGTGAGTGTGTGGAATGAACCTCCTCTTCCTGCTGCAAGAGGTGGACCTCAGCAAATTGATCTCTGAGCTTCCTCACAGCTCAAGTAAAGAAAGTAATGCAATGAACTACAAAACCCGGAGTGTCCCTCAAGTTAAAAATAGGCCTGCTGCTCAGAAGCAGCCAGCTTTGATGGGCCCTGAAGTAAAAGAAAAGATGCTTCCCCAGACCTTCCTAAAGGGACAAGGTGGCAGGTAGAGGTGAAGGATATGTGTATAGTGGGCCCCTCCCCATGTGGGGGTAATACAATCTCCCAGGGTCTTTGTGAGTCTGAAATAAAATGAAATGCTTGACAGTGTCACCTAGAGTGGCTGGCATACAGTAGGTGCTTAATATGTGCCCATTTCCATCCTTCTTCCTACTCTGTCTGCTCCCAGGGAAGGGATATCCATTGATCTCACAGGCATGGGAGGATTCAGCTCTTCAGTCATTCAGCAAACATTTATCGAACACCTGGGTTAGGCAAAGGTGGGAATCCTCCTCAACCTAGCTGGTATCTTCCCTGCTGTCCCCAAATCCTTGGCCTCAGAAGCTCTCCCCCTCCCACTGCCACCCACCCTTCTGGGTCTCAGCCCCTGCCTCCTTCCCAGCATGGCTTTAAGCCCCAGGGAGCCCTGCTCCTGTGGCTTCTCCCTCATTCCCCGCATAGCTCCAGGCTGCTCCCTTCGACCACCACATTCATGGAGCTGGGCCACGTGCAAGAGCACAATTAATATTCCACTCAGTCTCCCCGAGCCCTGCTGCCTACCGGGAGAAGATGGAAACCAGATTTGCAGCCGCACGCGCTGGCATGGATGCACACAGAGAGGCAGCCCGCCCCTAGGTGTGAGCTGGCACATACACATGTGCAAATGTGGAAGCCCCACACTTAGATTCACACCTCCAGACATCCTCGGGGAGGGAGGAGCTGTATGCACACCTAGCTCCCAGCCAATCACTGCCCAGGGGACACTCAGACTCCTCACACACAAAGGCCGTATTTGCTTTCTGGGCAGAGGGAGACAGAATCATAGCATTTCAGAGCTGGGAGGATGGGATTTCAGAGACCAAGCTAAGACCCTCATTTTCCAGGGAAGAATCTGAGGCCCTGGCTTAACCTTGACTGTTATCAGTCCCCAGTGAAGCACATGGTGACTGGATGCATTTTAGCAAAGCCTTTGATTTAAATGCCTGATGCTGCCTCCCTCCTTCCTGGGGACAAGCTACTTCAGTCTCACCAGCCTTGGAGGTTGGGGAATCTGAGGCTCACGGTGGGTTGGGGGGATAAGGGCTTGGCAAGAGCAGGAGGTCGTAGGCAGAGTCAGGCCTCCAACTTTCCGTGCCCCTGCCCTTCCTCTTAGCCCCATAGTTCCAGCTCTGCCAGCCCTAGGTGGGGCAGGATTTGCAGGGGAGTGTCCCCAACAATATGAGGACTCAAGGCAGGAGGAAACAAGTGGCTTTGTTGGTTTCTCTCCTATTACTGGAGACTTCAAGAGCGAGGAGATGGAGGGTGGTGGTATGCCTGAGTGCGTGTCTTCTGGGGAGGGAGCCAGGTGGCTGCGTTCTAGAGATGTCTAGAAGCGGAGTTGGAGCAGGTGATTCAGGCTGGAGGGGAGAAGGGTGACTTGAGAACAGGAGGAGAGCAAAGCAGGAAGCGGGTGGAGCTGTTTCCCAGATGGCAGGCAGACAGAGGGCCAAGGGGCGGGCCTGCTTCCAGTCCAAAGATGGGACGGCAGAGCAGAAATTCAGGGAAAAAGAAGCAAAAATAATTACCAGGAAAAGGAGCTGGAAGGGAGGCAAGTGTTTTCTTAGTCTTTAAGGAACTTCAGTCTTCAGAGAATTTAAAGAGGAAAAAAAAATCTATCTTAAGGCCTTTCTCCAAGGCAGGGTGGTTGGTGATTCACCCGCTGCTGTGGAAGGCCCTGGAGAAAGGCCCTCCCCTCCAGTCCTGCCTCTGCCCAGTGAGCAAATTCAGTTCAACTGGGGTGAGTGGAAAGGGCTCTGGGTGCGGAGCCGGGAGGCCCTGGTTTCAGTCCTATCTGCCTCATGAGGCTGGGTGACTTAAGGCAAGCCTCTGATGGCCCCAGGCCTTGGTTTTCTATAAAACGAGAAGAGGCAAGTCATATAAACTCTCTGAGCCTTGGTTTTCTCATCTGCAGATTAGGGATGATAATAATATCATGTTGATTCTAAGGTGTCATCAATTACATGATGCACCACTATTTTATGTACTTCAGGAAGGAAAAAACATCATCCATTAAACTATGACAGACCATCGATCATAAGACACATTCTGATTTCAGAGATGTTAAAACATTGAGGAAATGTGCATCTCAGAATCAGTGAAAGACGATACTTATCTCACAAGCTTGTTCCAAGAATTAAACAAGATGATAAAAAGTATTTAGTGCCTGGCACAAAGCAAGTACTAATAAATGTCCGGTATTTTTATGGTTCAGGGTTGGGTGGAAAGGGATCACAGGCCAAAGGGGTGGAAAGGAGAGCCCTAAACTAAGTGAGAGCTGGGGTTCTGAAACCCACCCTGCTCCTGGTAGAGTGCCACCTCAGGCTCCATGTCCAGCCCCAGTGGGGGGCACAGGGAAAGCAGCCATGCAGCCCAATTTAGGGAGCTGCTAGAGAACAGAGGGCCCCGTCTGCACCCCGGAAGTCAGTCTAATCTCCAGGATGAATATGTTTTCATTTCTCAGAAGTTCCTGTTAGAGTGTGCCAAAGCATTTTTCCCTTTACAACCCAGGCAAACAAGACAAGTTTACTTTGGGTGACCTTATTATCACCACCCAGGGCCTGCCTGCTGAGTGTAAACACCAGCTTGCACCCTCCTGGAGGCTCTGGGCAGAAGCCTGGATAATCAAAGTACCAGGCCTCCTGAGCGGGGAGGCCCTTCACACTCCCCCGACCCCTACCCCTGCTCCCCAGGCCCTGTCCTGGAAAGGGCACATTGGAAGATCCTTGGAGAGGATGAAACCCTAGAGGGCATCAACACCTCGCCCATTTCATAGCTATGGAAACGGAGACCCAACGAAGGGCAGTGACTCTACACACACACACACACACACACACACACACACACACACACACACACCCCATTCTACTCACAGCTCAGCCTGGCAGGAGCCTCTCTCTCTGCCTGATCCTCAGTGTCTGGAACAGGCAAGAAGCTTATCTCTGTCCTCTTTCTCCTGTGCGTCATTGACTGCGTTGGGATGCCTTTATGCATGAAGCTTTTGCTTCACAGTTGGAACAGCTCATGGAGAGCAGCAACCAGGTGTTCCTGAGCCCGTCACAGAAGGAGCTGCCATCAGTGCCTCTCGTGACCTGCAGTATTTGGGCCTGTGGAGGTGGTGTTTGCAGAGCCAACGTTGGCCTCCATCCCCTAACTCCTTCAGATGTAAAGGAGGGGCCTTGGTGGGGGGTTGGGTTGTGGGACCAGGCCCAAGAACTGGGAGGGAGGGAGCAAACCCTCCCTGCTGGGTTAGAAGGCAGACTTAAGACCCAGGGAGACATCTCATTTCATCTCCTGGAAAATCTTTAATAGACAAGAGAGAAGGGATGTGTGACTGACCACACCCTACAGAAGGCTTTAGGTGGGCACAGTTCTTTCCAGTCCTGGCACAGAATAGAGCCTGGGCTTCAGTGTGGCCATAAGTACGGGGTTTGTGTAGGGCATTGGGGTTTCGCCCTCATCATCTCACTCCTGCGCCACTGCCTGTTCTTCCCAGTCCGGCCTTCCTCCTCTTTCTCTTCTACTTGCTGTTCCCTCTGCCTAGAATGTTTTCCCTGCATTTTGCCCCATAAATGACCCCAGTTCTTGATTCAGTTCTCAGTTCACATGTGGCCTCTTCAGAGAGGCCTTCCTTACCCAAAGAGTCACATCACACTATTTTATTTTTTCATAGTCCTTACCACTCTCTGAAATCATCTTCTTAACATTTTTTTACCCACCCACCTCTGTACAAACACGTTTACTCTGGGATCCAGGTTCTTAATCACTGCTGTGTCTCCAGTGCCTAGTCTCGGAACCATTCACAGTAGGTACTCAATAATGCTTGTAGAATGTGTGAATAAATCTGCGATCATCCTCATCTCTGCTGGACTTTGCCATCCTCTTCATTCCAGAAAGAAAATGATCACACTCCTCTGTGTGCCCGGCTCTACACTGCCTGGTCTCCCTCCTCCCCCTGCCACCCCTTTCCCCAGGATTTCTCTTGGGAGATTCTGCCTCTCAGACTCCGCAGAAGCTGCTGGAACCAGAATGGCTCCCCAGGATTATTTTCAATGGTTTCCTGGGGTGTTCACCTGGGTAAGAATAAGGAAAGAGAGGACACTCTAATCCTACTTATCTAAAACTATATAATCTTCCCCAATCACTTAAATGGTACCTGTGTCTCTAATTACAGAGCAGGCTGGGAGGAACACAGGCACAATTTCCAGCCAACCTCAGGCGGGGGGCCACTTTTTCTCCTCCTGGGGGCCTGTAGGGACTATAGCTTAGTAGCCAGGACTCCAGACACCTGCTGCTGGAGCTCACTCACGATAGCCTGTTCACCCAGCCAGAGACCCCTCCCCTCCCCCTGAGAAGTATCAGCCACATCCCAGTGTTTGAATGGTCCCCATTTGGCCAGATGTGACGCATTTGGGGAAGACACCCATGGTCCCAGCACCCTAATTCTACCCGCCACTGTTGTGAAAGTGAATTGATTTCTTTTTGGCCCAGCCTTACTTCTCGGAGTTGCATGGCTGGTGAACTGGTCCCCAGAGCATGGGTTATAATCCTACTTTCTCAGGAGCAAATTCTACAGGAGGCCTGGGAGCTAACAGTCATGTGACAGCCTGGAAGGTCAGAACTTCACTCTCCAGAACTATGTCAACTAGATCATAAGGTGGGGAAAAGCCACGTGACTGCCTGCCTGCCAGGGAAGCAAACAACTGCTGTCTCAGCCTTGGTATGAACCCTTCTCCCACCTGGTGCTGAGAGCAATTTTGGTGACATCCATGGCTTAGCTGCAATGACATCTCTACCTCTTAAAGGCCTTTGGTTCCTGAGCTAATTAAACGTCCCAGACAGAAAGGACATGCTTAATCTTATTAATAACTTCTGGTCAGGAAACAGTGTGCCCAGCCCTCTGAGGGAGTGCCTTTCTGAACCACCTCCATTTGTTCAGGTGCTTGGCGATTGCTATCAGCCCTTTCAAGAGATTAAGTTTGTACGCAGGAGCAAGCCACTTAGGTAATGGATCCCGGGGCCCTGGGAGTGTCTGGTGACTGTGGAGTGTGCAGCCAGCCAGCACCTTGGCTCATTCAGATTCCAGAACCACTGTTTTCCAACTTCCTGCTCTTCAGAACCATTGGGGGGTAGGGAGGGACTTGACTATCGAGGAGAAGAGGGGGACTCTCCTATCTCTGGCTGTTCACCCAGCCCTTTCACACAGAGGGAAGCTGGGGACTGTCCTTGCCCTGAGGAGCCTCACAGCTCAGTGGGGTCACAGATACAAACAATGTGAGCAAATAAGGACAATACCACATTAGACTGGAAACAGTGGAGGTGAGCACATGATGCCCTGTGGGTGTATACCGTTGGTAACTGCTCCAGCCTGGGGGTTCAGGGAAGGCTTCCTGGAAGAAGAAACAGGTGAGATGAGAAATGAGAGTTACAAGCTGAAAATCGGCTGGGCATGGTGGCTCACACCTGTAATCCCAGCACTTTGGGAGGCCAAGGAGGCCGGATCACCTGAGGTTAGGAGTTCCAGAGGAGCCTGGCCAACATGGTGAAACCCCGTCCCTACTAAAAATACAAAAATTAGCTGGGCGTGGTGGGGCGCGCCTGTAATTCCAGGTGCTCAGGAGGCTGAGGCAGGAGAATCGTTTGAAACTGGGAGGCGGAGGTTGCAGTGAGCCGAGAACACACCATTGCACCCCAGCCCGGGCAAAAAGAGCGAAACTCCGTGTCAAAAAAATAGTAATAATAATAAATAAAATTTTTAAAAAGCTGAAAATCTCCCCCGTTGAGGGGAGATCTGTTGAGGGGACTGTGAAATGGAATTCCCTGACTGGGTTTCGTGCAGGCTTTAGTATAAGGCTGGAAGGATGGAAATAGCTCCCTCATCAATTTACGGGACAGTGGTTGGTGAAGCCTTAAAATGCCAATGTTCCAGGAACACTGTTATCGGTTCCAGGACTATTGTTGCTTTAAGCCCCCACCTTGAGCATTCAGAGAAGAGAGATTACTAAGACGAAGTTGCAGATGTCTCTTTAAAAAAGGAGAGAGGATTCCTCGAGCCACGCCCTCTTCTCATTAATATTAAATTATTGTGAATATTGATGTGGGGGCGTGGCGCCTTGGCCAGCTGGGCTAGCCAGCCAGGGGTTCCCGGTTTCACAGAGAGGAAAGTGACAGAAGACGTGCGGAGGGAGACGCAGAGACAGAGGAGAGGCCGGCAGCCACCCAGTCTCGGGGGAGCACTTAGCTCCCCCGCCCC
This sequence comes from Homo sapiens, assembly GCF_000001405.40. Lineage (NCBI taxonomy): Eukaryota > Metazoa > Chordata > Mammalia > Primates > Hominidae > Homo > Homo sapiens. Next base: position 46,277,761 of record NC_000011.10, read on the forward strand.
GGCTCCCACCCTGTCCGGGGGGCTCCTGAAGCCCTCAGCCCCAACCCCGGGCTCCCCATGGAAGCCAGCTGTGCCCCAGGAGGAGCAGGAGGAGGTGGAGTCGGCTGAATGCCCACGGTGCGCCCGGGGCCCCTGAGCCCATCCCGCTCCTAGCCGCTGCCCTAAGGCCCCCGCGCGCCCCGCGCCCCCCACCCGGGGCCGCGCCGCCTCCGTCCGCCCCTCCCCCGGGGCTTCGCCCCGGACCTGCCCCCCGCCCGTTTGCCAGCGCTCAGGCAGGAGCTCTGGACTGGGCGCGCCGCCGCCCTGGAGTGAGGGAAGCCCAGTGGAAGGGGGTCCCGGGAGCCGGCTGCGATGGACGCCGTCTTGGAACCCTTCCCGGCCGACAGGCTGTTCCCCGGATCCAGCTTCCTGGACTTGGGGGATCTGAACGAGTCGGACTTCCTCAACAATGCGGTAAGATGAAGGGTCTCCGTTCCCGTTCCACCCCTCGGCACCCGTCCTCGCGGCGCGCCTGGGCCCCTAGAAGGACCCGACTACACATCACTGGGCAGGAGCCGGGGAGAGGGTTCAGCGCAGGGTCTCCAGGAGCGACATGTGTTTGGAGCTAAGCGCCCCTCCTGGGGGCTCAATCTTTGAATACACTGGCCTCCACCTTCTAGGGGGAAGGGGCCATCGAGGTATCGGGTCCGTCCGATCCTCGGATCTGAGCTCAAGAGACACCAATCCCGCCCTCCACCCACGTCTTCTAGCCGTCCCCAACCCACCCCAGGTTCCAGGACCAGACTGGGCGCAAAGTGGCAGCGCCCTTTCCTGCGCCTCCCTTGGGGCTTCGGTGGCTCATAGGCTGGATCTCCGCTGGGGGGCGCACCGGGGAACGTTCAGAGGGCCTGAGACCCGACCCCTCGGGGAAGCCAGGCCCAGAAATTTCAGGGTGCTACCCTGGCAGCCCCAGGGAATCAGGCCCAGAGACCCCCCACCCCAGGGAGGGACCTGAGGCTGGGGGCTGGGAAGAGGCGGTCAGGGCAACATAGGGTGATGGCTCAGGAGGAGGGAGCCATTTCTCTCCATCTGCCTCTAGATCTCTGCTCTGTCCCTCTGTTCCTGGAGTCTGGCTGACTTTCTCCCTCTCCCTATGTCTTCTTGACTAGGTCCGACTGTGAGCTTGTCTTTCTCCTCTTTCTCACTCTTCCCCTCCCTCCCTAAGGAAACGTGGCTTCTCTCTCTTCTTCCCTCCCTCCCTCTCTCAGGCTCAGCCCTAAGGCCTTGATGGGGGAGGGGCACGGACTTAGAATGGGAGAAAATATTTGGGTTCAGAAGGGCCTGCCCAGATGAAATGTGGATTGTTTGGGGAGTCTAGTGGGAGCCCCCTCTTCAGTGAACCACCAGTTGCGTGTGCATGCCTGTTCACACGCCACACACACACACACACCCTGTGATCAAGCACTTGAGACTCTTTACCTGCTGACCTCTACCTCCCAGGACCAAGATAAACTTGGCCAGGCAAGAGTCAAGTCCTTAGAGGACTTGAGCATCTTGGACTTCCACCTAAACTGTCCCAGGCCACTAGATTGATGGTGAGGAACCAGGCCAAGGGACAGGAGCCGGAGTCAAGGAGGCATGGGGGCTGAGGTCTCCCTGTTCTCCATTAAGCAGCACATCCTGGTCACCCTGCGCTCTGAGGAAGGCCCCTGTCCCAGGCAGAGAGAGCATAATTCAGCAGACAAGACAAGGGTATAAGGGCAGAGGGCTTGCATTGACTGCAGCGAGACTTGGTTTCTAGTCCTGGCTCTGCTTCCCCTGTGAGCTTGGCCCCTACCACTGGCTCTCCTCCCTGAGCCTCAGTTTCTTTGTCTGTAAAATGGGGGAGAGGTTGGATCAGGTCTTCCTATAGATGGTTCTGGCACAGATCCCAGGAATAAAGCAGCAGGGATCGGGGGATCCACACCTCCTCTTGAAGCTGGTAAAAGACACTAGTCAGAGGGAAAGAGGTTTGTCAGAGCTCGGACCCTTGAAGTCAAGCAGGGCAGTAGAGCCCTGCAGTAAGCTTCTCTCGGCCCTTGGCAGCTCTGAGTTGGGCTTTCTTCTGAATGAACTCGGCCGCCCGAAGCCTCTTCCTGCTGCTCCATTCAGCCCTGCATCCCCAGCTGCTTATCTGGGCCTTGGTCCAGCACAGGAAAAGAGGCACGACCAGACAGTGGGATCCAGCACTAGGACACTGGGGAGGAAAAGCCCTGCTGGGGAGGCTCCTGATCTCGCACCTGGGGCAGCGCCAGGAGAGGCAGCGGGAGAAGATGGGGTGCCTAAGGAAAGAGAGAAAGGACTCTTGGGCTGGGAATCAGGAGATTTAATTCTGTCTCTGTTTCTGCCACCAGCCAGCGGGACAATTCAGAAAAGTGACTTTTCTTTTCTTGTTTTTTTTTTTGTTTTTTGTTTTTTGTTTTTTTTCAGACGGAGTCTTGCTCTGTCGCCCAGGCTGGAGTGCAGTGGCGCGATCTCGGCTCACTGCAAGCTCCGCCTCCCGGGTTCACGCCATTCTCCTGTCTCAGCGTCCCGAGTAGCTGGGACTACAGGCACCCGCCACCACGCCCGGCTAATTTTTTTTTATATTTTTAGTAGAGACGGGGTTTCACCGTGTTAGCCAGGATGGTCTTGATCTCCTGACCTCGTGATCCACCCACCTCGGCCTCCCAAAGTGCTGGGATTACAGGCTTGAGCCACTGCGCCCGGCCAAAAGTGACTTTTCTTCTTCTGGGCTTTGACTTCCTCATCTGAAAAATGGGAATATTAGAACTATAGCATTACTGTAAGCATTTCGAGAGAAAATTAAAGTGAAGGTTATGTAGCACAATGCCTGGCATGTAACGTTCATCGTTGGCTTGATCCATAGAGACTGGATGGGCGTGATAGTGAGAATTGCTCAGCTACGAGTTGCTGTGTGAACATAGCAAGTCACTTTCCTTCTCTGGGGTCTCCATCTCCATATCCGAGGTTCTTTCCAGCTGAGATCCCATTCCAACCCTTCCCCCAACTTCTTCATTCTGCATGAGGATAGGAAAATGTTTCCAGGGTTAAGGATGGGTAGGGATGGCGTCTGTGTGCCTCTCAGTCTGGAAAATGGAGAGCAGAATATTCGCTATCCTCCTTAAAAATCCAGATACGGGCCATAAATCATGTGGAAATCATGTGTGCTCTGTTGCTCTGTGCAAAATGCAAAATGTATGCTCACCCTGAAAACAACTATGCAAGAAATACGCATGCACTTGGACAGACAGGAGAGTGAGTACACAAAGTCAAGACAAGTGTGTTTGGAGGTGGCTGGGCTGCCTTATTTTTCTTTCTATGAGGATACCTTCATGTTGCTGCAATTCTGTTTATGCGATTCTCAGAGATCCTCAGAAGGGGGCTGCCCTTCCTGTCCCATGTGGGGGCATCTCCTCCCTGCCCCTCCCGCTCTCCCATGGTTTCTGATGTGGCCACCCTTGAGCCACTGTACTCTGTGGTCCTTCAGCCCCTTGGCCAGTATGAGAGAGAGGGTCTGGGCTCCAAGAACTGGGATAAAGGACCAGAGGGAGAGCAGGTCGTTTCTCCAGATGGAAACACTAGGTCTGTGTGCTGTCCCCTCCTTCCTCTGGCTAAGGGGAAGGGATGTCTGGCTTCTCTAGAGGGAACTGGCTTGGGATCCCAGAGAAGCCCCAGCTGGGAGGGTGTGGGGAGGAGAAGGAGGAGGAAGAAAAGGTCTGTTTTCTCAGAGGGGAGCAGCAGGAAGCTGCAAGGATGTTTGCCCAGCACACCCGTTTACTCCCTGCAGCTGGGGAGGCCAGGTGTGGGAGTGACGGGGACCCAGGGACCAGCCCAGCATTGCGGGGAGGCGGTGGGGGCTAAGGCTGATCGCTACTCCCCACACGCCTAGCCTGGCTTCTCCTGAGCTAACTGGGAAGCAGAGAGGCACCCCCACCCCCAGCCTTCGGGAGATTTAGGGAGATTAGAGAAGTATGTGTGTTTGGGTGTTCCTATGTCTGTGGGTGGGCCTTTAACAGTCCTTAAAAGGGGAGATTTGTGTGTGTTTCTGTTTAAGTTCTCACCAACAGGAAAGAGGACAGAAGTGCTAAGGCACTCTGGTCTCAGAGTGCAATCTGCTAGAAAAGATCTAATGAAAAACCTACTGGAGGAGCCCAAATCTCAGGGTGCCTATTCAGAAAGGAGACCTCTGATACCTACTCTATCAAAACATTAAGTTCGTTTTGAGCAGAGGTTTGATTTGGGTTTTGCTTCCCCCAGTGTTGAGGGAACAGTTCCTTGAGTCAGGGGCTTGGTCTGTCTTGTTCACTGCTGTATCCCAGTGCCTAACAACCGTTGATGAATGAATAAATCGATGGATGGATGAATGAATGGATGGATGGATGAAGAAAAAGGGGCCCAAACCAGACCCCACATTCTTAGAGAAGAGGGAAAAGTGTCCTTAAGCCCATCTATTTGCAGCCATCGAGGTCCTGCAGACCCTGCACTGTCTCTGGGGTCCAGGAAGGGCTCTCCATGGTTTTTAATGAGTTCTCATTACCTTGAGCCATCCCCCTACTGCACAGGCCTCTGCAGCCCCTGGTCTAGAATAGTCTACAGCTGGCTGACCCACAGGGGATTTGAACTTGTGGCTCAGGTGTCACTCTTGAGCACTGTCTCTAGGGCTTCCGTTTTCCCCAGTTTCTTCTTCAGATTGCTCTAGGACTCCTGGATCCATACTCACCCAATTTAAGACTAAGCCTTTTCCAGCCCTGCCTCAGAGCCCTTGCACATGCTGTTCCTGTCATCTGGACTGCTTTTCCCCCAGTCTGTCCATCTCAGCCTTCTGATCCCAGCTCAAATATTGCCTCCTTAGGGAACGCTCCCTGACTACCTAAAGTGGGACCCCCCTGTTCTTTTCTGTTTTAGTCTTTTGATATCTTCTAGCCCTTAACCCAGTTTGCAATTATTTTAATGGCCTATTGTCTATTTCCTCCACGAGAAAGTAAGTTCCATAAGAGGAGAGTCCATATCAGTTTTGTGCATTGACATAAACCTAGCACAGTCACATGGGACAAAATAGATGCTCAATGTAGTAAAATTCTACAATAATGCAATAAATATGCCCAGTCAAAAATTTCCAATTATGTTCCTTTGCGGTGACTCATGCTTGTAATCTCAATGCTTTGGGAGACCAAGGTAGGAGGATTGCTTGAGCCCAGGAGTTCAAGACCAGTCTGGGCAACATAGGGAGACCTCGTCTCTACAAAAAATAAAAAAAAAATGAGCCGGGCATGGTGGCATATGCCTGTGGTCCCAGCCACTTAGGAGGCTGAGGAGGGAGGATCACTTGGGCTGGGGAGGTTGGGACTGCAGTGAGCCATAATGGCATCACTGCACTCCAGCCTGGGCAACAAAGCCAGACCCTGTCTCTAAAAGTAATAATAATAATACAAATTTAAAAATAAATTTTCCAATTACATAAAATGTGGAGTAATATTTTTGTAGAATTAACGAAAAACAGTATTTTTCAGATGGTCTGTACTATCACAAAAAGCAGGAAAGTAAAAATTGTGACACCTTACTGCACAAAGCAGACCAAACAGAAAGAGTACCACAGGAGCATGAGGCAGTCACTTTTTTTTACCAGCCCCATAGAGAATGGAGTTTTGCTCACTTTTATTTGAGAAGGGGCCTGAGCATAGAACAGAAGTCAAGTTTGGGTCACATTGTAGTGAACTTTGCTCTATTTCAAGGACTTACTATATTTGTAGAGAAAATTACTTTAGACTGGGGCAATCCTTGTAAGGGAAGGGAAAAATTGTTTTAAAAAAATCCCAGGCTGGATGTGGTGGCTCACACCTGTAATTCCAGTACTTTGGGAGGCGGAGGCAGGGGGATCACTTGAGGCCAAGAGTTTGAGACCAGCCTGGGCAACACAGAAAGACTCCGTCTCTACAAAAAATAAAAAATAAATTATCCAGGCATGGTGGCACATACCTGAAGTCCTGGCTGCTTAGGAGACTGATGTGGGATGATCACTTGAGCCCAGGAGTTCAAGGCTGCAGTGAGCTATTATCACGCCACTGCACTCCAGCCTGGGCAACAGAGCAAGACCCAAAAAATCAGATCTAAGTGTTCAAGAGGTGTACTTATGATTCCTGAAGGGATCCTGGGGTTTTCAGGATCCTGGACTGGCCATCCCTTAGGGTGGTGGGGATGCTGGGTCCCACAGAAGTGCTGTCTGTGCCCCGATATGTTGTGAGGTCCCTCCGGCTTCCCTGGACCAGCTGGGAATTCACTTGCTCATTCATTAATACACATGTCCATTCCTTCAGCAACTGGGCACTGAAGGAACATCTATGCTGGTGCCAGGGTAACCCAGATGAAGAAAACACACTTGACCCTCCAGTCAATCGCGGACGAATGAGAGAGACAGAGAGGGAAATAGGCAGTATCAACACCATGGTGGGCGCCATGATGGAGCAGAGCATGGCAGGAGGCTGAGCCAGGCTACAGGTCATGAAAGCTTTCTCAGAAGGTGATCTCTGCACATGCTGCCCCAATTTCCCTCTTCCTTAGTGGCAAAGGAGTTATTAGAAGGCTTTTCTGGCCAGGCATGGTAGCTCATGCCCATAATACCAACACTTTGGGAGGCTGAGGCAGGTGGATCACCTGAGTTCAGGAGTTTGAGACCAGCCTGACCAACATGGTGAAACCCCATCTCTACTAAAAATACCAAAAAAATTAGCCAGGCATGGTGGCATGTGCCTGTAATCCCAGCTACTTGGGAGGCTGAGCCAGGAGAATCGCTTGAACCCAGGAGGTGGAGATTGCAGTGAGCCAAGATCGCACCATTGCACTCCAGTCTGGGCAACAAGGGCAAAACTCCATCTCCAAAAAAAAAAAAAAAGGCATTTCCACAGGGACTGGGGCCATGTTCCTTTTACTGAACACGTATAGGCATTATTATCCATTGTGCACTCTGCTCAAGGGCAGGAGTCCTATGGAGAGTCAAAGAGGGGAGCAAGAAGAAGCTACAAGCAAGTTCTCTCATTGTTCTAGTTTGAGATTTCCCCTCTAGAGCAAGGAAAATTCAGGATCTTTCATATCACAGGGTCCCTGTCTTCATCCTCACCCACTCCCATCCTTAGGGCACCTTGGATGCCTAGAGCTTTATGGGCAAAACCAGATCCCCTGAATAAGCTCCCACATCCCATTTCACACCCTATCAGATTCACCCCCAGGATGCTGTTCCCCAGCCCTTCTGGGGACTTGGATCTTTGCTCTCTGCAGCTCCCAGGACTCCTCAGGAGACTCTGTTTCTGTCTGCCCTGGCCTGGCCTGGCTACTGCACCAGGAGAGGGGAGCATAAAGGACATCCCTGTTTTGTGTCTTCTCCCTGTATCATGTGCCTCGTGCGAGTCCTGGTACCGAGGCCCTCCTGGAGCATCTCTCTCTGGAACCTGGCTTGCCCTTGAACCTCCCTCAAGAAACCAGCTCCAGATGCTGGAGAACAGGCTGTTTCTCTGGAAGTCTCAGCACTCCTGGGGGCAGGATGGAGGAGGAATATTTGGGTGGAGTTAAGTCAAGACTGTGAGCTGGAACTCTGTGTAACCCTCTTGAGCAGCCCTGGGGAAGCCAGACTGAATGGCAGGACCCTGGACCAGGATTGGGGAATGTGTGGGGGTGGGATTGTCTGGTTCAGGAGAAGCTGGGAGAGGCAGGAAATGCCCCAGGACTCTGACCCTCAGAGGAAATATGTCAAAGGTATTGATTTCTTTGGAATGTCAAAGATCTTGATCCCCACCACCTAGACACACCATATTGTCTACAAGGCCAGTTTGATAGCTGGAGCAACCATGGGCTTCCCTGCCGCCGGGTTCAGTGTGCCTCCTCCCCTAATTCCCCTGGGACAGAGCCTTCACTGCCGCTTCCTTGGCCGTTGGCTCGTGGCTCGTGGCCCAGAAGCCACTTCACCCATCACAGAGAGTTTGACACATCTGGGCTGGGATGTGCGGTCCGACATAACAGCTGGACAGCAGCAGCCACTGGCTCCTCCTCCCCTTCCAAAAGAATAACAAAAATGAAAGTAGCGATGGAGTGAGGCAGGCTCTTCAGGCCTTCATGGAGAGCCAGGAGGCGGGTTTCAGGCAGTGATTGACAGGGGCTCGCTTTGGAGGCAGACAGGTCTGAGCCTTTGCCCATGGGTTCCCCTCCACCTGGAATACCCTCACCCTTCTTTACCTCATTTCCCTCACTTGCTGTGTGACCCTGGGCAAATCACTTTCCCTTTCTGGGCCTTGGCCTCCTCATTTCTGAACTAAACTGAGGGCTCCTTGAGAGCAGGGTGTGTCAGTCAATTATTTGCGGCTATTCCCTAGGTACAGCTATAATGACTGAGTGCTCAGGAAATGTTTATTTATTGGATGGATGGAAGGAAGGCAGGATGGAGTAGGGTGGGGACGATAGAGGAATGAATAGGTGGGTGGATAGATAGTAAAAGAAAGGACACTTCTACACTTCCAGCTTTGATGGCCCTCTTTTTTAAAGTAGATTGCTTCATTCGTTCACTCATTTGATTACTCAAATCGTGAATGTTAGCATAAATGCCATCTCTCCCTTTCACTTTATCATCATGGCCTTTTCTATTATGATATCTTGTGCACTGGTAGAATATATAGACTGTATATCTATCAGTTATAAAGTATAATAAAATTAATACATGGAAACTTACCCAGCTTAAGAATCAGACTCAGGGCCGGGCATGGTGGCTCATGCCTGTAATCCCAGCACTTTGGGAGGCTGAGGCGGGTCAGTAGTTTGAGACCAGCCTGGCCAACATGGTGAAACCCCGTCTCTACTAAAAATACAAAAATTAGCCAGGCGTGGTGGCGGGAGCCTGTAATCCCAGCTACTCAGGAGGCTGAGGCAGGAGAACTGCTTGAACCCAGGAGGCGGAGGTTGCAGTGAGCCGAGATTGAACCACTGCACTCCAGCCTGGGCAACAGAACAAGACTCTGTCTCAAAAAACAAACAGACAAACAAAAAGAAAAAAGAAAAAGAAAGAAAGAAGAAAGAAAAAGAAAAGAAAACACACTCGGTTCTGAATATCTTGGTCTCTCAAAGCTGCATGAGTTTGGGACAGAGGTGAGCTGTAGACCCTGAATCCACCCCACTCTGGGGAGATTTTAAACAGGAAAGTCCCAAGACTTCCCAGGTGCGTACTCCCAGGCTCAACGTGTGCAGACAGTGGGTCCACAGGTCAGATGGCAGATGATGAGGCAAGTGCTGGGGAAGTGATCCTTGCCTGAGGCGGGACGTCTTCAGCACTGCTTAGACCTGGGGCCTCCCACTTGTCACCTGTGTGAGCTTGGGCAGGTGCTTTAACCTCTCCAAGCTTATTTTCCTCATCCAAAAGTAGGGTTCATGGTAAAACATAGGGTTCTTAAGAGAATTCCATTAGAAATTCTTGCAGAGGGCCTGGTACACCATAAACCCTCTATAAACAATAGTTGCCACTGCTGTTTTTATTGTTTTGGTTTTTAAATTTTTTTTTGAGACAGGGTCTCACTCTGTTGCCCAGGCTGGAGTGTAGTGGCACAAACACAGTTCACTGCAGCCTCAACCTCCCGGACTCAAGTGATCCTCTCACCTCAAACCCCTGAGTAGCTAGGACTACAGGGACATACCACCATGTCTGGCTAATTTTTTGTATTTTTTGTAAAGATGTTTTTTTTGCCATGTTGCCCAGGCTGGTCTTGAACTCCTGAGCTCAAGCGATCCTCCCTCCTTGGCTCCCAAAGTGCTAAGATTACAGGCATAAGTCACCACACCTGGACAATTTTTAATTTTTGTGGGTACATAGTAGGTTAGATATTTATGGGGCACATGAGATATTTTGGTACAGGCATGTAATACATAATAATCACATGATGGGACAGGTGCGGTGGTTCACGCCTGTAATCCTAGCACTTTGGGAGGCCGAGGCGGGTGGATCACAAGGTCAGGAGTTTGAGAACAGCCTGACCAACATGGTGAAACCACATCTCTACTAAAAATACAAAAATTAGCCGGGCGTGTTGGTGTGCACCTGTAATCCCAGCTACTCAGGAGGCTGAGACAGAAGAATTGCTTGAACCCAGGAGGCGGAGGTTGCAGTAAGCCGAGATCATGCCACTAAACTCCAGCCTGAGCAACAGACTGAGATTCTGTCTCAAAAAAAAAAAATCACGTCATGGAGAATGGGGTATCCATCCCCTCGGGCATTTATCCTTTGTGTTACAAACAATCCAATTACACTCTTTTTTTTATTTTATTTATTTATTTATTCATTTATTTTTGAGATGGAGTCTCGCTCTGTTGCCCAGGCTGGAATGCAATGGCGCGACCTCCACTCACTGCAGCCTCCGCCTCCCAGGTTCAAGCAATTCTCTGCCTCAGTCTCCCGAGTAGCTGGGATTACAGGCATGCGCCATGACACCTGGCTGATTTTTGTATTTTTAGCAGAGATGGGGTTTTGTTATGTTGGCCAGGCTGGTCTCAAACTCCTGGCCTCAAGTGATCCGCCCGCCTCAGTCTCCCAAAGTGCTGGGATTATAGGCGTGAGCCACCGCACACGGCCCTCTTAGTTATTTTAAAATTAAGTTATAATTGACTGTGGTCCCCCTTGCTGTTTTTATTTTGATTGTTGCTGTCATTGCTTAAAAGGAAGGCCCATGGCATTTGACAGCCCTCGCAGGAATATCCCACCTTGTCCAGCCCTGCAGAGCCCTGATCACGGGGATTTTATTTTTCTGTCTCAACTCTCTGGAGATGGAAGGCTCTTTCCTTTGGGTAAAGCCAAAAAGCCCCAGGCCACTTCTCAGGGCTCTTTCTGGGCAGCAGGAGAGGGATGGCCAGGAAAGGAGCAAAACCGGATCCCCAGGATGAACCCAGTGTGTGGAGTGGGGGCCCATATTTTGTATCTGGCCCTGGACTAGGTGCTGCAATGGGGCAGCAGGATCATTCTTTCAGCAACCAGTGTTGTTGTGGGTGCTTAAGAGCGTGGGTTCTGCAATCAGAGCTTGGGTTCAAATCCCCGCTTGACCACTTGCTAACTGAATGAACCTGGGCAAGCTGCTTAACTACTCTGAGCCTCAGCGTCTCATCCATAAAGTGAGGGTACTAAGAGGACCCACTTTATCCTTTGAAGCTTAAATGAGATACTACATGCAGGAAGTTAGAGCAGTGCCTGGTACATAAATATTCGCTGTTATTATATTATGATCATTACCATTAGGCAGAGTATATGCTGGGCCCTGTTTGAGGCTCTGCAGAGGGTTCAAGGATGAAATCCGGCCAGGCGCGGTGGCTCACGCCTGTAATCCCAGCACTTTGGGAGGCTGAGGCAGGCGGATCACTTGAGGTCAGGAGTTCAAGACCAACCTGGACAACACAGTGAAACCCCGTCTCTACCAAAAAATACAAAAATTAGCCAGACATGGTGGTCCATTCCTGTAGTCCCAGCTACTTGAGAGGCTGAGGCAGGAGAATCACTTGAACCCAGGAGGCAGAGGTTGCAGTGACCCAAGATGGTACCACTGCACTCCAGCCTGGGCAACAGAGTGAGACCCCATCTCCAAAACAAAAAAGATGAAACCTGTCCTTGATCTACCCGAAAGAAGGGTAACGTTTAGAAGGACAGCTGGATCCCATTGTGTGTAATTAGAGTTCAGGGCATGACATTAACCAATGACCTAACAGTCTGTAAGTGCTGTGGTAGAACAGAGAGGGAGATTACTCTTCAAGCTTGGTGATCAGGGAAGGCTTCTTGGAGGAAGCAGCATTTGAGTTGGCCCCTTAAAGGATAGGAAGAGTTAGAATGAGGAGATAAAGGACAAAACACTGCAGGCACCAGGAGAGGTATAAGCAAAGGTCCTACAGCCATGGGGACCACAGCAGGTTTAAGGAGCTGGGAATGGTCCATCCAACTAGCCTGGAGAGGAGAGAAAATGAGGGGGCTCCAGCTCTAGTGGTAAGTTGGGATCAGTTTCTGACAGTCCTTGAGTATCATGCTGAGGAGCTGGGAGTTTTTCAGCAGGCAGGAGGGAGCCAACGATAGTTCTGGGTTGCACCAGGTGATGGTCACCAGCTCCTCTGAAGGGTCTCAGTGCTAGGAGGCCTGCGGTCCATCAGGCGGATCTCAGCTGTCAGCCTGTCTGGGTGATCAGGGACTCTCCCCCAGGGGGAACAGAGTTGTGGGACCTCCCTGAGCCCAGGACAGCAGCTGACTCCAGGTCCCTTCTCTCCTCTGATTTCTACTATTCAGTGCCCTGATGTGACTCTCGCACTGGGCCAGGAGTACCAGTTCCCTTCTGGCTCCTTCACCCCCAGCACTGAGAGCTAGGCTGGCCTGGGGAGGCCCAAGGCAACTCCGCCCTTGCAAAGGGACAGGCTGTTCCTCTTTGGGGCTGGGAGCTCCAGCCTGAACCATGTCCTGGCTCCTGGCCCAACACCAGGACCCTAACAAGATTCCCCCATCTCCTCCAATACTTCAGGACCCTCTACTATCAGACAAAGCATGTCTCTATGAACCCCAGGGGCCTAGGAGGGTCTGAACCCTCCTCCTGAGCCCAGCCCAGCCTGGCACACCAGCTCCTTGACCCTCTTACCCATTGGCTGGGACAAGATGCCCAGAGCCCCACTCACCATCCTTCCAGCCCTGCCCTCTGCCGCCCCAAGGCCTTCACCCCTTTCTCTCCAGGGCTGCAAATCACTTCCACATTTGGGATCTGGCATGCACTATCTGCTTGGAACTCTCTCCTCCCAGTTAGCTCCCATCTCCTTCCACCCCACAAGTTCAGCCCCTGGGGTCTGCAGGAGGGGAAGGGCTCCTGCCTCTGACAATCCCTTCAGAGGACTAACAGGGAGCCTGACTGTGGCACGGTGCCAGAGGGACAGTGTACAGGAGGCCTCCCAGGGAGAGATGAAAGAGGAGGAGCCAAGGGGGTGGGCGGAGGCAGAGCTTGAGCAAGCAAGGGGATGAGGGGTTGGGGGTGGGGAGGCAAGGAAGGTGGTAGTTCCCAGCTCAGCACATTCCTGAGACATCTGGATGCACTGGAAGGGCCCCAGCTGGCCTGCATAACTGTGGCTCTAGCTTCTCTGCTCTGTGATGTCAGGACCCAGCACTCCCCGCTCCCCTCAGAGTCCCACTGGCCTGGGGGCCACTTGGGGCTGAGTACTGGGGTCTCTTCCCCAGACCCCTGACCCTCAGTGAGCAAGAAAGAGGCCCCTGGGGCAATGGAGGAAATGCTTGCCACAGAGGTGGGCCAGGGTATGATGGCAGGAGGGAGGCACTGAAGACCCAGTGGTTTGCCCATCCGACTGACTCAAGGAAAATGTGCCTTTGGGCTGGTGCCAGTCCTTCTCTTCTCCTTGGAAGGGAGATAGAGACAAATGAATGACTCTGGAAACGGCTGCTTACCTTGGGCTGTGTGACCCCAGGCAAGTGCACTCCCATCCCCAGCTCTCGGTTTTCTTCATCTGTAATAATAACAGCTACATTTAATGAGAGCCTTCCTCCTATATGTCCTGCATTATATAAAGCACTTCGCAATTGTTGTCTCATTTAATCCTCACAGCAACCTGGTGGGGTGGATATGAACGTTCCCATTTTATACTCAGGACTGAGGCTTAGAGAGGTTAAGTAACTTGTCCAAAGCCTGCACAGTGTATAGCAGAACCAGGATTAGAACCAGGTCCGTCTGACTCCCTTGCTTATAACCATTGAACTGCTTTGCCTCTTCACGTAAGAGGGGGTGGACCTAATGATGCCAAAATTCCTTTCAGTTCGAAAATTGTAATGATTTCTTTTGGCCGTTGCAGGGCTCTTCAAGAAGGGCAAGGGCAAGCATTAGTCACCTACTGGGTGGGGGAAGGAAGGCAGAGACAGCTGGCTTTGAAGCATCGGGTGGGTCAAGAGTCTTTGGAGGTCCCCTCCCTTGGAGGCCCAGAGAGCTCCAGACCCCAGGGATTGGAGTCAATAGCCTAATCCCCAGCTGAGCCCAGGGGTCCCACACCTTCCCTGAAAGAAGGGAGTAAATAAGGAGAGAGAATACCACTCCTTCCAAAAATAAAACCTGAGGACAACTCAGGCCAGGACCGCTGAGGATGTCAGAGGCTGAATGCTGAGTACACTGAGGAGAGGGGAGAGGCCAAGGGAATTCCAGCCAGAGTGAGGCGGTAGGCTCCAGGCGAGGAGGGCCTTCCAGCTGGCCAGGGGCCGAGAGAGCAGCCCTGGCGGGTTGGCCACTGTGTTCTGTTTATACCCTTAGGCCTGACAGGGTCTGGGGGGACAGCAATTCCAGCACTGAGTGGAGTCTGTGCTTCCCAGGTACCTGGTCTGCTGGGGCTTAAGAACAGAAAGGCTTAGGGAAGGAAGAACAACCCGGAGAATGGGTACAGCGGCCCCACTAGGGAGGAGCCGAGGGAAGGGGTCCAAACACATGGAAACTCTGCCTGGAGCAGAAGCAAGCTGGCATCAGAGCAAGATTCGGGACGGTCATTCCTGGAGGCTCTCTGCTACAGAAAAAAGGGCCTGACTCCATAAGCTCTCTGACACACTCCTTTATTCACACACTCATCCAGTCAGTCAGTCACTCCGTGAATGCCTGAGCATCCACTGTGTGCGGGGACCAATGCTAGGCTTTGCAGATTCAAACGAGAATTGGACACAGCAAGACATATAGGCAATACGGCTGGATCATTTGAAGCTACACCAAGGAACCTGTACTCTATCCTAAGGGTAGTAGGGAGCCATGATTCACTGATGATGAGTACAAGTTCCTCATCAATGGAGCAGAGAAATGACATAGGACTTCTAAGTTTTAGAAGATCCCGTTTTTTAGAGACAGGGTCTTGCTCTGTTGCCCTGGCTGGAGTGTAGTGGTGTAATCATAGCTCACTGCAGCCTCAAACTCCTGGGCTCAAGTAATCCTCCTTCAGCCTCCTGAGTGACTGGGATTACCCACCACACCTGGCTAATATTTTTAAATTTTTTTTTTTTTAGAGATGGGATCTCGCTATGTTGCCCAGGCTGGTCTCAAACTCTTGGCCTCAAGCAATCTTCCCACCTTGGCCTTCCAAAGTGCTAGGATTACAAGTGTGAGCCCCCTTGAGTGGCCTAGAAGATCTCTCTTCATGTAAGGTGGAGAATGCTCTGGAGAGGGATCAGAGTTTGAGACTTGGACTTACCCTTCATTGTCACACCATTGGTCAGAAAGCCTTTTGAGAGCAGGAACTGGATCTTGTTCATCTCTGTATCCACAAAGCTGGGCACCCAGTAGGTGCTGAGTAAATACCGAACAAATGCATGAATGATGAATAAATGAATGTGACTAGATGCCCTTATTCTCCAGAGGCCCCTGCGCCAACCCCGGCACTCGGTTTCCGGTGTCCTAAGCTGCCCTGCAGGGATCCCCTGGCCGCTGCCTATAGACCAGCATCTCCAGCAGCCAGACCGTGGGCTGCTGTGCCCTCGGAGGTGCCAGACACAGCTAATCCCAGCCCTGGGCGGCGGCACTCGCTGCCATCGCTTCCTCCTGCCCAGACAGTGCCTGGTGCCCACCCCAGGGTTGGACCACAGCGCATGGGCTGCCTGGTAAGAAGATGCCAGGGGCTGGCTGGGAAAATGAGGAAGCTATGGCCTGACCAGGACAAGGTTACCAGTGTCAGGAGGGGCAATGGAAGGGCCAGACTAACAGGGCTAGGGGGCTGCAGAGAATACACACCCTCCCCAGGACTCTGCTCTGCCTTGAAGTAGCCCGCGGCTGGCGCCAGCCTGCTGATTCCTCTCTCCTTCCTTTCTCCAGCACACACTGGCAAAGAAAAGCTCAGTCCCCATGTTGGCGCTTTCTTCAGTCCCAGCCCTCAGTGTCCCAGCCCCATGCAAGCCCGGGGCTCCCAAATCTCCCTCACTGGTGTTCACATGACTCAGTCATCTCAGGCACTGAGATGCTGGCTTGGCAGCCAACATTTAGTTCTGTGGTTATGTGAGATGGTGTGTGTGTGACAGCGAGTATGCGTGACCATGTCTGTGTGATCCTGTGTCTGGGGTGACTTCGCATGTGTGTGAGCGTAGGGGTGTGAATCACTGTTTGTCTGATCACATCTGATGAGTGTGTCTTGTTGAGTTTGTGTTCATACCTGACAGCGTCAGCCTATGTGACTCTGTGAGGGTATCTGTATGTGTGATAGCGCCTGTACAAGGCTGCACATGGAACTGGCTGAATGTGTCGATGAGTGTACTTTTCACTATGTGGTGTCAGAGAGGTGGTGTTTCCCTGTGTACAAAGGAACCCCTCAGCCCACATCTGTGTAGCATGTGCACATGCATGCGTGCACACACACACCGAAGTATTTCTGCTTATTTGGACTTGGGATCTGTGGTGACCAGTTCGGTAGGGGAAAATATGAAACTTCAGCAGCCGCCTTCCCTAGGCCTATGGGGACTGGGGGCTGAGAGTGAGGTCGGGGGTCAGAACAACGTGCTCCCTTAACCCCCATACTCTGCCAGGAAGACTCAGGGAGGGACTGGCTCCAGGGACCAGGAGAACTGGTTTCACACCATCCAGTCCCCAAAAGGCCAGGGCAGAGGAAAAAGGCCCACGTTCTGAAGACTAATTCACTTTTCTAGGCCCCTGTCAACCGCGCTTCCATAAAGACACAGACTGTAATGGATGAGGAAACCGAGGCCAGGAGAGGAGACACCTGCCACTGCCCAGGTCTCAGAGCACACCTGGGTCTTGAATTAGGGCCTCCTGAGTTTCAGTTCAGTGCGTTTTCTCCTTCACAGGGCGGCTTTAGCTCTGGGAAGGCAAGGCCTGGGCCTCGTAGGAACCCCAGCTACTGGATGGCAATGCTTAAGGACAGGGGGGTCTGCTGACAACCGGGGACTCAAGGGGCCCACCTCCTCTCCCTGCTCTCACCACTCCCCGCCCCCTAGGCACAGCAGTGACTCAGACTGAAGGCCCTTCAGCTTGAAATGGGGACAATTTTCTAGTGACCACGAGGCAAGTAACCGTCCGGGAATGCATGGGTCAGTGTGTGTTGGGGTGTGGGGGGGTCTGTGGGCCCCAGCCTGCGGGGGGAAAGAAAGGGGGAAATGTGAGAGGCCTCTCCTCCCATCTCTCCCTAGCTCTCACTCTCTCGGAAGGAATGTCCGGGCTCAGGATTCCCCCCCACCCCTTATCCCACAGCTCAGCCTGGACCCGCTCTGGTCTCCTCCCTCCTTTCCCCAAGCACAGACTGAACCAGCCTGGGCCGGGGGAGGGGCAGAAGTTAGGAGTGGGGGTGCAGGCGCCAAGGAGCCAGGGACCTGAGGGAAGAGGGCGCGCTGAGGCTGCTTCTGGTCAGGGAAACCATTCTCCTACACCGACCCCAGCAGGCAGCTGCGCCCCCAGAGCTTTACCCTGTCTCTGCACTGACCTTGGGGAAGGAATTTAGGGAGGGGTAAAACAAGGCTAGAGCTGGTACCATTACTGCCCCGGGAGAGTCCCCTCTGCCGCCACCAGAGACAGCCACCAAAGCGCCCCACGGTAGGACGATTCGAGATGGAGCTGCAAGGGGATTTAAGGCCCGGCTCGCCCTTTGAGTCGGGGTCGTCGGGGAGACCCTCGGTCTCCACTTCTCCCTGCGGGGGTGGGGGCGGGGCCGCGCTACTGATGAGGGGTTTAGGACACCGTGAGACGGCCAGGCCATTTCTGCCTCGGCCCCAGACGCAGAAGGGGTCCCATGCAGGCCCGAGCCAGTGCACCCTGCGCTCCCTCAGCCGCGGGCCGTCGGCGCAGGCCGGGACCCTCCTCCGCGCGAGCCCTGCACTCCTCCGGTGCCCTCCACGCCGCCACCGGCTGCTGCTCGCAGCCTCCCGCCATTGGCCAGGAGCTCTGCGGCTCCCACCAGTGAGCAGGCCGGATTCCGGTGAGGGGCGGCCCCGGGTGTTCCCGGGTTAACCCTTTGTGGGCCGCTCCAGGACGGCGGCACCCGGATCCTTCTCTAAAATTTAAAGGGCGGGCGGCTGAGGCCAGGCTCCAAGAGAGGGTGCAGCCGAGAAGAGGGGTACGCAGGTCTGCAAGCAGGAGAGCTCGGGAACCTCTCCTCCAAGGGAGGGAAGCCGGCGCCGGCTGCGCGTGACAGCCGAGAAGGAGCTTATATTGGCACGACTATAGGAAAAAGTCTTTAACGAGGAGGGAAACAAATCATAATATGTCCTTCTCCGGCTTCCCACCCCCGTTGCCTGGAAAGGCACCCCTGTAGGACGCTCACCCCCTGCAGAACCCTGTCGCCCTCAGAGCGTTGACACATGGCTCCCCTGAAGTTCGTGAACTCCTGGCCGCCGACCCCTTGCTCTTGCTCCCCAATTTCCATCGGACAATCTAAACCTGAACTTTTGTGTGTGAAGTGGAGGGAGGGCTGGGTGTGGTTGGGGGTAGAGGGGACAAGGGGGCGTGCTGGAGCGGAGGAGGTCTGAGGTCTCCAAAATGGGCTTTCCAGGGATGGGGCCAAGTGGATGCGGTGGAAGGAGTGAGAGGACCAGAAGGTCCCGCACACGCCAGGGCAGCCCTGGACTTCACCAGCTCACTTTGCAGCCCCGGACATCACCAGCTCGCTCACTGTGCGTCCTGGGTAGCTGTGTTTCCCTCTCTGGACTGGAGTTTTCTCTACTAAGAAATAGGAGGGGGGGAACGAGGGGCAGGGGACCGTCGGGGAGCTTTCTCCCGTCCCTTCTGCCTCTAACTTGGTGATAGAAACCAACCCTACCTTAGCCGCCATGAGAGGCCAGGCATCAGACGGAACTAGGGCCGCAGAGCGCTCTAGGGGAGTCCCTGATGGCAGTGCTCCCAGGAGGGCGAGGTGGGCCTAGGGATGATGGGACGCGCCCACCGTCCACCCAGCACCTGAAGAAGCCCGGCGCAAAGAGGACCTGGGCGTCGGAGTGTCCTCCACCCCCACCCCGCCTGCCCCTTGGCCGCCCTCCCCTTCCACTTGGCTCCCGTTGCTCTGGAAGCTCCATCCTGCTGGGTTTTGGCTGCTGTTTCTAGCAGGTGGGGTGGGGACTGCTCACACAATGGGGCCAGCTGAGCTCTCTAAGCAGTTTCCTGTGGGCACCCTAAAAGGGTCTCTGGGAAGAACCTGGGTCATCTGCCTGAGCCAAGGCCTTCAGGGAGTCCAGCCCAGATCCGAGGAAGCATCTTTCCTCTCCCAGGCCCCAGGAAGGGGCTTGGCAAACCCTTATCGCCTGAGAAGCAGCTGCTGGAGAAATACCTTAGCGGCTGACTCACCGGCTCCCTCTGCTCACAGCCCCCTCCCACTGGGCCCAACACCAGGCCTTTGAGAGACCCTAAGGGAGAGAACTGGCGGAAGCGCCCCCAGCCGGCAGGCCCGGGCTCTGCGGAGGGTGTAGCCAGCGCGGCCCTGGCTGTGGCTGGCTGGGTGGTTGGGGGGTGGTTATACCCTGTAAATGGCCTCTGTCTGGGATCACAGTGATTCTTAGAAACTCATTCAGCTCTGACCTCCTGGTACTGCCTCACTCCAGGTATTGATGGACAATTGGTATGCTGATGGCATTGCCATCTGGGTTCTAAGGCCCTGTCCCTCCACCAGTATCATGAGCCAGGTGCTGGAAGGCAGCAGGTGAACAGGGTGCAAACCCTGCTTCAGGGCAATTACCGGACCGGGGAGGGTCTGCTGCAGTTGTAAAAGACTGGACAGTGAGGGATGGTGGGCACCTCCCTGCTGCATTAGCGCCCTTGGCCTCAGTTTCTCTCTCTGTCAAATGCCAATATGCATTTGTCTTGTCTCATTGGATAATTGTGAAGATTAAATGAAATAATGCATAGGAGAGCACTTTGGGTTAAAAGCACAACAGAAATGTAGGATGATGATTGATTGCTGGCAAACTGGGAAGTGGGAGAGTACCCCTGCCAATGGGGCTTCTGAGCTCATTTTGTCCTGGATTATCTCATCAGGCTTTGTTTGGAGGGAAAGGCCAAACATTCCCCCCACAACTCCCACCATTGGTTCCAAGCTCAGCTCGGGGACAGAGTTTAGGGGCTGCAGTTTTCATGATGACGATAACTAACAATGATCGAGCATTCACTCTGTAGCAGGCACTGTTCTGTGTTTTATATGTACAGTATTTACTCATTTTACCCTCATACTCCTATGAGGTGAGTACTAATCTAACAAAATTTTAGATCCTCATGGCAACACTATGAGGTAGGAACTATTATTTTCCCCTTACGGATAAGGAAACTGAGGCACGGGGAAGTTAAGCAACTTAGCAAGTGGTGGAGCTAGGAGTCAAAAGCACGTCTATGTGACTCCAGAGCTCGTGTTCATCTCCTACTCCATGCAGACAGACTCATGTGGCCCTGAACCTTATGCTCATACAGAAGGCTTCTCTGCTCATTACCTTCCAGGTTGGGACAGGCTCCCAATATTCCAGGCCAGAAAGGGCCAACAACTCCAGACCTTGAAGGAATCCCCTGGCACAAGCCTTTAACCACTCAGCAGGCAGGGCTTCAGGACCTAAGGCAGCCCCCCATCCCCCATCTCTTCTGACCCACCAGCAAATTCATTCGTTCAATAAATAAGGAACAAACAATAGAAACATTTATTGGACAGGCACGGTGGCCTACACCTGTAATCCCAGCACTTTGGAAGGCCGAGGCGGGCAGATCACTTGAGGCCAGGAGTTTGAGACCAGCCTAGCCAACATGGTGAAACCCCATCTTTACTGAAAATACAAAAAATTAGCTGGGCGTGGTGGTGCGCACCTGTAGTCCCGGCTGCTTGGGAGGCTGAGGCATGCAAATCACTTGAACCCGGGAGATGGAGGTTGCAGTGAGCCAAAATCATGCCACTGCACTCCAGCCTGGGTGACAGAGTGAGACTCTCACAAGCAAGACAGAAAGAGAGAGAAAGAAACATTTCTTTACACATTTATAATTCTTTAGAGAGAGAAAAATAATGTACAAGAACCTACCATATGTCAGCCACTGGAGTGCTTTACTAACAATAAGAGGCAACGTTTATTGAGTAATTACTATGTGCCAGGGACTGTTATAAGGCCTGTACGTGGATTAACTTGTTTAATCCTCATGACAATCTTGGAAGGTAGGAACTATTAATATTACCAGCTGTACAGAGGACGAAATGAAACAGAGAGGTTAATTGACCTTCCCAAGATCATGGAGACCAAGATTTTTCAGACTTTTTTGTTTCTAAGAAATATATTTTACATCATTACCAAGTACACACATGTGCGTTCACACACACAACTGTGATTTTTTTTAATTGCCAGGTATTTAACTCCACTGTGTGCTGTGCACTCTGATATTTTCTACTTTTTTTTTTCTGTTTTATTTTTACTTAAAATTCTGGTCGTGACCCACTAAATTGATTTCACAACCCATTAATGAGTCACCACCCACAGTTTAAACAGCACTGAATCATAGCTAGAAGGATGGAGGCCACCATTCGAACCTAAATAGTAGGGCTCCGGAGCCTAACCTCTCCATATAAAGGATGGCTTGGGAAAGGAGAGAGACCCCGAAGTCTTGAGGACAGATGGACACTGTGCTGCTGAGGAGACTGGAGGCCTCAAGAATCCCACTGCCCTGCATCACTCCCTTCCCACATTCCAGCAAAAGATCATACAAAATTCACTAATATTGCCTTTGGAAAACAAACTTGTTGGCGTAGACACACGGTTGTTCTTTTACTTTGTCTTCACATCAGCCTATGAAGGAAGTAAGAAGGACTGAGAAACTGACTCACGCAGTTTAAGTGATTTGACAAAGGTCACAGAGCCCAGTGTCCTGTTGCCTGGTCCAGGGAGTTTTTGATCCCATCCTGAGCTCACCCTTGCAGATAACAATGGTGAGCGTGGAGCTGGTGGTAGAGAGAATGGGATGACAGTGGTAACGGTCATGATGGAAATGATGAGAGTTGGTGTTGCAATGTTGGTACTGGGGAGATTGGTGATGTTGCTGATATTAATGGGAATGGGCACAGTAATGGGAGGTTGCAGGGACAGTGGTGGCCATGGTGGGGTGCTGCACCACCACAGTAGCACCTGCACCCCCTTCCCAAGCAAAGCTGAATTCCCTCTTCCCCTCACCTCTTCCTTCCCTAGCACTTTCCTGAGCACCTGGACCACTTTACGGAGAACATGGAGGACTTCTCCAATGACCTGTTCAGCAGCTTCTTTGATGACCCTGTGCTGGATGAGAAGAGCCCTCTATTGGACATGGAACTGGACTCCCCTACGCCAGGCATCCAGGCGGAGCACAGCTACTCCCTGAGCGGCGACTCAGCGCCCCAGAGCCCCCTTGTGCCCATCAAGATGGAGGACACCACCCAAGGTAAGAGGTGGAAGAACCTGGGGACAGCACAGGCCCAGGAGGCCCAGGAGGGAGGAAGCTCTGGGGTGACAAGAGAGTGTGCCTGCAGCCTGAGACTCCCAGAGGCTCCAAGAGGAGCCACCACAAACCCCTTAGGAGGTGCTCCTCCCTGCCTTTCTGTTCTCCCTCAGCTCAAAGCCAGAGGAGCACTTCTCAAAAGGGTTTTTTGCTGACTTAAGTCAGTGGTTTACAAAGTGTGGTTCCCAGACCAGCAGCATCACCTGGGAATCTGTTAGACATGCAGATTCTCGGGTTCCACCCCCAACCTGCTGAATCACAACCCTGTGGGTAGGGCCCAGCCTTCCAGGTGATTCTGATGCACACTCAGATTTGCAAACCGCTGACTTAGAGGAGACAGTGGGGGTAATTCAATAATAACTGTGGGGCCGGGTGTGGTGGCTCACGCTTGTAATCCCTGCACATTGGGAGGCCGAGGCAGGTGGATCACCCGAGGTCAGGAGTTCGAGACCAGCCTGGCCAACATATGGTGAAACCCCGTCTCTACTAAAAAAAAAATACAGGGCCGGGCGCGGTGGCTCACGCCTGTAATCCCAGCACTCTGGGAGGCCGAGGCAGGCGGATCACTAGGTCAGGAGATCGAGACCATCCTGGCTAACACAGTGAAACCCCGTCTCTACTAAAAATATTAAAAATTACCCGGGGGTGGTGGCGGGCGCCTGTAGTCCCAGCTACTTGGGAAGCTGAGGCAGGAGAATGGCGTGAACCCGGGAGGCGGAGCTTGCAGTGAGCCAAGATTGCGCCACTGCACTCCAGCCTGGGCGACAGAGCGAGACTCCATCTCAAAAAAAAAAAAAAAAAAAAAACCAACTAGCTGGGCGCGGTGGTGGGTGCCTGTAATCCCAGCTACTCGGGAGGCTAAGGCAGGAGAATCGCTTGAACCCAGCAGGCGGAGGTTGCCGTGAGCCATTGCACTCCAGCCTGGGTGACAAGAGCGAAACTCCGTCTCAAAAAAAAAAAAAATACAAAAATTAGCCAGGCGTGGTGGTGCGCTCCTGTAGTCCCAGCTACTTAGGAGACTGAGGCACAAGAACTGCTTGAACCCGGGTGGAGAAGGTGTAGTGAGCTGAGACCGCACCACTGCATTCCAACCTGGGCAACAGAGTGGGACTCCATCTCAAAAATAATAATAACTGGCTGGGTGCAGTTGCTCATGCCTGTAATCCCAGCACTCTGGGAGGCTGATGCGGGTGGATCACCTGAGGTGAGGAGACGAAGACCAGCCTGGCGAACGTGATAAAACCCCGTCTCTACAAAAATACAACAATTAGCCCAGCATGATGCCCTCCATCACATGGTGCCTCCATTACATGCTGCCTGTCATCCCAGGTACTTGGAAGGCTGAGGCAGGAGAATCACTTGAACCTGGGAGGCGGAGGCTGCAGTGAGCCAAGATTGCGCCATTGCAATCCAGCCTGGGCAACAGAGTGAGACTCCGTCCCAAAAAAAAAAAATAGACGGGGTGCTGTGGCTCACGCCTATAATCCCAGCACTTTAGGAGGCTGAGGTGGGCGGATCATTTGAGGTCAGGAGTTCAAGACCAGCCTGGTCAACATGGTGAAACTACTAAAAATAGAAAAATTAGCCAGGCGTGGTGGTGGGCACCTGTAATCCCAACTACTCTGGAGGATGAGACAGGAGAGTCACTTGAACACAGGAGGCAGAGGTTGCAGTGAGTCGAGATCAAGCCACTGCACTCCAGCCTGGGTGACAGAGTGAGACTCTGTCTCAAAAATAATAATAATACTATCCTGGCTAACAGAGTGAAACCCCATCTCTACTAAAAATAAAAAATAAATTAGCCGGGCATGGTGGCGGGTGCCTGTAGTCCCAGCTACTCAGGAGGCTAAGGCAAGAGAATGGCGTGAACCTGGGAGGCGGAGCTTGCAGTGAGCTGAGATTGCGTCACTGCATTCCAGCCTGGGCAACAGAGCGAGGCTCCGTCTCAAATAATAATAATAATAATAATAATAATAATAATAATAATAATAATAATAAGCTGTAGACAAGTTACCAAGACTCTAGAACCTCACTGCCTCCTCATACTATGTTGTCCTCTGAGACGCTACTTGAGAGAGATTCCTTCTTTTATTCCTGAAGGTAGCATTCTCTAAAGCTCTCCTCTCCCCCTAACTCCATCCTTTAAAGCAAAGAGCACCCTGAGTTCTTCCACTCAGGTAATCAGCATTCAAGACCCACATTGTGCCCCACTTAGAAATGGTCCCTTCGGGCATTTCCTCAAATACAGGTGGTCCTGGCTCTGTCGCTTTTGGCTACGTGATCACAGACATGTTGCTTAACCTCTGTAATCCTTAGTATCTATATCTACAAATGCAAATAACAATAAACATTTCTATAGTACTCTCCAGTCTACAGATTGCCTTCATGT
This sequence comes from Homo sapiens, assembly GCF_000001405.40. Classification (NCBI taxonomy): domain Eukaryota; kingdom Metazoa; phylum Chordata; class Mammalia; order Primates; family Hominidae; genus Homo; species Homo sapiens. The sequence goes on from NC_000011.10 coordinate 46,302,610, forward strand.
TAATTATCACATTTATTTCTCATGACTGACAGGTGAGGTTGGAATCACTTTTATCATAATCTCCATGTGACCGATAAGAAAACTGAGACTTGGCCGGGTGCAGTGGCTCACGCCTGTAATCCCAGCACTTTGGGAGGCCAAGGCAGGCAGATCACGAGGTCAGGAGTTCGAAACCTGCCCGACCAACATGGTGAAACCCCATCTCTACTAAAAATACAAAAATTCACCAGGCATGGTGGCGTGCGCCTGTAATTCCAGTTACTCAGGAGGCTGAGGCAGGAGAACTGCTTGAACCCGGGAGGCGGAGGTTGCAGGGAGCTGAGATTGCACCACTGCACTCCAGCGGAGGTGACAAAGCGAGATTCTGTCTCAAAAAAAAATAAAAAAGAAAACTGAGACTTCACAAAAGCTCAGTTGTCTAGGTCACGCCCACAGTAAAATGCAGAACAGAGACATAATAGCACACCCTGATTCTCAACCGCAAACCCTTGCCACCACCACATTTGCCAGTCAAGAAGGGCAGCCAGGGCTATTTGGTTGGGACCCACAAGGGCATTGGTGTGCATCCCCGTGTCTCCACCAGCCACTGGGTGATCTTGGGCAAGTTACTTAACCTCTCTAGGCCTCTGTTTCCTCAGTGATAAAATGAAAATAATATACGCCTTGAGAGTTCTCGTCAGGCTTAAAAATATATATATACAAAATACCCTGCTAAGTGCCCAGCACATAATATATACATCAATAATTAGCAGCAGCCAAGTGCAGTGGCTCAGGCCTGTAATCCCAGCACTTTGGGAAGCCGAGGCAGGAGGATTGCTTGAGCCCAGGAGTTCAAGACCAGCCTGGCCAACAGATGAAATCCTGTCTCTACTAAAAATACAAAAATTAGTTGGGAGTGGAGGTGTGTGCCTGTAATCCCAGTTACTCAGGAGGCTGAAGCAGGAGAATCGCTTGAACCCAGGAAGCGGAGGTTGCAGTGAGCCGAAATCATGCTACTATGCTCCAGCCTGGATGACAGAGTGAGACTCTGTCTCAAAAATTAATATAAATAATAATAATTAGTGACTATTTTCACTGTGCACATAAAAGTCCTATGAATACTATGGGTGGGCCAGGCATGCTGAGTCACACCTATAATCCCGGCACTTTGGGAGGCCGAGGCAGGAGGATTGCTTGAGCTCAGGAGTTTGAGACCAGCCTGGGCAACATAGCAAAACACCTTCTCCACAAAATTAAAAATTAAAAAATTAGCCAGGCATGGTGGCACATGCCTGTAGTCCCAGCTACCTAAGAGCCTGAGGCAGGAGGATATCTTAAGCCCCGGAGGTCGAGGCTGCAGTGAGCTATGATGGCACCACTGCACTCCAGCCTAGGCGACAGAGCAAGACCCTGTCTCAAAAAGAAAAAAAATAAAACAGAAACACTATGGGTGCTTGTAACAATGAACAGTGTTCTTCTTATTCCTCTTTCCCTCTAAAGGACCTGGTCTTGAGTGAATTTCTTAATTTTCTCACTTGTTAAATGGTGAGAACAATGGTGCCTGCCCCCAGAGAGTTGTTGGGAGGAGTAAAGAAGCTCATTTGCCTGGGCGCGTGACTCACGCCTGTAATCCCAGCACTTTGGTAGGCCGAGGAGGGTGGATCACCTGAGGTCAGGAGTTCAAGGCCAGCCTAACCAACATGGAGAAACCCCGTCTCTACTAAAAATACAAAATTAGCCGGGAGTGGTGGCGCATGCCTGTTATCCCAGCTACTCGAGAGGCTGAGGCAGTAGAATCGGTGAACCCGGGAGGCAGAGGTTGCGGTGAACTGAGATCGCACCATTGCACTCTAGCCTGGGCAACAAGAGCGAAATTCCATCTCAAAGAAAAAAAAAATAGAAGCTCATGTGTGACAAGGGCTTAGAGCTGTGCTCAGCGCAAGAAGTGTGAGCTGCGTCTGATAGTCTTTGAGATTCCCTAGGGGCAAAGACAAACCTTTGTACCTCCCCCCAAACCCCATGAAGGCAGGGACATCCGCCCCTCTTAGGTCAGCCCAGCAACTCCTTAGCCACCCTAAGTCTTTTTTTAATTATTAATTTTTTGGGGGGGGCGGGCAGGGTGACAGGGTCTTACTCTGTCACCCAGGCTAGAGTACGGTGTTGCAATCTTGGCTCACCTCCTGGCCTCAACCTCCTGGCCTCAAGCGATCCTCCCACCTCAGCCTCCCAAATTGCTGAGATTACAGGCATGAGCCACCACACCCAGCTCCCACGTCTATTTTTAAAGCAATTTGTCTGTGGGCCCTTTGCAGGGGGCAGCTTCCCGGAGGCCGGTGGCCAGGCCCTGTAATTTGGGAAGATTGTGGGTATTCCTGGAGCCCATGGGCAGCCTGTGGCCCAGAGCTGGGGCACTCAGGCTCCCAACAGGGTGCGGCCTGGCCTCCAAGGTGGTCAATCAGCCACTACTGCCTCTCCCCGACCACAGCAGGCCCCAAAGTCCAGAGTCCCCTCCAGCCCTGCCTTGAATGTTGGCTCCCCTCCCCTCTCCCCTGTCTTACCCGCTGCTTCAATGGCTACCAGGCAGTGTGGCCACCATGAACAGGGCTGACTTAGAGTGGAAGACTGTGGGCACCCATCAGGAAAAGGGGTGATGCCTGCCAGCCCTATTGCCCAGGTGAAACCAGGAGGCCCACTAGGTGGGCAGGAGGTGGGTTCTTCCCTCAGGAAATCTAAGCCTCACCTCTCACTGCTCCCCACCGCTCCCCACCGCCGCCTCCTCCACCCGCCTCATACCCCCAGTCACTGGGTCCTGTGGATGCTTCCTTCTAAATCTGTTCCCTCCTCTCCATCACAACTGCCACTGCCTTTGCTCAGGCCTCCCCTTCTCTCTCTCCTGGCCGATTTCAACACTTCCTGCAGTTCTCCCTGCCTCCATCTTGCCTGCAGCCAGTCTAGTCCCCACACGAGGGCAGAGTGATCTTTTATATATATATATATGTATATATACACACACATATATATGTGTGTGTGTATATATATGTATATATATACATATATATGTGTGTATATATGTGTGTATATATATGTGTGTGTGTGTATATATGTGTGTGTGTGTGTGTGTGTGTGTGTGTGTGTGTGTGTGTGTATATATATATATATTTTTTTTTAAGACGGAGTCTCGCTCTGTCGCCCAGGCTGGAGTGCAGTGGCGCAATCTCGGCTCACTGCAAGCTCCGCCTCCCGGGTTCATGCCATTCTCCTGCCTCAGCGTCCCGAGTAGCTGGGACTACAGGCGCCCGCCACCATGCCCAGCTAATTTTTTGTATTTTTAGTAGAGACGGGGTTTCACCATGTTAGCCAGGATAGTCTCGATCTCCTGACCTCATGATCCGCCCGTCTTAGCCTCCCAAAGTGTTGGGATTACAGACGTGAGCCACCGCGCCAGGCCATATTTTTTTAATTGATTTAATTTTAGAGATAGGGTCTCGCTCTGTCACCCAGCTGGAGTGCAGTGGTCTGATCATAGTTCACTGCAGCCTTGAACTCTTGGGCTCAAGCGATCCTCCTGCCTCAGCCTCCCAAAGCTGGGATTATAGGCGTGAGCTACCGCACCCAGCCATAATCTTTCTTAAAATTGCAAATTTGGGCCAGGTGCAATAGCTCATGCCTGTAATCCCAGCACTTCAGGAGGCCGAGGTGGGTGGATCACTTGAGTTCAGGAGTTCGAGACCAGCCTGGGCAACATCTCTACAAAAAAATACAAAAATTAGCTGGGCATGGTGGCATGCGCCTGTAGTCCCAGCTACTTAGGAGGCTGTGGCGGGAGAACCAATTGAGCCAGGAAGGTCAAGACTGCAGTGACTCATGATGGCACCACTGCACTCCAGCCTGGGCGAATGAGTGAGATCCTGTCTCAATAAAAAAAAAAAAAAAAATTGAGCACATACAAAACTCTTCAGCGGCTCCCCATTTGCTTTAGGATAAAGTCACATCTCTGAACTAACCCAGCCTCCAAGGCCAAGCCACCCCCACTGGCCTCTCTGACCCCATCTTCCACTCCCCTTTGCATTCCAACTATGCTAAACTGCTTGTGACTCTTGCTATATCCCCAGCATCTAGCACAGTAAATGTTTACTAAATAACAGTAGTTGTATTAACACTGGCTTGTATTTATTGAACACTTACTCTTTTTTTTTTTTCAAGACAGGGTCTCACTCTGTCTGTCTAGGCTGGAGTGCAGTAGCACAATCTTGGCTCACTGCAACCTCCTCCTCCCAAGCAATTCTCTCTCTTTTTTTTTTTTTTCAGACAGAGTCTCACTCTTGCCCAGGCTGGAGTGCAGTGGTGCGATCTCAGCCCACTGCAACCTCTGCCTCCCGGGTTCAAGTGATTCTCCTGCCTGCCTCAGCCTCCTGAGCAGCTGGGACTAACAGGCACGTGCCGCCACAACTGGCTAATTTTTGTATTTTTAGTAGAGACAGGCTTTCACCATGTTGTCCAGGCTGGTCTCAATCTCCTGGACTCAAGCGATCCACCTGCCTTGGCCTGTCAAAGAACTGGAGTACAGGCATGAGCCACTGCACCTGGCCGCTCAAGTGATTCTCCCACCTCAGCCTCCTGAGTAGCTGGGATTATAGACACACACCACCACACCTAGCTAATTTTGTGTGTGTGTATTTTTTGTAGAGATGGGATTTCGCCATGTTTCCCAGGCTGGTCACGAACTCCTGGGCTCAAGCGATCTGCCTGTCTTGACTTCCCAAAGTGCTGGGATTACAGGAGTGAGCCACGGCGCTCAGCCTGAACATTTACTTCTCACCAGTGTTAAGTATTAACACTCACAGTGTTAAGTGTCTTATGTACATTATACTACTTAAGCCTCAGAACTTCTGTATTAGGTACGTCCTGTTCCTTTCCCCATTTTGCAGATGAAGAAGCTCAGGCTCAGAGAGGTTAAGCAACTAGCCTAAGGTCACACACACAGCCAATCAAGAGGAGTGTGAATCTGGTGCCCAAGCTCATTCTGTAAGCTGCTGAATGAAGAGGATGTCCTCACCTCTTCTGGCCCCAGACAACTCCTCCTCACCTCACAACCACCCTCTTTCCTGCCTGCCCCCTGGTCTACCCTAACAGCTCTCTTCAGTTCAGCCTAGGGTAGCTCCCAGGGGGCAGGCAGGGGGCTGAGACCTCTGCCCTAGAGTCCCCTGAGCCTTTCCCCTTCCCCTAGATGCAGAGCATGGAGCATGGGCGCTGGGACACAAACTGTGCTCCATCATGGTGAAGCAGGAGCAGAGCCCGGAGCTGCCCGTGGACCCTCTGGCTGCCCCCTCGGCCATGGCTGCCGCGGCCGCCATGGCCACCACCCCGCTGCTGGGCCTCAGCCCCTTGTCCAGGCTGCCCATCCCCCACCAGGTGAGCCTGGGAACTGTTTGTAGCGGCTGAGGGAGGGAGGAGGGCTGGTGGGTCTGTGGGAAGAGGTGCCCAAAGCCCTGTGCCCTGGGGCTCTGTGAACAGGAAGACATGAGCCTCAGGGCTGAGGGTGGGAAGCCCCCGCCCAGCCCAGGCCTCCGCCTACCCCCCTGGCTGCCCCCTCACCATACCGCAACGGGCACAAGCCACAGCCCCCTTGGAGTAACTGAGGCTCTCGTCTGTGCAGAAAAAGACAGCTTGCAGGGCTCCAGGCAGGGGTGGCATCAGGAGCCCAGTCCAGGGTCTCAGAGGTGGAGACAGCCCAGGCCACTGACTTTTCTCAAAGCTTCAGTATTTTTAAAAAAGAAAAAAGACCAAAAAGGAAATTACAAAAAAAAGTGTGCTATATTCCAATTGTTTACATTTATGAGATTAATATTTTTAACCCACACTCTCAGGCTGAACTCCCTCCTCCACCAATGTGTAGATGACAGCATTCAGCTATAAACCCAAGACCCCTCTGGGAATGTGAACCCCAGACCCCTGGCTCCTAGCCGAGGTCCTGCCTGAGTCCCAACTCGGTGCCTCCTTTGTGTTCTGGGCATGTTGCACATCCTCCTTCTCTGTAAAAGGGGCTCATGAACCCCCTAAGGTGCTTCTAGCCCTGGGATTCCACAGGATGAGCAGCATCTTAAAATCCCTAGATGGGAGCGTGGCTGGCCCTGCCCCCTGCTGGCCACACGGCTCACTTGCTCTAACTGTACGTGGCTGAAGGCAAGAAAGGTCAGCCCCTCCCTGCCCCACCACAGACCCGTGGGATCAAGGGTCGGCGGCAAATATGCAGGATCTTTTGAGACCATCTCCAAGACTGGCTCTGAGACTCCTCAGGCCTTGCCAAAGCAGGAAGGGATGGAGTGACAGCAGCAGCAGCCAGGGAAGAGGAGACTTCAGAAAGGGAAACTGAGGCTCAAGGGGTTAAGTAATTTGCCCAAAATCATGCAGTTAGAAGCAACTGACATGCCTTCCAAATTCGGCCTGCCAGACCCTGAAGCCCACGCGAGTGAGGTCATAACCCCTAGTGGAAGGCACAGGAGCTGGCATTGTCAACAGTGAGCTCTCTGCACCGCAGTCCCCTCTCTGTCACTTGAGGGCTGAGCTGGGATGTAGACCAAGGAATCTCCAAGGTCCCTGCCAACTTGAACCTTCTGGGATTCTTACTCATCAGCCTACATTCTGGATTCTGCGTCCCACCCACAATATCATGATCTCTCTGGGGCTGCAGCCCAGGGCCTGCAATCCAGCCCCCAACAACGCCTTCCTCAGACAGAGCACCACTTACTTGCATGTTGGTAGTCATGTGTACAAAGCCATGCATGCTCTTGAAGTCCTTTCTGGAACAACAAGTCAGAATAGAAATAAAGAGAAATGCATGTTTGTTAAAAATGTCCATCTGATTCTATCAAGCCCTTACTTCAACCCATTAGGAGCTCTCATTGCCTCCAACTTCTTTGTCTAGATTCTACTTCTATTTATACCCCGGGACTCATTTCAGACTTTGACTTCTCAGGGAGCATCCTCGGAGCCCCCAGCCAATTAATGCCTCCTTCTGTACTACTGCTACCAGCCATTGAACAGCTACACTGTTCCAGACATTACCTCTTGTTTTATTCTCATGGCAACCCACATACCAAAGCCTGTGTGGCCTTCACAGTTGGTGTGGAAGGTGGCCCCACACTCAGAGGCTCACCTTCTCTGAGCTTAAGGTCTGAGCTACACTGCTTGGCCAGCAATCCTTTCTCTTAGGTGTGACTTGGCTTCTTTAAGCTCAAGAGCTTGCCTCTGTTCCCTTGCAGCTGTGCCCAGAACTCCAAGCCCAGCCACTTCCCCAACTGTGCAGGGCAGGCAACCAGCTTTAGGGAGGAGGTGGGTAGATGGCATGGTGGGGACAGACCCAGGGGCAGCTAATGGAGCTGGGCTTGTCTGTTCCTCAGGCCCCGGGAGAGATGACTCAGCTGCCAGTGATCAAAGCAGAGCCTCTGGAGGTGAACCAGTTCCTCAAAGTGACACCGGGTAGGTGTGTCCAGGGGAAGGGCTCTTTTCCCCTCCAGTCATAGGCAGATAGCATCCCCACTTCCTTGGTTCAGCCCATCCCTATCTCTTGACAACCTTCCCCCACCCAGAATATCCTCTCCACCCTGCCCTACCCACTGTCCCTCCATCCATGCCCACTCTTCGTCTAGTCCTCTTCGTTTTTGTTTTTTGTTTGTTTGTTTGTTTGTTTGTTTTTTGAGATGGAGTCTCACTCTGTCACCCAGGCTGGAGTACCATGGCACGATCTCAGCTCACTGCAACCTCCCCATCCCAGGTTCAAGCAATTCTCCTGTCTCAGCCTCCTAAGTACCTGGGATTACAGGTGCCCACCACCACGCCTGGCTAATTTTTGTATTTTTTAGTAGAGACGGGGTTTGGCCATATTGGTCAGGCTGGTCTTGAACTCCTGACTCAGGGGATCCACCTGTCTCAGCCTCCCAAAGTGCTGTGATTACAGGGGTGAGCCACTGCACCCAGCCTTCGTCCAGTCCTCTTCTTGCCCAATCTACTGCTGCCATCGCTCCTGCTTGCCCAGCCTGACCCTATGAGAGAGAGGCCCCAGTCACCTTCTGGGGTTGCTGAGCTAGAGCTTAGTGATCTTCTGGAGTTGCTGAGCTTAAGGCCCTGAACCCTGTGAAGTCAGAGGTCACAGAGGACCTCCCACGAATTCAGCTCCTATGATGTCTATGCCAAGGGCGAGCTTGTAAAGGAGCTGGGCCTCTGTGGTGTCAGATGAGGCAGCACCCAGGAATTGGCTACCCAGATGTCAACTGTCTTTCTGACCCTGCAGAGGGGCTTCTGATGTCATAGCTGAGACCAAGCGCCTGGCAGTCCGTGTCCCACAATGTCAGGGCTGGTGCAAGCTCATGCTCAGCTGAACTCATGATGTCCAAGTGGAGCTGATGTGCAACGTTGCTAACTCGGTTTCCCCTGCTCTCCCCAGAGGACCTGGTGCAGATGCCTCCGACGCCCCCCAGCAGCCATGGCAGTGACAGCGACGGCTCCCAGAGTCCCCGCTCTCTGCCCCCCTCCAGCCCTGTCAGGCCCATGGCGCGCTCCTCCACGGCCATCTCCACCTCCCCACTCCTCACTGCCCCTCACGTAAGGAGCTGGGGGTGGGCTGATCCCAGAAATGAGGAATTGAATACATCCACCTGAGCACACTGGCCAGTCAGGAGGGTTTGGGGAGCCCCGAGACTGATCCCCACCCTCATCAGAATTCAGAGGGATGCTTACCTGGCAGATGGGAGTTCTAATCCTTTTATTTTTGAGTCTTGCTCTGTTGCCCAGGCTGGAGTGCAGTGGCTCAATCTCGGCTCACTGAAACATCTGCCTCCCAGGTTCAAGCAATTCTCCTGTCTCAGCCTCCCAAGTAGCTGGAATTACAGGCACTTGCCACCGTGTCTGGCTTTTTTTTGTTTGTTTTTTTTTTTTGAGATGGAGTCTCGCTCTGTCGCCTGGAGTGCAGTGGCACGATCTCGGCTCACTGCAACCTCCACCTCCAGGGTTCAAGTGATTCTCCTGCCTCAGCCTCCCGAGTAGCTGGTATTACAGGTGCACACCACCACCCAGCTAATTTATGTACTTTTAGTAGAGACAGCATTTCACCATGTTGGCCAAGCTGGTCTCAATCTCTTGACCTCTTGATCTGCCCACTTCAGCCTCCCAAAGGGCTGGGATTACAGGCGTGAGCCACCGCATCTGGTCAGGAATTCAAATCCTTTCGCCCTGCCTCATGGTGAACAGGAGACTATTGCAGAGCCAGGACTAGAACTTGACATTCCTGACCTCCAGGGGATGACCCAGGCTGCCTCCAAGGAGCGCTGTGTGAGGGGAAGTGCCCAGATGGTCCAGAATCCCCAGGAAACATGGAGCTAGGCCCTGAGCCCTGGGATGGGTGTGGAGTCTCCCAAGCCAAGATTGTAGGGAGGGGTCTGAGGGAGATGCTGTTTGGGGCACCCTGGACAAGTAAGCTTTGAGGGTGCAGTCTCAGGGATGGGATCCAGGAAGCCCTCCCGAACAATGCACTAAGAGCCTAACACCTGAGCTCTCAGCATGGCCCTGGCACCTGACACATGTTACTGAATTTCACCCAGATCCACTCCCTTTCCAGATGAGGAAACTGAGGCATAGAGCATTGTGTGCCTTGCCCAGGTCATATAGATAGCACATGGCAGAGCTTGAATTTGAACCCAGGGCTGCCTGGCTCCTAACTACCACATCATACTTCCTACAGAAATTACAGGGGACATCAGGGCCACTGCTCCTGACAGAGGAGGAGAAGCGGACCCTGATTGCTGAGGGCTACCCCATCCCCACAAAACTCCCCCTCACCAAAGCCGAGGAGAAGGCCTTGAAGAGAGTCCGGAGGAAAATCAAGAACAAGGTAAAGCCTGCCACCCTGGGGCTTCAGAGGGCTTCCTTGGTGGGTGGGCTCCCCTGGCATACCAGCTCTGAAATTGGGGGGCCCAGGAAGTGAATATGTGGCAGTGCTAACCCTTGTTTTCGGGCCTCCCCCTCTAGATCTCAGCCCAGGAGAGCCGTCGTAAGAAGAAGGAGTATGTGGAGTGTCTAGAAAAGAAGTAAGGGGCTTGGGAGGGGTGGGCAATCCACTCCCTTGCCTGACCTGCCCTCCCCTAGGCCCTCCCTCAGGGGGCAGCAGAGGCAGGGGGCACAGGGAGTGTGATGGTGGTGGGCTGGGCCGAGGAGCTGTTGTGAGTCTGGGGGCTGCCCCTGAGCCTGTGCCTGCTTGGCCCCTACAGGGTGGAGACATTTACATCTGAGAACAATGAACTGTGGAAGAAGGTGGAGACCCTGGAGAATGCCAACAGGTGGGTAGTGCCTCCTGCATCCAACCTGGCCCCCTGCCCCTCTGCAACCCGTGCCTGGCTCTGCATAGCTCTGGGAGACAGGGGAGAGGAGAGAGAACTAAGTTTAGGATGACAGGGACCCCAGAAACACACCCTGCAGCCTTGGGCCACTTACATCCTGCCCCTCTCTGTGTTCCCATTTTTCCTCACCTACACCTGGCAGGGCTGGGGAGTTGCTTAAGTGAGCAGATGTTTTCAAAGTGTGGTCCTCAGACCAGCAACAATCCCTGGGAATTATTAGAAATGCTTATTCTCGGGCCCCATGCCAGGTCTACTGAATCAGAAGCTCCAGGGGTAGGGCCCAGCGCCCTGTGTTTTAATAAGCCCTCCACGTAATTAGGTTGCACCCTCAAGTTTGAGAACCACTGGTGTAAATCCTTGTTACTCAAAGCCAGCTGACCCAGACAGGCAACATCAGCATCACCTAGGAGCTTGTTAGAAATGCAGGCTGGGCACGGTGGCTCACGCTTGTAATCTCAGCACTTTGGGAGGATGAGGGGGGTGGATCATTTGAGGTTAGGAGTTCGAGACCAGACTGACCAACATGGTGAAACCCCATCTCTACTAAAAATAGAAAATTAGCTGGGCGTGGTGGTGGGCGCCTGTAATCCCAGCTACTCGGGAGGCTGAGGGAGAAGAATCACTTGAATCCGAGAGGCGGCAGTTGCAGTGAGCTGACACTGTGCCACTGCACTCCAGCCTGGGCCAGACTCTGTCTCAAAAAAAAAAATGCAGAATTTCAGAACTCTCTCCAGACTTACTGAGCTAAAAACTGCACATTCACAAGGTCCTTGGGTGATTCACATGTACTATGAAGTTTGAGAAACAGGAGTATAGAGACAGCAGGACAGTGCCTGGCAGGTAGCAGCCACGTCAAGTCACAGCTCTGGGTTCTTACGCTGCTCTGCCATTTTTGTGACTCTGGAGAAATCGTTAAATATCTCTGGGCCCCTGTTTCTTCGTCTAAATGGGGATGATAGAAACATTATCTCATAGGGCCAGGCACAGTGGCTTACGCCTGTAATCCCAGCATTTTGGGAGGCGGAGGCGGGCAAATCACTTGAGGCCAAGAGTTCGAGACCAGCCTGGCCAACATGGTGAAACCCCCATCTCTACTAAAAATACAAAAATTAGCCGGATGTGGTGGTGCATGCCTGTAATCCCAGCTACTCAGGAGGTTGAGGGAAAAGAATCACTGGAACCCGGGAGGCAGAGGTTACAGTGAGCTGAGATGGTGCCACCGTACTCCAGCCTGGGTGGCAGAGTGAGACTCTGTCTCAAAAAAAAAAAAAAAGAAAGAAAAGAAACATTATCTCATAGGATGGATGTGAGGGTATTAATAAGATCCTGCGAATAAAGGATCCAGCCTGATGCTTGGCATTTAGAAATGTGCAATTCATGTTAGCTTTTATTCTTCTTTCATTATTTTTATTTATTTATTTTCTTGAGATAGGGTCTCACTCTGTTGCCCATGCTGGAGCGTAGTGGGGTGATCATAGCTCACTGCAGCCTCAAACTCCTGATTCTCCCCCCTCAACCTCCTAAGTAGCTAGGACCACAGGCGCACACCACCACCCCTGGCTAATTTTAAGTATTTTGTAGAGACGTGGTCTTGCTGTGTTGCCCAGGCTGGTCTCCAGCTCCTGGACTCAAGCATACCTCCTGCTTTGGCTCCCAAAGTGCTGGGATTATAGGTGTGATCCACTGCACCTGGCCTTCTTTCATTATTTTTACTTTTTTATTTTTATTTACTTTTTTTTTTTTTTTGAGACACAGTCTTGCTCTGTCGCCCAGGCTGGAGTGCAGTGGCACAATCTCGGCTCACTGCAACCTCCGCCTCTTGGGTTCAAGCAATTCTCATGCCTCAGCCTCCCAAATAGCTGGGATTACAGACGTGTACCACCACACCCGGCTAATTTTTGTATTTTTAGTAGAGACAGGGTTTCACTATGTTGGCCAGGCTGGTCTTGAACTCTTGACTTCATGTAATCCTCCTGCCTCAGCCTCCCACAAGTGCTGAAATTACAGGCGTGAGCCACCACACCCCACCATTATTTTCATTCCAAATTCCTGATAGTGCCCAGCCATGAGCCTGTGGTAGGTCTTTAATAATTATTTGCTGGGATTAATTACAATAACCTAGACAACAGCCTTGGTATGCAGCAGGTGCTCAACACAAGACTTTTTCCTTCTTTCCTTCCTTCTCCCCCAGCTTCTCCAGCGGGATCCAGCCACTCCTCTGTTCCCTGATTGGCCTGGAGAATCCCACCTGACCCCCCACCCCACCCCTCTGTCTCTGGCTGGGGTTCCTTTCTGGCCCAAAGTAGGTCCAAGCCCTTGTAGTTATTTCGCCACCTGCTGTACATTGTGGGAACTGCAACCCCTACGTGCCCGTTTGGGTGGAGAGAGATTAAACATTTGCCCACCAAGCCTGTGCTGAACGCATTCTGTATGCACCCAGAAGATTCCACGCTGAGTGGGACCCGGTCCTCACCCTCAGGGAGGCCACAGTTAATAAAGGAGACTGATGTGGAGATATATAAATAAACGAAGTGCCGTGATAAAAGCAAACACAGCAATAAAGCAAAAATGGCTGGGCACGGTGGCCCATGCCTGTAATCCCAACACTTTGGGAGGCCGAAGCGGGTGGATCACCTGAGGTCAGGAGTTCCAGACAAGCCTGGCAAAACCCCGTCTCTACTAAAAATACAAAAATTAGCCGGCATGGTGGCGCACGCCTGTAGTCTCAGCTAGTCAGGAGGCTAAGGCAGGAGAATCACTTGAACCTCGGAGGCGGAGGTTGCAGTGAGTCGCAAACGCACCACTGCACTCCAGCCTGGGTGAAAGAGCGAGACTCTGTCTCAAAACAAAACAAAACAAAAAACCTAACAAAAACAATAGCTACCATTTACTAGACACTCACTACATACCAGGCACTGTGCCAAACAGCTCCTTCTTATCAGCTCAGGGTGCTGGGGGTGCCAGGGAGGGAAGGTCAGTGAAACTGTGGCAGGTGTCGGTTAAGCAAAAGAAGGCTGGCATCTGTGCAGCTGGGGGCAGGCCTTCCCTCCTCCAACCCCCTTGGCCAGGAGCATCACAGGGCAGGCCTGAGCTTCCACAAGGTGACCCAGCCAGTCACCATGAGGCAGGCCCCAGGCGCCAGGCCACTCTGCAGAGGAGCCACGCAGGAGGTGACCTTTCCTATCTTGACTGAAACGGGCACCTGGCGTGGAGGCCAAGTCTGGAGCCAGCCCCCTAGGAGAGCTCCAGGAGGCAGAGATGCCTGCGGGGTCAAAGCCTGCCAGCTGACTGCTGTGCCCTCCTCAGGACCCTGCTCCAGCAGCTGCAGAAACTCCAGACTCTGGTCACCAACAAGATCTCCAGACCTTACAAGATGGCCGCCACCCAGACTGGGACCTGCCTCATGGTAGGTGTGGCTCCCTCCACCACAGACCCACAGGAGGAGAGTTCTTCCCAAGGCTGGCTTTTTCCAGGGTTGGGCAGAGCTTTAAGGATCGGTAACATCGTGGGCAGCGTCCCAGGGTACACCATCCTGGCGCCTGGTGGGCTGGTTCTAGCAGACTCCAGACTCCTTCTCCAAGCCCATGGTGCCTTCTGCCTCACACCGGTCCCCGACTGGTTAACACAGTGTAGATGTGTAGGTGACTCCAGTGGCCCCAGCTAGGGGACAGCTGGGCAGGTTCCTTGAGGAGGCGGCTTCCACAGGCCTTGTGCAGGGAAGGGCTTGGGGAGACTCAGGGAAGAACGGACATGGTTCTTTCTGGAACAGATGGCAGTGAAAAGGCTGAGGAAACCCCTGGAAACCCGGAAGGCTCCCAGGGCGTGTTTCAGACCTCTTCCAGTCCCTCTTCTATCTTCTTCTGGAAATGGCCAGTCTCTTGCCGCCTGGCTCAGCATGCCCCGGCCCTCCGAGACCCTCGAGCTGTCAGGCAGCAGAACCAGGCTATGGGCAGGGGTAGTGTGGGCTCCGTGGCTCTCAGCACCTCCCGCTAGCCAGGCTCCTCAGAATCCTGCTGAGAACGTGATGTGGCGGTGTGTCCCCCTCCCTCGTCCCAGCCCCAAGCCCCACCTGCACCTATTCCTTCCTTTCCTGATTCCTCTACCCCGTAAGGGGACTCCACATTGGCCACTTCCCTCTTACTTCTAGCACTGCCTGTGGCGACCCCCCTACAATGGGCTGGGATGGCCTGGGCTGTCCCTGCCTTCCCCAGAGAGGATAGGAGACCCCACATGTAGGAGGGAGTGGTCGACTGGAGCAGCTGCTTCCTTGGGAAAACGCTAAGACTTTTGTGCCTGTTGGTTTGGGAGAGGAGGAGTGGGGTGGTCAGGGCCGTGGCCCCTCCTTACCCCAGATCTGATGCCACTCTCTCTTTGCTACCAGGTGGCAGCCTTGTGCTTTGTTCTGGTGCTGGGCTCCCTCGTGCCCTGCCTTCCCGAGTTCTCCTCCGGCTCCCAGACTGTGAAGGAAGACCCCCTGGCCGCAGACGGCGTCTACACGGCCAGCCAGAGTGAGTGCCCGCCTGTCATGCCAGCTCCCTGGGCTGAGGCTGCCCTGCCCCAGCCCCAGTGTCCAGGCAGAAGCCAGACATAAGAGAGAAGCCAAGTGTGGGGTCAGCATTATCTCATTTTGCCTCATTTTCCAGATGGGGAAACCGAGGCCCAAAGAGAGTCTATGCTTTGCTCAGTGTTTGTGGTAGAATTGGGACTAAAATACAGAGCTCCCGATGCCCAGCCTAGCTCCCAGAGAGCTCAGGAGTGGCTTGCAGGAGGTGGGTTTAGGGGATAACAGGAATGTTCCAGCCCTGGGCCCCATGCATTATGGTGCCAGTGCTTATGGGGCATCTGCTAGGCACCATCAGTATCTCATGATAGGGACAGCAAGTGAGTTTCAGCTCAAAAGCCATTTCCAATAAGGTGGTGGTAGCTGCCTGAAACACTGAGTTAAGAAGGACCCTGGGCCGGGCGCGGTGGCTCATGCCTGTAATCCCAGCACTTTGGGAGGCCGAGGCGGTGGATCACCTGAGGTCAGGAGTTCGACGCCAGCCTGGCCAGCATGGTGAAACCTCGTCTCTACTAAAAATACAAAACTTATCTGGGCATGGTGGCATGTGCCTGTAGTCCCGGCTACTTGAGAGGGGTGAGACAGGAGAATCACTTGAAACTGGGAGGCAGAAGTTGCAGTGAACCAAGATCACGCCACTGCAGTCCAGCCTGGGTGACAGAGTGAGACTCCATCTCAAAAAAAAAAGAAGGATCCTGAGGCACCATTCAGAATTGACAGGAAGGAGTGTCATGATCCACTGATAATGTCTACCATGGACAGAAGAAGGGTAGCGGTGGTGTGGGTTCAGATATCTACTGTTTCCAAGGGGGATAGTAAACGTACAGTGGTTAGGAGCATGGGGATGTCAAGTCCATCGTAACTGGCACTGCCACCTGCTGTGTGACCAGGGGCATGTGTCTTAAGCTTTCATTTCTTCATCTAGAAAATGGGAGTGGCAATTTTGCACTTACTGAGCCATGGCTGTGAGACAGTGCATGAAATAGCACAGTGTCTGTGCTTATGAAATGAGCACACTCAGTCTCTTAGAGCTCACGGAGGAGAGAATAGCTACATCACAGTAGCTGGCAAAGGGAGAACCAGGGTAGGGCCCAGCAAAGAAGAGTGTGGATTTCAGACGCAGAGAATCCTTCAGGTGGACCCACAGAGGAACTTCCTGGCTGTCCCTCATCACTTACCAGTCAGTCACTTACCAAGAACCACGTGTCTGGCAGGACAGGAGGAGGAAGAGGAAACAGATGGGAGGTCAGAGGAGGGAAGATTAAGGAGTGAGTTTCAAGAAGGAGGGATATAGCAGGGAGGATGAGCTAGACGTTGAGGGCCTTGAGGGGAGGAAGCTGGTGTGGGGAGGGTTAGGGAAAGAGGAAGTAGAGACAGGGAGAGTGAAAGCTCCTCCCCGGACACGTGCAGGCTGAGGAGGAGAGAACGGGGTGGTCACTAAAGGCGGGTGGGCAGCAGCAATGCAAGGTCTGGAGAGCCATGTGTCTGCTTTTCCAAGGCCACAGAAGCCACTGGAGAAAAAGGAGTGGAAAGAGAGCTGGGGTTGATGGATAAAGCCACAGTGAGAGGAGGCAATGAATGAGCCCCTTGGAGGGAAGGCAGTGGGTTTTAGGCCCAGGACCTGGGCTGGGTGGAGAGGAAGACACATCCCAGCAGGCAGATGGCTTTGGAGCAGGCTGGTTTGCAGAGCTGGCGCACTGCGCAGTTCCAGGGACCTCTGTTCACACAGACTATGAGGTCATGGCTGCAGAGCCGGAGGGGCAGCAGATCCCAGGGCCAGGCAGACCTGGGTTCGCATCCTCCCTTCAGGGAGGACAATTTCCCTGAGTGCCTGGAACTTCAGCTGCCTCCTCTGGGAAGCGGGGCTAAAGAAACCTCATTCCCTAGAGTTTCTCTAAGATTTTAACCACTCTACTTAGGTCTATGGGCCTTGGATAATGCCTAACAAATGATGGGTGTCCAACAAATGTTTGTTTTCCTTCTCTGAAGGGCAAATTAGGATCTAGAATGGGGAAGAGACTTATTCCAGGTCTCACAGAAAGTAAGTGGTGGACTGGCCGGGTGCGGTAACTCACTCCGGTAATCTCAGCACTTTGGGAGGCCAAGGTGGGAGGATCACTTGAGGCCCAGGAGTTCAAGATCAGCCTGGCCAACATGGTGAAACCCCGTCTCTACTAAAAATACAAAAAGTAGCCAGGTATGGTGGCACACACCTGTAGTCCCAGCTACTCGGGAGGCTGAGGCAGGAGAGTCGCTTGAGCTCGGGAGGCGGAGATTGCAGGGAGTCAAGATCCTGCCATTGCACTCCAGCCTGGGCGACAGAGCAAGACTCTGTCTCAAAAAAAAAAAAAAGGGAGATAGAGCAAGTAAGTGGTGGAGGTTAGAACACAGCTCCCAGATGCCCAAACTCAGTACCCTCTGCTAGGAAGAGGTGACTTTTCTGAGTATTTCCTGAACACAGTTTCAATCACTTCCCCTGTATTACCTCATTTAAACCTCTCATTTACATGAGGTTGGTCCTAGTATCCCTATTTTACAGAAGAGCACACTGAGGCTCAGAAAGTTTAAAGCAAAGTGTGTGGCTTACCTGAGGTCACACATCCGGGAAGTGTCAGAGCTGGGACTCAGATCCAGGGCCTGCGTCCTTAACCACTAGGCCATGAATGTGGCCAGGATGTTGAGGGAATCTTGGGCACACCGCTCATCCTACACTCCCTCTCCAGTGCCCTCCCGAAGCCTCCTATTCTACGATGACGGGGCAGGCTTATGGGAAGATGGCCGCAGCACCCTGCTGCCCATGGAGCCCCCAGATGGCTGGGAAATCAACCCCGGGGGGCCGGCAGAGCAGCGGCCCCGGGACCACCTGCAGCATGATCACCTGGACAGCACCCACGAGACCACCAAGTACCTGAGTGAGGCCTGGCCTAAAGACGGTGGAAACGGCACCAGCCCCGACTTCTCCCACTCCAAGGAGTGGTTCCACGACAGGTGGGGTGTGTGGCCCCTTTCCCTCCTGAGGTCTCAGGCTCCACCTGCCTCCTGCCCACCCTTGGTCCCCACATTGGCCACACCCTCCCAAGGCCCCATCCCTACTTGGTCTAGATCCAGCTTGCAGAGGGTAAGAGGGTTCCTGCTGGACAGTCATCGCTGGCCTCTCTTCTCTCTCCAGGGATCTGGGCCCCAACACCACCATCAAACTCTCCTAGGCCATGCCAAGACCCAGGACATAGGACGGACCCCTGGTACCCAGAAGAGGAGTTCTTGCTCACTAACCCGGATCCGCCTCGTGCCCCTGCCTCCTGGAGCTTCCCATTCCAGGAGAAAAGGCTCCACTTCCCAGCCCTTCCTTGCCCCTGACATTTGGACTCTTCCCTTGGGCCGACCACTCTGTTCTCATTCTCCTTCCCACCAACATCCATCCGTCCTTCTCAGACAAACCACTCACTGGGTACCCCACCTCCTCTCTCATATGCCCAACACGACCACTGCCTCCCTGCCCCCACACCTGCACCCAAACAGACACATCAACGCACCCCACTCACAGACACCCCTTACCCCACCCCCACTGTACAGAGACCAAGAACAGAAATTGTTTGTAAATAATGAACCTTATTTTTTATTATTGCCAATCCCCTAAGATATTGTATTTTACAAATCTCCCTCTTCCCTTCGCCCCTCCCTTGTTTTATATTTTATGAAGTTAGTGCGGGCTTTGCTGCTCCCTGGCCCAGGAAAGAGGGACTACCTGACCCTCACCTGGCACCCCCCTGCTGCTGCCCAAGCCGCTGGGCCTTTTTAATTGCCAAACTGCTCTCTTCATCAGCTCAGCACATGCTTTAAGAAAGCAAAACCAAAAAAAAAAAAAAAAAGATGCAGCATCAACTCCTGACTTTGTGCCTTTCTTCATTGGAGGGGAGGGAAAGTAGAACCAAAGGGCAGGGGAACAACAAGGGTAGGTTGATTTTATGTTCTGGCAGGGGGTGTGGGGGTATAGGAGTATGAGAAGGCATTTTTTTTTTTTTGTAGAGGTAGGGTCTCGCTATGTTGCCCAGGCTGGTCTCAGACTCCTGGGCTCAGTCTGCCCACCATGGCCTCCCACAGTGCTGGGATTACAGGCGTGAGCCACCATGCCCAGCCTGTTCACTTTTTATTTTCCAATATTTTGTTGACTGATTTGTTATTTCCTCTTCTGTCTTTGGGCTTTATTTATAGCTTTTATATGTGTATGCTTTTATTTGAGGATTAGGAAGATAGTTTAGATAAATGTTTTTTATCTGCCTATTTAAGGAGAACCCCATGTATGTATGTATGTGTACATGAATGAATGACAAGATCTCGCTCTATTGCCCAAGTTGGAGTCCAGTGGTGCAATCATAACTCACTGTGGTTTCAAAATCCTGGGCTTAAGCAATCTTCCACCTCAGCCTCCCAAAGTGCTGGGATTACAGGCGTCAGCCACTGCACCTGGCCAAGAAGGCATTTCTATTGGGCTTTCTCTTCTAGCCAGGTGCAGAATTCAAACCAAACAGCCAAAGAATCTGCTGCAATTCACTCACCTCAGGGCTGCTCCAAGGATCAAGACAGAGTATCAAAGCCACCATCTTGGCCTTTGGGGATGGCCACTGCAAGAATGGAGCCTCCACTGTGGTCCAGGCACTGTGCTAGACACTTCACATACTATACCCAGTTTGGTCCTCCTAAGACCTGCCAGTTTCTTAGTTCTTGTATCCTTTGCCTCAGCTGGATTGAAGGCATAGACTTCTAAGTCAGAAGAGCTGCATTTGAGTATTGGAGCTGCCACTTGCTAGCTGTGTGTGGCAGGTAGAATTCTAATATAGCCTCTAAGATTCCCATCCACTGGTGTACACACCCTGTTGAATCCTTCCCCTAGAACATGGAGGGGACCTGCGAAGATGAGAGACCATCACGCTCATAATTAGATGATCTTTTCTGGAAACAGTTAAGAGATTTTGCAGATGTAATTAAGATCCCAAATCGGATGATTTTGAGTTCATTAAAAAGGGAGATGAGGCCGGGCACGCAGTGGCTCATGCCCGTAATCCCAGAATTTTGGGAGGCCGAAGTGGGCAGATCACTTGAGGTCAGGAGTTCCAGACCAGCCTGGCCAATATGGTGAAACCCCATCTCTTTGTAGAAATACAAAAATTAGGTGGGCATTGTAGTGCACACCTAAAATCCCAGCTACTCGGGAGGCTGAGGTAGGAGAATTGCTTGAACCTGGGAGGTGGAGGTTGCAGTGAGCCGAGATCATGCCACTGCACTCCAACCTGGGTGACAGAGCAAAACTCTGTCTCAAAAAAATAAATAAATAATAAAAGGTAGATGATCCTGGGTGGGCCTGGCTTAATCAGGTGAAAGCCACGAAGGAAGGGACTGGGCCTTCCTAAATAGAGAGAGCACCTCCTGCTGGCCATGGGGCAGAAAGCCATGCTGTGAGGGGAGGGGCGGTTTCTAGGAGCCGAGGATCCCAGTGCCATAGCAGCAAGGACCAAATTCTGCCAACAACCTGAACACGCTCGGAAGATGACCCCAAGCTCCAGATGCAAACATAGCCTAGACAATACCTGGCTGCAGCCTGGTGACACCCAGAGGGAAGGACCCTGTTAAGCCATACCCAGACTGTGAGCCATGGACACAGAGATAGGGAATGTGTGTTGTCTGAAGCTGCCAGGTGGTAGTGATTTGCTAGGCAACATAGGACATAAGTAAGACACTCTGTAACCGGAATCTCTCTGAGCCCCCATTTCTTCATTTGTAAAACAAGGCTGTATTGGGGACTCAAGGAGGTAAGTCATCTAAAGTGCTCAGAACAGGGCCCAGAACTAGTGAGCTCCAAGAAGCACCAGCTGTGCATTAAGAGGCAATGTCGGGACCGGGTGCAGTGGCTCACGCCTGTAATCCCAAGCACCCTGGGAGGCCGAGGTGGGTGGATCATCTGAGGTTATGAGTTCCAGCCTGGCCAACATGGCAAAACCCTGTCTCCACTAAAATATAGAAATTAGCCGGGCGTGGTGTCAGATGCCTGTAATCCCAGCTACTCCTGAGGCAGGGAAAATTGCTTGAACCCAGGAGGTGGAGGTTGCAGTAAGCCAAGATTGCGCCACTGCACTCCAGCCTGGGTGACACAGAAGACTCTGTCTGAAAAAAAAAAAAAAGAAAGAAAGAAAGAAAAGAAAGAAAAGAAAAAAGCCAATATTGATACCATGTGCTACAGAGGGCCTCACAAGCGGGGCTAGGAAGGCACACAGACCTCACCCAGACCTGAGCACCAAGCCTTTCTGGAGGAGGGGACAGGAAAGATTGTTAGACATTGGCAGGAAATGGCCAGACATGGTGGCTCATGCCTGTAATCCCAGCGCTTTGGGAGGCTAAGGCGAGAGGATTGCTTGAGCCCAGGAGTTAAAGGCCAGCCTGGGCAAAACATAGTGAGACCCTGGTCCCTACGCAAATTTTTTTTTTTTTTTGAGATAGAGTCTTGCTCTATTGCCCAGGCTGGAGAGCAGTGGCAGGATCTCAGCTCACTGCAACCCCCCACCGTCTTCTGGGTTCAAGCAATTCTCCTGCCTCAGCCTCCCGAGTAGCTGGGACTACAGGCACACGCCACCACGCCCAGCTAATTTTTGTATTTTTAGTAGAAACGGGGTTTCACCGTGTTGGCCAGGATGATCTCCAACTCTTGACCTTGTGAGCCACCCATTTCCACCTCCCAAAGTGCTGGGATTACAGGCGTGAGCCACCACGCCCGGCCACAATTTTTTTTTTTAATCATGATAATAATGGCCCATGCCTGTTGTCCTAGCTACTCAGGAGGCTGGGGCAGGAGGATCACTTGAACCCAGGAGTTCAAGGCTGCAGTGAGCTATGATCGTGCTACTGCACTTCAGCTTGGGTGACAGAGCAAAACCCCCCCACTCTAAAAATACTAATAAAAGGCAGAAAAGAGGAAAAGGGGCATGCCAGGAAAAAGCAGCAGCCTGGGCAAAAGACTTCAAGGTGAGACAGAACAGGAAACGTTTCAGAAAAGTCAAACAGGCCAGGCGAGGTGGCTTGCACCTGTAATCCCAGCACTTTGGGAGGCCGAGGTGGGAACATCACTTGAGCCCAGGAGTTGGAGACCAGCCTGGGCAACATAGCAAGACCCTGTCCCTATTGAAAGAAAAGAAAAGAAAAGTCAAATAATTTACAATAGCCAGAAGGTAGAGGCCAGAGACGCTAAGAATTAAGCCTGACTGATGAGCCAGGGCCGGATCCAGAGGGGTCACGAATGCCTTGCTAAGGCATTTGGACTTTATCACTCAGGCACGATACTTTCATACACAGAAGCAAGGGCACGGTGGTGGGATGGTGCCTACACTACCACCAGCCACCCACCAGAAGAAAAGTGGGACGAGGCCAGGCAGAATCATGAAAACTCAGAACTGGCCTCCACGCCCCTTCCCCTCAAAGCTTCGGCTTGACCACCTCCAGTGACAGTGACAGAGACCTCACTGCCTGCTGCTGGGCATCAGTTTTAACTGCTGGAAAGCGTAGGCCTTTAGAGCAAGGCCATTAAAGCCTGGGCTCTGGATCCCACGCTGTTATTATTATTATTTTGAGACAGAGTCTCACTCTGGTGCCCAGGCTAGAGTGCAGTGGTGCAATCATGGCTCATTGCAGCCTCCACCTCCCATATTCAGCGATTCTCCTGCCTCAGCCTCCAGAGTAGCTGGGATTACAGGTGTGCACCACCACATCTGGCTAATTTTTGTATTTTTATTAGAGATGGGGTTTCACCATGTTGGCCAGGCTGGTCTCAAACTCCTGGCCTCAAGTGGTCCACCTGCCTCGGCCTCCCAAAGTGCTGGGATTACAGGTGCGAACTACTGCACCTGGACTCAATGTTATTATTATTAATGATAACTTTTTTTTTTTTTGAGACAGGATCTCACTCTGTCGCCCAGGCTGGAATGCTGTGGCATGATTACGGCTCATTCCAACCTCCACTTCCCAGTCTGAAGCCATCCTCCCACCTTAGCTTCCTGAGTAGCTGGGACTGCAGGCATGTACCATCATTACCTCAAAGGCCCCAGGCCGGTGGTGGAAGTTGGGGAATAAACCAGCCATGGGGATGTTGTGATGGAGGGGTGTACAGGATATTAAGGGACACAGAGTATCATGTAATTCAGATGGAGGGGGAGGTGAGGGAAGGCAGCCGGGAGGAGGGTGACCCTTGAACCGAGGCTTCAAGGATGGGAGGAGTTGGTAAGACAGAGAAGGGGTAAGAGCATTTGGAGTGGAGAGAATGGCAAATGCAAAGGCATGGAGCCATGAAAAGCAAGACTAGGGTGGTGCAAGCGGGCTTTGATACACACATGTGATGGCTTCTGCCGCACCAGTCATCCTGCTCGGATTGCCACAACAAACCCTTTGTTATATCTGGAAACCAGGGTGCAGAATACAAGGAGGCACCTGGACAGACCTGAGAAAGGGCACCTCCTGGCCGAGCATAGTGGCTCACACCTGTAATCCCACCACTTTGGGAGGCCAAGGCGGGCGGATCACTTGAGGTCAGGAGTTCGAGACCAGCCTGGCCAACATGGTGAATCCCCATGTCTACTAAAAATACAAAAAAACTAGCCAAGCGTGGTGGCACACACCTGTAATCTCAGCTACTCAGGAGGCTGAGGCAGGAGAATCACTTGAACCCAGGAGGTAGAGGTTGCAGTGAGCTGAGATCGGACCACTGCACTCCAGCCTGGGTGACAGAGAGAGACTCCGTCAAGAAAGAAAAGAAAAGAAAGGGAAAGAAAGGGAAAGGAAGGAAGGGAGGAAGGGAGGGAGGGAGGGAGGGAGGGAGGGAGGGAGGAAGGCAGGCAGGCAGGCAGGCAGGCAGGCAGGCAAGCTCCTTAAACGTCACACCTTAGGTGCCAGCTTGTTTACCCTCATCCTGGCCCTGAGGAAAACCATGGCCCTTCCAGAGATCTAAAGAAAGAACACCTTATCCTGAAGGGGTGGGAGCCACCGCATCCTTTCAAGCCAGAGAGTGAAAGAATCAGACGTCCCTGCCCTGAGTCTCTGCAGAATGGAGAAGATGAGATGATTCCAGACAGAATTAGAAGGAATCATCAACAAGCTCTGACATCAAATTGGCCGTGAGGTCTGGAGGAAGGGTGGGGCCTGAAATGACCCACTTGGAGGTCCTGAGTGGGTGATGAGGCTGTTGACCATGACAGGGATTCAGGAGGAAGAGCAGGTTTGGAGAGAAAGATTAGAACTCATTTTAGCACATCTGGCATTTGAGTTGCCTGTAGAACATTCACATTAACATGTAATTATAGGGCTTGGGAGAAAAAGATCCCAGCCAGAGATGAGGAAATTGTCAGCGCCCAGGTGGTAGGTGAAAGCCTTGGGTCTGCATAAAGGGATGTGAGATAAGGGCAGGACTCCAGGGAAGAAGACATTAAGAGTGGAGGGAAGAGGAGTGAACCAGAGGGCAGAGAAGGGATGGTCGGAGAGGAAAGAAAACCAGGAGAGATGAGTGCCCAGAAACTGACCAGGAGAGCACTTCCCGGGGCGATGGTCAGGGGTGTCCTCGCTCCTGGAGTGGAGGCTGAAGCAGGAAGCTCACGTGAGCCCAGGAGGCTGAGGCTGCGGCAAGCTGTGATTGCACCACTGCACTCCAGGCTGGGCAATAGAGCAAGACCCAGTCTCTAAAAAAGAACTTTTTTAAAAATGTGGTTTGGGCCAGGCGTGGTGGCGCATGCCAGTAATCCCAGCACTTTGGGAGGCTGAGGTGGGCGGATCATGAGGTCAGGAGTTCAAGACCAGCCTGACCAACATAGTGAAACCCTCTCTCTACTAAAAATACAAAAAAAAAAAAAAAAAATTAGCCAGGCTTGGTGGCGCATGCCTGTAATTCCAACTACTCAGGAAGCTGAGGCAGGAGAATCGCTTGAACCCGGAAGGTAGAGGTTGAAGTGAGCCAAGATCACGCCACTGCACTCCAGCCTGGGCAACAGAGCGAGACTCTGTCTCAAAAAATAAAATAAAATAAAAAATATGGTTTGGAGCAGTTTTTCAGATGGGAGATCATTGACCATGGTTATTTCTAGAACACAGAGCCAACAGAGGGAAAACCCAGAGGGCCACAGAGAGGATGGTAGATGCGGGGGGTGGGAATGGGATCCAGGGGCAGGTGGATAGGTCCACCTTTGGACAGAGAGGACTAGACAAAAAGGGAGAGCATTCTGTGGGTGCAGAATGTGAGGAGACAGGAAACTGAAGGAGTACTCCAATAACTGAGGTGTGGGAGAGGGGCAGTGTGGAGGGTTGGCATGGGCGTGGAAGGGGGAGAAAAGGGACAGTTTGAAATAGTCACTCAGAAGAAGGAAAGACAAAGCTGACATTTAGTGTGACCTCTCATCATTCATTTATTCATTTAGCAAGTATTCACGGGTGTCCCTTATGGGCAGGGCACCATGCCAAGAATGGAGCTCAAACAAAACACAGCTCCTAAAGGAAAGGGCTGGAAATCTAGGCCGGGCACGGTGGTTCACGCCTGTAATCCCAGCACTTCGGAAGGCCAAGTCAGGCAGATCACCTGAGGTCAGGAGTTCGAGGCCAGCTGGCCAACATGGTGAAACCCCATCTCTACTAAAAATGCAAAAATTGGCTGGGCACGGTGACTCACGCCTGTAATCCCAGCACTTTGGGAGGCCAAGGCAGGCGGATCATGAGGTCAAGAGATTGAGACCATCCTGGCCAACATGGTGAAACCCTGTTTCTACTAAAAATACAAAAATTAGCTGGGTGTGGTGGCGCGCACCTGTAGTCCCAGCTACTTAGGAGGCTGAGGCAGGAGAATCGCTTGAACCTGGGAGGCAGAGGTTGCAGAGAGCCAAGATCATGCCTGTACTCCAGCCTGGTAACAGAGCGAGACTCTGTCTCAAAAACAAAACACAAAAATTAGCCGGGAGTGGTGGCATGTTACTGTAATGCCAGCTACTTGGGAGGCTAAGGCAGGAGAATCGCTTGAACCTCGGAGATGGAGGTTGCAGTGAGCCGATATCGCACCACTGCACTCCAACCTGGGAGACATAGGAAGACTTTGTCTCAAAAAAAAAGAAAGAAAGAAAGAAAAAAACAAAAGAAAAAATTAAAAAAAAAAAGAACTGACAGCCAGGTGCAGTAGCTCATGCCTGTAATCTCAGGGCTTTGGGAGGCTGAGGCAGGTGGATCACCTGAGGTCCGGAGTTTGAGATCAGCCTGGCAAACATGGTGAAACCCCATCTCTACTAAAAATATAAAAATTAGCTGGGCATGGTGGCGGGCGCCTGTAATCCCAGCTACTTGGGAGGCTGAGGCAGGAGAACTGCTTGAACCTGGGAGTCAGAGGTTGCAGTGAGCCAAGATCGCACCACTACACTCCAGCCTGGGCAACAAGAGTGAAACTCCAACTCAAAAAAAAAAAAGAAAAAAAAGAAAGAAAGAAAGAAAGAAAGAAAGAAAGAAAGAAAGAACGAACTGAAAATATTCCATCTCCCTTTTTTTTTTTTTTTTTTGAGACAGAGTCTTGCTCTGTCACCCAGGCTGGAGTGCAGTGGTGCAATCTCGGCTCACCACGATCTTGGTCTTCCAGGTTCAAACAATTCTCCTGCCTCAGCCTCCCAGGTAGCTGGGATTACACGTGCCTGCCATCAAGCCCAGTTAATTTTTTTTTTTTTTTTTGGATTTTTTAGTAGAGACGGGGTTTCACCGTGTTGGCCAGGCTGGTTTGAAACTCCCGACCTCAAGTGATCTGCCTACCTCGGCCTCCCAAAGTGCTGGGATTACAGGTGTGAGCCACCGCACCAGGGCTGCATCTCCCATTTTTGACCAGTTACCCTGTGCCAGGCATTGGACTGAGGATCTGAATATCCCAATTAGGAATTTAAGTGATCTTCAGGGGTGGATATTTTTACAGATGAAGAAAGTGAGGTTCAGAGAGGTGACTGACTTGGTGAAGTTCATGCAGCTGGAAAATGTCAAGGCTGGCATCTGAACATAGGTTTGTTTGGCTTCAGAGTTCATGCTGCCCCTCAACCCCTCTCCCCAGTCCCACTTCCCATGTCCTCTAGGCCTCCCTGCCTCCGCCAGCTTCATATTACTGCACAAGATCTAAGAACATTGGAGCTTCCTGAAGTAACTAAGCCAGCGAGCCCATGGTTGCTGAGCTGGTCAAAATGCGGTCATCTGTGATCACTACCCTCTGCCCATTCATCCAAAGCCATCTTACCGGCCTGTGTTGAGAAGCGAGGCGAGGTTAGTCCCCATGAATAAGCCACCTGTTAACATGCCACCTCCTCAGTGCCATGTGTCATCGTCCCAAGGGGGCCCAACCCCAGTGTGTCCCCAGCAATGGAGCTGCAGTCCCCACGCTCTATTGTCAGCCCTTGGCAGCCTGCTTTGCCACGCACATATGATGGCTTTTGCGGTGGCAGTCATCCTGCTCAAATTGCCACAACAAACACTTTGTTATACCTAAACCAAAGCTCTGGAAAAAGGGAGAGTAGCTGTGGGCAATGCCTGGAGCTGGTATGGGCAGAGGCAAGGTCCCAATCCCAGGCAAAGTTCTGATCTCGGAGAGGTTGGATGACCTCAGGAGCCATTTGGCCAAACTGGGCACATATCTGATGTCAGTAACAGGTACCCCTGGGGTCTTTCCAGGGAGTGACGTAGGCAGGCTGGGAACTCAGCTCCAAAGCAGCATGAGATACTTTGTGGGCTCTGATACCTGTGCTACACTAAGTATGATGTTGGCAAATCACTTAATCTCTCGAAGCCACAGTATCCTTATCTGTTAAATGGTGCTCACCCTCTTAAAGATGCTAGGAGGGGTAAATGAAAGCTTGCACATAAAGCTCTTAGCACACTGGTCAGTTATGCAGTAAATTCTCAAAAGACATTAGCAATTATTTTCTGAGCACAGAGATAATGAATGGGCTGGAGACGGAGATGTTCAGAGGAGCGAGCTGCAGCTGGGAGAGGCTGCAGAAGGTGGTCGGGCTGGTCTGGGGAGGGAGTCTCATTTTCTCCTTCCTCTGTGTGAAAAGCACAGACCACAGCTAAACGATAATGCAGTCAGCAGCTGGTCCTAAGGGGGAGGGGAGCTGTGAGGACAGAGGAAAGAAGCCTCACTTTAAAAAGGATTGAGTGGGGAGAACGCGGCAGGAAAGAGCTCAACAAAAAACCAACCTGGAAACCCAGCAGCTAGGCAGCTGGCGAGGGAATGTCAAACCCAGCCAGAACTACCATAATTCACAGTGTAGGAGGTTCCCCTGGCCCAGGCCGCTTGGAAATAGGAGCCAAGACTCCTGAAAGAGCAAACCCAAGGGCAGCTGACCCCCTTGTAGGGGGTCGGGGACAAGTGCCCCACCCTACCCACTCCAGCAGCAAGACTTCTTTAGAACTTGGCTCTCGGGAGGAAGCTCCCCTGTGACCAAGAAGTTGAATGCAATTCCACTCATCCGACAGGGAAGTACTAGACAGAGACAGAGATGGGAGGTGGAACTGAAGCAAGCTATTCCCTGCCCTTTGGGAAGCTTCCAGATTAGAGCGAAGAGGGCAAACTGCAGGAGGCTGCTACTCTGTGGCTGGCAGCATGATGAAGTGGAAAAGGGCGTGAGTTCTGAGGCCAGAAGCCCTGAATTTAAATCCTGGCCCCACCACTCACTGCCTGAGCCATCTTGAGCAAATAAATCACTTGAATGATATCTCCGTGTCCTCCTCCATAAGACGGAGGAAGTGATAATATCTGCCACCCAGGGTTGTGGCGAGGATCAAATGAGATGTTAGTTATTGTTCAAGGGTAAAGGGGAGGCCCAGGAAATCGTTATGGGGCTGAAGGAGGGAGACTGTATCTGTACTGGAGTATTGGGGAGGGGTTCATGGGGGAGGTGGCACTTGACATGGGCCTTGAAGGGCACTTAACACCTCTTCCATAGGCAGGACAGGGAAGGGGACATACTCCAGGCAATGGGAACAGTCTGAGCAAAGGCACAGGGCAGGGCAGCTATGACACAGCTGTCTCCCTTTGTAGCCCATTCTCTACCTCTGTGAGTCTGGTCCCTCCCACCTTCCCACACTCATAGTCACAACTTCAGTGAAAAGAAAGACACAGACTAGATTAGACATCTGAGGCAGAGGGCCATGGGGTCTGGG
Organism: Homo sapiens; assembly: GCF_000001405.40. Classification (NCBI taxonomy): domain Eukaryota; kingdom Metazoa; phylum Chordata; class Mammalia; order Primates; family Hominidae; genus Homo; species Homo sapiens. The sequence goes on from NC_000011.10 coordinate 46,331,740, forward strand.
AGGAAAGAGAGTGTTGTTCAGCTGGAGCCATCCAAGGAGACTTCCTGGAAGAGGAGGCTTTTAAGCAAAGCCTCAGAATTTGAAGTACATCAATAGGAGATATCAGATGGAGGGGACAATAGGAGATATCAGATGGAGGGGACTGTACAGTCCTGATGCAAGTTCCCAGAATAAGGAGCATAAATGAGTGGGAGAAAACGGAAGAGCCTGGGCTGCAGGATGGGGGAAGATCAAGGCAGGCCTTGAGTGCAGGCTAAAGTATAGGCATGAGGAAGCTAGGAAATACCACGGGAGAAGAGTAGATGCTATGGCCAGAAAGATGAGTCTGGGGCCGTGAAGAGGAGGTGTTCCATCAGAGAAGTTCACCAGGGCCCCACTGTAATCCAGATGGAGGGTTCACCTGAGGAACACTGCAAGGACAAGAGGAGGTGACCCAAGGAGGAACCATGGGATTTGGAGGGAAAGAAGAAGGGGGAGTCCAAGATGGACCTCAAGGAGAACTCCAGTCTTTCCTTTTGGAGTTGGCTTCTCCCCTATCTCATCAGCCTCTCCTGACCCAGCAGGCCGATTAAATCTAAGAGACCCTGGCCCTGAAGCCTCAGTAATTCAGGTCCTAGGAGGCCTCCCTGCCTTGAGGAGACACCACCCCCATCTGGGGCCCTCTCTAGGCACGATCCAGAAGAGCTCTAGGCCTGAAGGTAGTGTTACCCGCCATCGGGTCCATCCCCAAATTCAAGGTATCCCTGGGTATGTTCCCTCTCCTGTGCCCCTTCCCCAAACCCAGTGGGTCTCTAAATTCCAGCGGCGCCGACGGGGTTAATGTTGGCTCATGTCACCGCCTCTGCACGCCCCCGCTCCAAACCTGCCAGCTGCAGCGGCGAATGCCGAAGCCCGAAAGCGAGGGACCAGGCAGCCGTGGGGGTGGAGGGGACACATCGCAGTAGCTGAGTGACAGGCGGCGGGGTGATGATTGGCAGCTGCCGAGCTGCCTGGACTAGGACCCGGGCGGGGGCGCAGAGGTGGTCGCAGGAGGCGCCCCACACCCCGGGCCTTGCGCCCTGAGCTAGGTTCGTGCCCGTGGTGGGCTGGGCCGGGCTCGCTCCCTTCGTGCCCTGAGCGGGCGGGCTGGGCGGAGCGGCGCCCTCCCCTCCGGACCCCACCGGCTGGAGAGTGTCTCTAAGGTGACACTCGGGTGCGCGGCAGCAGCGGCGGTTGCAGGAGCTCGCTCTCCGCCCGGGCTCCGGCTCCGCTCCAGCCGTCCGGGGGGCGCCGCGGCGCGCAGAGCGCAGCACCCCGACTCCAGCCAGGAGCCCCCGCCCCCCCGGAGCGCAGGAGGACCCCGGCCCGCCTCTCCCAGGCGCAGCGCCCAGCATCTCGCTGCTCCTGTCGTCTAAGCGTCGGCGTCGCTAGGGACCTGCGGAACCCGGCGCTCCCCTCCCTCCCCGCCTCGCGTCCCCGGCCCGGGCGGACTGGAGACTCGAACTTGAGCGGGTGCCCGAAAGGCCGCAGGAGCCGCGGGCGGAAGGCGGCCGCACGATGGCCGAGGGGCAGGGCGGCGGAGGGCAGCGCTGGGACTGGGCTGGCGGCGGCCGGGCAGCCGAGGAGGAGGTGGTGCGGCGGCGATGCCGGCGCGGGGAGGAGGCCCAGGTCGCGCAGCCCTGGCCCGAGGGTTCCCGGGGCACGGCCGCTGGGCCCCCGGTGGAGGAGCGTTTCCGCCAGCTGCACCTACGAAAGCAGGTGTCTTACAGGTAAGGAGGACGTGGGCAGAGGGGAGCGCGGCGCTTGGGACCACCCCTCTTGCAGGCGTCATTGCACAAACGTTTATTGTGCGCCCGCCGCCTGCCTGGCGCTGGGAGTTTAGAGATGACTGCCGAGGGATCTCTGTCTTTTCGTGTACAGCGGGAAGGAGGCAGCTTCTGAGACTCCTTCTCTGCCTGAACCGTGAAAGCCGTATTCATCCAATATGCAGTGGCTGAGGGAACAGTGTACCAGGCGCTAAGGAGAGGAAAGAGCCATGACATTGTTCTTACAAACCTCTATCTGCTGGGGAGAGCCAGGAGATGCCCCCTGGCCCTTCTGGGGGAAAGAGGAACCCCCTCTTCATTCAACAGGTCTACCCTGAGCTTTCCCGTGGGCTGAGTCTGTGCCAGGCACAGGCTTGTGGAAATGACTGAGAGGCTCCCTGCCACCACTGTGGAGACCCTGCTGCCCAGAGATGGGGAACAGAATTCCCTCCTGAACCCCCATGCCCCAGCAGGCCCTGGCTGGCAACCTCCAGGGGCAGAGGGAACCTCCCCACCCCCACCCAACATCTTCTTAATTCAACTGTCTTCTGTCAGTGTCAGAGTCTCTTGGCCTGCCACCTCTGCCCAGAGGGTCCTGGAGGAGCCAGCTGGAGTGGGCCCCAGAGGTCATTTTGGTGACCTGGGGTAGGACGTTAATGAGGGAGGACAGCCCTTCAGAACAAGGGTGGGAAAGTTACACAGAGGTTGGAGCTGGGACAGCCCAGTACACACCTTACCTTCCTCTTCCTCTCCCAAACCACAGCCTCAACTTGGACTTGCTGTCCCTCTCAAGCCCTTGGCCCAGAGTGACCTCCCCTGGAGAGTCTAGCAGGGCCACTAGGGCAGCTGCGGTCCTTACAGCCATCGGCCTGGTTGGAGAGGACAAGTTCCCTGTCCACTTACAACCATGGGGTGTTTGGGATATGTCTGAGGCTGCCCTGGTTCTCCCAGTGGCTTCTGGGAAGACGTTTCATAAAACTTGCCCAGCCCTGGGAGCTTGAAAGGCCTCAGTATTCTTAATGGCTCTGGGGCCATCAGGGCTCCATCACTTGGGGGAGGAAGGGACAGAAGGGGAGGGGATTTTCCAAGAAGCAAGATGCTCAGAGCAAATGGGAAGCAGGCCAGGTTCCCATGGGCCCTACCTCCACCTTCTAGGGTATACTAGAAATCGTGGGTACACCGGGCTCCATTACCAAGTTCTTCCAGAACACCACGCCCAGGGGAGTGCATCATCCATCCCATGCCTCTGGCTGTAGGTATGAATGTCCCCCTGGGGCAGGAGGAAGTGCAGAGGGACTCACAGGGGATGCAGCAAAGAATGGAGACTCCTGGGATAAATGTCAGCCTGGGAGTCAGAAGACCTGGTTTCTACTCTCAATTCTGCCAGAGACTTGTGTGTCCTTGAGCTGGACAATATCTCTCCCTGGGCGTCAGTTCTTTACTTTTAACATAAGGGGATGACCCCGAGTTTTGCCTTAGCTGTGGGTCAGAGACAAATCACAAATGGAGGCTGGGCGCGGTGACTCACACCTGTAATTCCAGCACTTTGGGAGGCCGAGGCAGGAGGATCACTTGAGGTCACAAGTTCAAGACCAGCCTGGCCAACATGGTGAAACCCTGTCTCTACTAAATATACAAAAATTAACCAGGTGTGGTGGCAGGCACCTGTAATCCCAGCTACTCGGAAGCCTGAGACAGGAGAATCACTTGAACCTGGGAGGCAGAGGTTGCAGTGAGCAGAGATGGCGCCACTGTACTCTAGCCTGGCGACAGAGGGTGACTCCATCAAAAAAAAAAAAAAATCACAAATGGAGGCCAGAGTGGAGTGGAGACTTAGAGGGCAGAGAGCAAAGAATAATTGAATAATTAAAGGGCTGAGATAGAAAATGTTGCACACGTGCACGCACACACACACACACACACACACACACGCACACAGCGGCAAGGGCTGGGATTCCCCTGGGTGGCCCCAGAAGGGAGGCCCCTCCACAGCCCAAACAACTTGGGGCCTGTAATCACCAAGGATGCCAGGTAATCCCACTGAGGTCCCCCCAACCCCTGCCTCCAGGTTACCTGTGTGAGGGCGGCAGAAAACAACACCAGGGTGGACTCTGCTGTCACCCTTGGACAGATGAGAAGGATAGGGCATCTCCTCACTCCCTGGGGTTAGTCTAGGAACCCAGTCTCAGTCTCAGAGCCGAACAAGGCATCAAGGCAAGGAGAGCCCCTGGTAGAGGACAGACAGACAAGCCCTGGGAAAGAGCCAGCAGCTCTTCCAGGCCCAGGGGACCCCAGGGGAACAAACTGTGCTCTCCAACTAAGCCCTCTCTTGTGGCTGCTGTCCTGGGTGGCCTGTGGCCTCCTGGCAGGGGGACTGGGGGACCGGGGGCTGGCAGGAGCTCAGGCCCATGGTGGCCCTTTTCACATCCTCCACATGCCACAGTTCCGTGCAGCTCTGGCTGGCAGCTAAACCTCCTACCCTGCTGTGCGGAGTTGCTAAGAAAAGCAGTTGAAAGCCCTTTCCAGAGCGAAAAGGCTTTTAGACAGAAATGTGGGGGCAAAAAAATCTGAGGGCGAGGAGTGGAAGCGGAAGCGGGCTGAAGGCCTGGCTGCTTCTGACGTAAGTGAGGACGGGGGCTTTGGCAGGACACTAGAAGCTTAGAGGGGTGTGGGGCTTTCTCAGAAATAGGTTTCCTTCGCCTCCCAGTGCCAGCATGGGCTGGAAGCAACCCTGGCAGCTTCTTTAGGTGGATGGAGAGATGGCGGGTGTGTGCCAGCAGAAACTCAGACACCTGGAAAGGCAGGGGAGGGGGGAAGGGCAAGAAGGCAGGAAAGAAGGCAAGGGAAGAACTTCAATGGGGTATGTCCTTGTTTGGTTTAAATGGGTCCTGGTTTCCAATAAGTCATAAAAGGGCAGGGCAGGTCTAGGCATGGTGACTCATGCCTGTAATCCCAGCATTTCTGGAGGCCAAGGCAGGAGGATCACTTGAGCCCAGGGATTTGGGACCAGCCTGAGTGACACAGTGAGACCCTGTCTCTACAGCAAAAAAATTTTTTGTTTTTGTTTTTGAGATAGGGTCTCACTGTGTGTGTCACCCAGGCTGGAGTGCACTATCATGATCATGGCTCACTGCAGCCTTGACTCAGGTGATCCTCCCACCTCAGCCTCCTCAGCACACACTACCATGCCTGGATAATTTTTGGTATTTTTTGTAGGGATGGGGTTTCGCCGTGTTGCCAGGCTGGTCTCGAACTCCTGGGCTCAAGCGATCGCCCATCTTGGCCTCCCAAAGTGCTGGGGTCACAAGCATGACCCACTGCTCCTGGCCTCTACAGATTTTGTTAAAATTAGCTGGGCGTGGTTGCATGCGTCTGTAGTCCCAGCTACTCAGAATGTTGAGGTGGGAGGATTGCTTAAGCACAAGAATTCGAGGCTGCGGTGAGCCACAATTGCGCCACTGCACTCGAGGCTGGGAGATAGAGTGAGATCCTGTCTCTAAAAAAAGTGGGGGGCAAGGCAGTAGTGCCTGAGATCTTGCATCTCCATCTGGGGGAAAGGAAAAGTCACTCTCAGCGTAAATGATCAGGGTTGGGCTCAAGAGACCATGGGAGAGCAGGCTCCAGCTAGGTAAAGCCAGAGTGGGGCAAGGGATGCAGGGCTTGGTCTAAAAAGATCAGTTCAAAGATGCAGGATTTGCAATTCCAGAGTTAAACTCAGTGGCTTCCAAACTGGATCACCTGGGGGTCTCTTTTTAAATGGGTTCTTTTTTTTTTTTTTTTTTTTTTTTTTGAGACAGAGTCTCACTCTGTCGCCCAGGCTGAAGTGCAATGGCGTGATCTTGGTTCACTGCAACTGCCACCTCCCGGGTTCAAGCAATTCTCCTGCCTCAGCCTGCCAAGTAGCTGGGACTACAGGCGCCCACCACCACGCCGGGCTAATTTTTGTATTTTTAGTAGAGACGGGGTTTCGCCATGTTGGCCAGGCTGTTCTCAAACTCCTGACCTCAGGTGATCCATCCACCTCGGCCTCCCAAAGTTCTGGGATTACAGGCATAAGCCACCGCGCCCAGCCTTAAAATGGATTCTAAAGCCCTCTCCCTAGAGGTCTTGCTACAGGTGTATAGGGTTGGGCCTGGACGCCTCCATGCTAAAAACCTCTCCCAGGTAATTTTGACAGTGGAGCAGGTTTGGAAACCACTGGTTTTGCCTGTGAAGAAGCCGAAGGAAAAAGAGAAAAGGGCAGGGCAGGAAACAAACAAACAAAAAAAAAAATGGAGGGAGGGGGTGTCCAATGTGAGATGACTCACTGGGATGTGGCTGGCGGAGGGCTTCCCTGTGCTGAGTTCTGTTTTGGCCCCAGAAGGGCCTCTAGGAAGAACCAGTGCCTGTACCTGGTGTCCTGGGTGTGGGCCAAGCATTACCTGAGATGGAAATATGGGAAACAGTCCCTTCCCTTAACAAAAGTGTGACCCCCATACAGGGTGAGACAGTAAATACTTTAGGCTTTGCAGGGCACTCGACTCTGCCATTGTGGTGCAAAAGCAGTCATAGACAACGTGTAAGTGAAGAAGCGCCAGGGTTCTGCTAAAACTTTATTCATAGACACTGAACTTAACATTTCATAGAATTTCAGCAACGCAATACCATTCTTTTGCTTTTTCCCACTCATTTAAAAACTTAAAAAGCATTCTTGCCGGGCGTGGTGGCTCACGCCTGTAATCTCCGCACTTTGGGAGGCTGAGGCAGGTGGATCACCTAGCTCAGGAGTTCGAGGCCAGCCTGGCCAACGTGGTTAAATCCCACCTCTACTAAAAATACAAAAATTAGCCAGGCGTGATGGTGGGTGCCTGTTACCCAAGATACTCGGGAGGCTGAGGCAGGAGAATCGCTTGAACCCGGTAGGCAAAGGTTGCAGTAAGCCAACATCGCGCCACTGCACTCCAGCCTGGGCAACAGAGCAAAACTCCATCTCAAAAAAAAAAAAAAAAAAAAAAAAAAAAGCACTCTTAGCTCCTGGGCCCTACAAAAACAAGCAGCAGGCTGGATGTGGCCCCGATCCAGTAGATGGGACAGGACAAGCTCATGGGAAACAAGAACTGAGGCATCGGAATGAACCTGAGCATGGTGGCGGGGGGCTCCGTGGCACATGCATCCCACCAAGAGAGGTCATGCAATGCCCGTGCATCCTTCTGGGTCAGAGAGACCTGGGCTCCAATTCCAGCCCTGCCCCTTCCTAGTTGGGTAAGAGGCTTTCACTTCTGACCCTGTTTCCTCACACGGAAAATGCGAGCGATGATACCTTATCAAGAATGTGGCTGGGAAGATTCAAGAAGATACCAGATGTCAACTTCCTGACTCAGAGCACGGGTAAAACAAGTTAGAGCTTTTGTCCTGTGTAGCTGGACCCCTCCGTGGGTTCCAGAGGCCCTGTAAGGTGTGGAGATGGAGGCTGGCCCCGAGCCACAGATGGTGGTGGGACCCAGGGGTGGTAAAGTTTAACAGAGACTAAAAGCAAGGCTGAGCATGCGCGCATGTCCCAGCCTACGGTCCTCCCCCTTCTCCACCCCTGCAGAGGGGCTGGGGGCAGGGACTGGGCACCAACTGGCAGATGAGGATGCCCCCTGCCGTGGGCACGCTGCTGCGGGTCCACGACTCCTCAAGGGAGGGGCACCTGATCCAACTCTCCCTGCGGCTATTTACCAGAAGCTAAAAATAACCCAAGAGTGACAGGGAGATGGGGCCGATTTGTAATTTAAATAGCAACAGGATAAAGCAAGGAGCTGCCAGAGATCACATTCTGTCCTGAATTAACAATGCAAAACCAGGGGCAGAGAGCTGAGCTGAGCAGGGGGAGGGGACCACGGCCAGAGGAAGCCTGGGGTCCATCAATTTTCTTTCCTTTGAAAAGGGCGGGGCCCAGGCCCAGCCCGGAACTCCTTCCCTCCCCTCAGGGACCTGCAGTTCTTGCTGATCAGTGAGTCAAAGGCCAGAGAGGGCAGTGCCACACTGTCCCAGAGGCCAACGTGCAGGGATCGGGATCCCAGGAGAGGGTCTTATCTGACCTCATTTTGGCACAAGGAGCTTGGGACGTGCCCCCAGCAGCCCATGTCCCCCAGTCCCCGCACCAAGGGGCACAGCCACTTGGGCATTTTGGAGGGAACCTGGGAAGGCCAGTTTGATCAATGGCATTTGAAGAACTTATTTGGTGGCCTGCTGAGATGGTGGCCTGTGGGCCAAGCATGGGGAAGCCTGGAGTGGAGTCTCATTTTTGCCTCAGTTGGTGCCTTTCAGAGTTTTCAGAAAGGCCCCTCCAAGGTCCAGGGTGCCAGGGACAAGGGTTAGTACCAACTGGAGAAAACCTCTCTTCAATGACATACAAAGAGGGTGGGGAAGGAACTGGGACTGGACTCTAGGCTTCTGCAGGGCTCCAGTGTGACTGACAAGGGCTCTCGGCCTATAGATGCCTGGAAAAGGCTAATCAGAGATTGCAGAGTAGGCAGTGCTTTGGAGGCCACTGGGCCGCAGCTTACAAATGAGGAGCTAAGGTTGGCAGAAGTTAAGCAATGTGTTGAGATCACAGAGCCAGTAACTGGTGGAGCCAGGATCCAGACTGAGATCTGTTTCTCTCCAAAGCCCTTTTTACTCTGTCAGGCTTGCAAAGGCCTAGACTTTCATCCTTGAGGATCTTGCTTTTGGCTCTGTACAAAGTGTACATATCTCTGGGTGTGGTAATAGGATAGGTAGTAAGGGGGCTGAAAGGTAGCTATGCAATCAGGGCTTATGACCCTACAGATGTGAGTGGGAGGCTTGGAAGGCAGGAGACACACTGACCGTGTCGTGGGGGCTTGGTGTAGTCCAGGGTGGGGACAGATGGAAACTTTTGAGCAGATGCAGCTGACCCAGACTAAGGGGAGAGCTGTGCAGGCTCCTCTCTCACCTCCAATCCAGGAAATTGGGAGGTGCCAAAGGACAGCTTTCAAGAGACATGGTGGTTTGAAGGACCACCTTTGGCTGCTGGGCCGCCAGTGCTGTGCCTGCAGCTCTCTTGCCTCAGCAGGAGAGGGTCTCCAGCCCCTCCTCCAGGTTTCCTCCTGCTCATGACTTTCGTGAAGCTACCCAAAAGGAACCTAGTCAAATGTCCATCTGTCACTAGCCAGCAGCACCTGCAACCCAGCTCAGACACATCTGTCTCCTCTGTGGGGGCAGAGGCCCAGCACTTCAGCAGGGGCCAGTGATCAGCAGGTGATCCCAGGCTCTGGGTTGCTCCCAAAGGCTTCAGCAGGTGCCCAGATCACAGGCATAGCTAATGGGGAGGCATGCACTTAAACTTCAAAATCCTTGTAGGACAGGCATGGTGGCTCACGCCTGTAATCCCAGAATGTTGGAAGGCCAGGGCGGGCCAATCACTTGAGGCCAGGAGTATGAGACCAGCCTGGGCAACATGGCGAAACCCTGTCTCTACTAAAAATACAAAAATTGCCAGGTGTGGTGGGACATACTTGTAATCCCAGCTACTTAGGAGGCTGAGGCAGGAGAATCGCTTGAACCTGAGAGGCGGAGGTTGCAGTGAGCTGAGATCATGCCACTGCACTCCAGCCAGGGCAACAGAGCAAGGCTCTGTCTCCAAACTCTCCATGTCTCACCATGGCCACTTAGGCAAACAAGAAGCCAGTCTCCCTCCCTCCCTCTGCCCAGCCTTCTGAACACCTGTATTCAACCCATGGCAACTTCCATAGGAAGTCACTGAGCACAAACTCATGTACCCAGCACTGAGCTAGGAGCAACATAAGGTTCAAGAATTTTGTAAGGAAGCAAGACTAAGTGCACAAAAAGTCAGATGATACAGGAATATCATTGGGAACAAAAGTGAGCATCATAGGTAAGGGATCAGCAGGTGGGGTGGAATGCCAGTTCAGGAGAAGTGTTTGACACTTGGTAGATATTTATGAAATATTTGTCGTACAAATGAATGAAGGAATGAATGACCAAAAACTTGGAAATCAGGAAAGAAGATTCAAATGGAACTGTCAGATCTAGAGCAGATCTTAGAAATCATCTGGTCCAACCCAGAGAGGGTAATGACTGGCCCACAGTCACACAGCAAGGGCTGGAGTGTGAACCAATGGACTCCATGTCTGCGGCTCTTTCTACCTTCCCACTTTTGCTGCTTGGGCTGGGTCTGAAGGATGGAGAATGTGATTGGCCAAATACTCAGGGAAGACAACCTAGGAGTGCAACATAGGCAAAGGGAATGGCAGGGGTTAGGGCCACATGTGAAGGGAATGCGAAAAGGGGGAGGAGGGGAGGTTCATTTAGCACCTACTATGAGGCAGGCACTAGCATGGCATGAGCTGAGAGAAAATCTCTGCAGGGAAAGCCTGGACAAAGAGGCGGAAAAGCAAGAACAGCCAGAGAACGTAAGGAGCCGCGAAGGTCAGGCCAAGGAGGCTGGCTGGGCGGGTTTTGACAGCAGAGGATGTCCAGGTCGTGGGTTGAGTGTTTGTTGCCCTGGTACATTTCTTTTCCCCAGCTCCCACTTGCTCATCCAGGCCACAGAAAGTAGAACACCAACCTCTGGGGCCTCAACAAAGCCCAGAATAATTTTCTTACCCAGATTCTTCTTCCTGTGTGTACCTGGGTGGATTCTGAGGGGTCCCCAGCTTCCCAGGGCTGGCACATGTTGTCCTAGGAACTGCCAAGGGCATCCTCCATAGTCCCATGCACCTGTCCCTTCCAGCCGTGTCCTCCCCACCCCACCTGGAAAGCAGAGATGACATTGACAGCGCCAAGGAGTGCAAGTTCAAGGTGGCCCTAGTCTCACAGTCAGGACTGCCCTGCTTCTTGAAGCCTCCAGCCTGCCTGCTTCCCCTCCAGGAGCCCCATTTCCTGCTCTCTGCAGCTCCAGGGCTGCCAGACGCCTCAGATGGAAAACAAGCCCAGCCCCATTTCCTCTGTTTAACTGCTCGAGCTACTTGCAAAATGCCTGCAAGAGGAAGGCAGGGCCCTGCACAGCCTCCTTCCAGAATAGACCTTGGTCTGGTGGACACAGTCTCCGATGAGGCCACAGCATATAGAACCCATCTTGAGGCATTCAGAGATAATGGGTTGGAGAGGAAACGTGGAAAAGTGGGGACTGAGCCTTGGGGGCATTACATGGCCATATCCCCTACCTTAGAGCAGCAATAGGATGTTTTATTTAAGAGCACAGATTCTGGGGCTAGATTCTCACTTCTACCACTTACCAGCTGGGTGACCTTAGACAGGTAAGCTTAGCAGCCCTGTGCCTTGATTTCCCCATCTGTAAAAGGAGGAAAATAAGGCCAGGTGCGGTGGCTCATGCCTGTAATCCCAGGACTTTGGGAGGCCAAGGCGGGCAGATCACTTGAGGTCAGGAATTCAAGACCAGCCTGGTCAACATGGTGAAACTCCGTCTCTACTAAAAATACAAAAATTAGCTGGGCATGGTAGCGCACGCCTGTGATCCAAGCTACTCTGGGGGTTGAGGCACAAGAATCGCTTGAACCTGGGAGGCAGAGGATGTAGTAAGCAGAGATCACGCCACTACACTCCAGCCTGGGTGACAGAGTGAGGCTCAGTCTCAAAAAAAAACAAAAAAAAAGCAAAAAAAGGAGGAAAATAACAAGATCTACCTCCTAGAGTCATTAAGAGGATTCAAAGAGCTACGTTACATATTCAGTAAGATTTTTGGCACAGAAATGTTCAGGAACTATTAGCCATTGTTTTATGATTACTGAGTATTAATTATTAATTGCATAGCATGCATTTATTAAACAAATATTTACTGAAAAATATTATGTTCCCATCATGAGGGACACAAAGGTGATTACAGCACCAGATGGAGGTTTTTAAGGGTCGGGATAGCATCTTGAAGGGTTCTGTAGCATAAATGTTTACTGAACTGAACTGATGCTGTTTCTGTCCTCAAGAAATTCACAGTAACAAACACATATACAACTAAAGAACTAGTTATAGAGCAGGGCGATTAAAGAATGCTTGAGGAAGGTACAGTTTCCTTCCTAGAACCAGTCCTAAGAATAAAGAGTGAATATATGCCCTAGTATTTATTTACCAAATCCTCACAATGGCCTTGAACTCCAGCACAGTTTGGCCTCTGGAGATCTTTCCAGCTCCTAACGCATTCCCCCTGGCTCCCTGTTCTCTGGCCATGCTGGCCTTTTTGCAATTCTCCAGACACAAATACATTCTTTGTTCCATGCCTTTGCTCTGACTCTACTTCCACCTAGAATGCTATTCTCCCAGGTAAGTCACATAGCTCACGCTCCCCATTCATTCAGGTCTGCTCTCAAATATCACCTCCCCAGAGAGGCCCTCCCTGATCCCCTCCCCCTGCCTAAGTCACTCTCATCACTCTTCTCCCTTCCTTTGGCTTCATTTTTCTTTATAGCACATCTTTTTTTTTTTTTAGACAGAGTCTCATTCTGTTGCCCAGGCTAGAGTGCAGTGGTGTGATTTCAGCTTACTGCAAACTCCGCCTCCCGAATTCAAACGATTCTCCTGCCTCAGCCTCCAGAGTAGCTGGGATTACGGATGTCCACCACCACACCCAGCTAGTTTTTGTACTTTTAGTAGACAGGGGGTTTCACCATGTTGGCCAGGCTAGTCTCAAACTCCTGACCTCAAGTAACCCACCAGCCTCAGCCTCCCAATCTTTATGGCACATCTTGTTTGCTGACATTATATTGTACATAGATTGTTTGTTTCCTGAATGTCTTCCCCACTAGAATCTAAGCTCTGTGAGGACAGAGCCCTGCTTCCTTGTTTTTAGAGCTATGTTCTCCGATACGGTGCCTGATGCACAGAAGGCATTCAATAAGTATTTATTGAATGAATTAATTTGTCAACCTTCCTATCTCTTCTTTATTCCTCAGATAACACCATGAGCTCAATTTTTTTTTTTTTTTTTTGGAGACAGTGTCTCACTCTTGTCACCCAGGCTGGAGTGCAGTGGCGCGAACTCGGCTCATCACAACCTCCACCTCCCAGGTTCAAGCGATTCTCCTGCCTCAGCCTCCCAAGTAGCTGTGATTACAGGCACCTGCCACCACGCCGGGCTAATTTTTGTATTTTTAGTAGAAATGGGGTTTCACCATGTTGGCCAGACTGGTCTCAAACTCCTGAGCTCAGGTGATCTGCCCACCTCGGCCTCCCAAAGTGTTGGGATTACAGGTGTGAGCCACCATGCCTGGCCTATTACTCCACTTTACAGATGAGAAAACTGAGGCTCAGAAAATCTCCCTGGCACATGTATTCATTAGTTTATTTGTTTATAGGCTACCTTGTCCCAAAAGTTATTTAGAGGACTCCGAGAGGTTTATGACCTGATCCAGGCCACACAGAGCTGGTAAGAGGCAGAACAGGACACATGCTCATGTCTCCAGGCTCCATCCTCATTGCTCATTTCTCTACACCACCTTCCTGTATGCCCAGCCCTGTGTAAGATGGTATGCTGCACACAGAAGTGCTAGGAAGAGAGCGCTCTTTGAGGGCTGGGCACACCCAGCCATTGTACCTGGTGGTTGTCATAAAGCGGGAGACCTCAGCAGGACCAAGAGTTGAAAATCAGACAGTTTAAATGGAGAGGAAAACCAGACAGGAGCCCAGGTGCAGATTCCAGCCCAAGCAAGCCCCATGGCTGCCTCCTGGCTGCTGGTCTGGGCTTGTCCCCACCTGCCCCTTGCTTTCTTGTGCAGCTCTTCACGGCAGCTGGCCCCAGCCAGCGGAAGGCGCCTATGAGCCCTGAGCCTGTGGTCCTCAGCTTGGGCGGCCAGCGGCCTCTAGCAGGCCCCCCCCTCGACCCCACCCCCGTCAGGAAGTGCCGAAAGAGGAAGAGAGTCGCCGGGCAGGATGAGCGCACCGGGGGCTGGCCACAGTGCCGGGGGAAGCTGCAATGAATCCTCAGCTCTGGGCCCAGTGGAGGCGCTGGGGACGGAAGAAGGGGAGCGGCCGGGGTCACTGAGGCAGATGTGGCGCTACCGCTCCTGGGACGTGCCACAGATCCCATCAGAGGCACCCCAGACACAGTAGGTACAAGGGGTGGCCTGGGAGTGGGCATGGGACCTCTGTCCCTCTATGAGCCTTTTATCTGAGATGGGGGTGACAGAAGTAGGGTCACCCATCTGTCATCCAGCACTCTGCAGAGGCACAGAGTAGGGCAAAGGAGTTATTGGCAGGGTGCAGGGAGCTCTGATGTTTGGACTGTGTGGAGGAACTGAGCTCGAGAGAGGCCAGGAGTTGAGCAAGCTAGCAGTGGGGGGATCTGGGAAGAGGAGCCCCCCCAGGAGTGTGGCACTGGATGCTGGAGATTTCTGACCCAGCTGCAAGGCCTTGTGGAGACTCCGTGGGGTCTTCAGTTGCCTCTGATCTCTTCTCTCAGAGCTTGGAGTAAGAGCCATTGGGAAACTTCCCCAAAAGGACCCATGCACCCCAGAGGCCAGTTGTCAGGCATACTTGGGGATTGATCTGCCCTCCTCCTGGCCACCCTGGCACCAGCTGCTGGCTGGAGGGCTGGAGCCCCACCTCCCTGATCAGACCTTCTCCCAACTTGCAGGAAACTGGGAGAGGGTTCTGGGCCTCGGGGTGCTGGTTCTTCCTCAAAATCACAGGCTTGTCCGCAGGTCACAGCCCTAAGCATTGGCTATTTGCGGCTGACTAAGGCTGGAAAACGGGCTGCCAGAACCCAAGAGGGGAGGATGAAAGCGAAGGTGACACAGGATGTGGCTTGGCAGAGAGGCGTGCACACAGAAGTAGTGGGCAGCTGGTGTGGGCAGCAGGGTGGTAGGGTTTGGGGAGGTGGAAGACCATGCTTCCCAGCTCCTGGCCTCCCTTCGTCAGCCCTGCGGGGGCCATCAGAAACAGCCCCGGTGTGTGTGATGGCTGTGCCCCTACAGGTGACTGCTTGGGTTCCAATTGCTCTCATTTCTGGAGGGGGACGGCCTCGGCTGCATTGTGGGGTGTCTTTGTGTGTGCATGTGAGGTATATTTCTGGATGGGAGTGTGTGCATATGCACACACATACATATGTGTGAGGGATGTGGCAACCGGTAACCATTGTCCTGGGAGTATTTGTATGTAGGAGAAAGGTGTGTGTTCTGTGTGGGCATGTGTGCTTGTGAATGGGAGTGTGGTACCTGTTGTCCTTCTGTGTATTTGTGAGTGTGTAAGGGCTGTGCAGGTGATTCCCGTAGCATATGAGATCTATAGGTTCTGTTGAATACTATGTCAGGAAAATGCGATGTGTTGGGCCTGGGTGAGAAGGTTGGAAACCATTGTGAATAGCTGTGGAAGGATGACTTTGTAGGAGAAACTTGTGAGTTCTTTGTTGGTGTGTGTGCGAGTCATTAAGTGACTTTGGTCACTGAGTGCGAGAGGCTGGGGTGGGAAGTGTTCGTTTAAGTAATGAGTGGGCATAATTGTGTAAGGGATGTGTTTGTTCTGCGTGCATGGGGAGCACTGTGTGACTTTTGTTCCCCTGGGTGCGATTTGGGGGAGCCAAGGAGGTATGGGTGGAGATTGTGAGTGGCTATGAGTAGGGTGTGCGAGAGCGGAGGGGAGGTGGTGACAGCAGCCCTCGCGAGTGTACACTTGTGAGCGTGCAGTTGTTTGGTAGCGGAGGGATCGGGGGAGGAAAGATGCGCGTCTGGATGCGCGCAGTGCGAGTGTGCCAGGCCGGGAGATTCAGTCCCATCCAGGCGGGCCGGGCCGGGCTGGGGGCAGGGCTTTCTGCTGCCCCGCCCATTCGTCGCCCCGCCCCTCGGACCGCCCCAGCGGGCTGCAGCGCAGCGGGCGTCCGGCAGAGGGCGCTGCGGGCCCGGTGCCACCGTGCGGCCGAGGGGGCGTGCTCGGCGGCGGGCAGGCAGCGGCCCGGCCAGCTATGCGGGGTCCTGCGGCCGCGGCTGGCGGCACTTCCTGGAGCGGCGGCGGCAGCGGCTTCCCGGGCACCTGGGCGTGGGGAGCGGGGGCGCGCGGCGCGGGGCGGGCGGAGCGAGCGCGCGCCATGGAGGTGGCGGGCGGCGCGGAGCGGGCGTGCTGAGCCCCGGCCGCCGGCCCGGCATGGGCGTCTCCCGCGGGCCCTCCGCCGGCCGGGGCTAGGGCCGGATGGAGCCGCGGGACGGTAGCCCCGAGGCCCGGAGCAGCGACTCCGAGTCGGCTTCCGCCTCGTCCAGCGGCTCCGAGCGCGACGCCGGTCCCGAGCCGGACAAGGCGCCGCGGCGACTCAACAAGCGGCGCTTCCCGGGGCTGCGGCTCTTCGGGCACAGGTGAGCGGGGCGGCGGCGGGGCAGGCACCGAGGCACCGGCAGGTTACCGCTCCCTCACCGGGGGACATTCCTCGGCCACTGGGGGTCCGGGCCACTTCGGTACTGACACTGAGTCGGGGAGAGGCTGGCACCGGCGGCACGAGCCGTCTTGGCGTGGGCACCCACTGGGAGTCATCCCCCAGGGCCGGGACACGGGCGGGATCGGTCGGCTTGGCACTGTCACCGGGTGGGGGTCATTCCCTGGCACCGGCAGTCTAGTGCGCCTCATGTGTAGTACCGTGGGAGGATCGGCTCCCAACCCTCCAGCAGGAAGATGGAATCACCCCAGCCCCCGGCACAAGCAGGTTGGGCCCCCAGGACTGGTCACCCACGCCTTCTTGGCACTGATAGAACAGGGCCTCTCTGAGCCTCCTGGCACCACTGAGGTGGGGATCACACCGCCCTTTGGACTTTCGTGGGACCAGGTTGCCTACCATCACTGCGTGGCATCTGCAGAACGTAGCCCCGTTGATACCGTCACCACACATGGCTTGTCCCCAAGCTCTGGTCACTGGTTTAATTGTTTAACATGTTAAGCTTCTCCTTGGGGTTGGGGGTGCCTGATCATCTGCCCTACCTTGCTCTTAATTAGCAGAGAGACCCCAGCCCATCCCTCTGCTAGGCAGGCAGCATGTCTCCCTCTACCCTCTTCCAGCCCATGCTGGGAAAGGGATGGGGTGGGCTGGAGTCTGGAATCTGCTGGCTGTTCAAGCTTCATCTTGCCCCCTCCCCCAGCACTCCAAATGTCACCATCTTGTGCCTGTGACAGAGCTTTGACCAGGACTCTAGCGGGGAACCGGGGGGAGAGTGTGGAAAGACTGAGTGCAGGCAGTTCATGGCAAGTGTGCTGCTCTTGGTCGTGAGCCGCTGCCTGCCCTGGTAGCCGTGGTGTAAGGTAAGGGACGTGAGGCCCCAGGAGTACCTGACCTGGCTCCCTGCGCTTCTTCCTGACCGAGCCTTGCCCTTCCCTGGTGGCCAAGGAGCTTGTAGCCAATCAGCCAAGGACCCCAGAGCCACCTCAGACTGAACTCTGACCACTTGGAGTCTGCCCAAGGCCTCCCTCTCACTTTTCTGCAGCTGCCTAGACTTGGTGGCATTCACCCCCACCCCGCCCCTTAGCTTTGCTCTGCCCCTTCCCTGGGTAGACTTTACCCACCAATAACATGGGCGGTTTTCTCCTGTCGTGTGGGCTAGCATACCCGTGATGCTGACTTGTGCCCTCTACCCGTCTCACCCGGGCTAGGGCCCACTCTTTGCACCTGCACTCTGTCTCTGAGCACATGCACAGATCTGAATTCTTACACTGGCAGATGGAGCTCCGTGGGCTCCTGTGTTACCACGCAGGCTTCAATGTCATATAAAACAGAGCAGGGAGTGAAACTTCCAGTAGCTCTGTTTTGTCACCCACAGCCCTGCAAGATGGAGCAGTTTACACCCAGCTCTGCAGGATGTAGCCTCCAGTATTCACAGGCTCCGCAGGGGGAGGGAGGGGCGCCACCAGAGGCTTCCTGTTGCTGCCCACAGGGTATCAAGTGTTGGGTTCTTCTGACCTGTGGCTGTGCCCCTTCTGAAGGGCACAGGTTTGTGGGTATAGGGATGAGCACATTCGGGAGGAAGAACAAGAAACCAGAGAACCAACAGATACCTTTATGTAATTCTCTAAAATAAGCAGGGTAGGTGGTATTCTTCCTTTTGTAAAACAAAAAAAAACCAATTTTTTGTAGAGATGAGATCTCACACAGCATTGCCCAGCCTGGTCTTGAATTCCTGACCTCAAGCAGTCCTCCCACCTCGGACTCCCAAAGTGCTGGGATTATAGGTGTGAGCCACCACACCTGGCCTGTTTCTCCATTTTTATAGATGAAAGAAACACAGTCAGAGGGGATTTGCTCAGAGTCACATAGCAAGGAAGAGGTAGAGATAAGGTTTGAAGTCAAGTTGGTGTGATTCCAAAATCCACATCCCTTTCTCTATACCAGGATCCCAAACGGAACATCACAATGGCCAAGGGAGCTTTAAGAAATACAGATTCCTAGATCTTCCCTTGGCGTGTCTGACCCATCAGGTCTGGAGGTGGGGCCTGGGCATTGTTTGAAGCTTCCCAGGTGATTCTCATGTCCCATCAAGTTTGAGAAGCACAGTAGTCCGTCACGCTGGGGAGTGTAAGTGCTCTTATAGGATGCCTGATGAGAGGAAAGAAAATTCAGCAGCACCTCTGGAAGCATGTAAGGAGTGTCCTTTGTTTGGGAGCACTGTGCTGGGGATAGTGGGGCCTTCAGAAATGAATACATTCAGAGAACCCAGTAGTATCAGGCAGAGAGCAGCAAGGGAAAGCACTTTCTCCTGGCAGGCCTGGGAGCTCACTGGGGCTGGCCTCCTTCCCTTTGACTTGATGGGGCCAAGGGGTGGGTGCTGGGGGCAGACATGTGGAAGGGTGGAATAGTACACCTGCTCTGGGTTCTGCCCCCTCCAATGCTGCTTGGCTGGTCCTGCTACCTTTGTTTGTTTGTTGCAGCCTCAGGTAAAAGTCCTCGAAGCCCCAGCTGAAACCAGCCCTTCATCTTATCCCAGCTCCATGCTAGCTCTTAACCTAGCTCTTGCTTCTCCCCAGTCATCCACCCCATGTCCCCCATCCCGCCCCCTCCCCACCCCACCCACATACACACATCCAGCCTTGGGGTTGAGGGGCCCGACGGGAAGATCAAGGGTAACAACTAGGTTGGCAGTGGCTGCTGAAGCCAGGTGGAGAATTCTGCATGCGGGCCCTGGCTCATGGGGAGAGTTCCATGAACAATTAGCAGTGTCTGCTGTGGGCTTGGCAGGGGGTCTTGATGGCACATGGGCCACATGTTTGCCATCCTGGCCCCTCTGGGTAGGACAGTCTCTGAATGGCAGCCCCTGTGGGGCTGAAAGAGGCTTTTCCTTAAAGTCCATCTCTGCCCCACACAACTGGCGTCATCCTCTCAGAATCGGGGGGTGGCAGCTTGCCATCTCCCTTTTTTTTTTTTTTTAGCTCAGTGAGCCATGATTCTCCCCAGCTTGTGGATTCCTCCCACCCCAACTGCATCCCACCTTACTTCTTGCCGGAACTATCAGTCTCCTCCCTGAGGAGGAGGAGGAGGAGAGGAGGTACAGGCCCCTACTCTGATCCCAGGGTATTTAGTTTTCCTCTACCCTGAGCAGAGGGCAGGCAGGACCTTTCCATTTAAGCTTCTGTTGACCCTAAGGATTGGGCAGCCAGGAGTGGGAGAGAAGTGGACTCTCTCTCCTCCTCCAGGACCCACCGGGAAGGAGGACCCGCTTATCCTCTGGCCTGGTCTCAGCAGCCTGATCCTGGCAGGTCACAGGGCTTCTGGATTAGCTGGTTTTACACCCCAGGGGCATCAGAAATTACCTGGCACCTCACACATGTAGACATAAGGAGCCTTGGCCTCAGAGCCCCTAGGAGCCTGAGCGTCTGTGCCGCCATCCCCTGCCCTTCACGGTGCTCAAAGTCACAAGCTCCCAGAGGGCAGGAGGCACACCTGCAGAACCAGTGTGAGACAATGGGTCCCATTTAGAGGCACTGCCACACGGCCCCAGCGAGCATGGCCCTGAAGTCAGGGCTGCAGAGGGTGCCCAGCGGGTGCCTGAGCAGAAGCAGCCCCTGTTTGAGTTGGTTCTGCAATGAATAGGGAGGGACGTGTTGAGGGACGCCTCTTTTGCAGAGGTGAGAACCCTGTCTATGGTGCCAGGGTGTCTGGGAGCGAAAGGAAACCTCTTTGAGTGGTTTGTCTCACCTGGGCTAATGCTGGGAGCAGCCCAGGTTGCTGTGAGAGGCAGGGACAACCTAGAATCCTTGGGTTCCAGCAAGTTTGGGAAAGAAAAATGGGCCTCAGTGGCCGAGCTGCGTTCATCTCACTGTGTTTGCTCCCCACACAAGGTCAGGTGCCAGAGTATACAGCTGGCCCCTGCTGGGAACCCAGTGTAGAATTCTCACAGTCTCCCTCTGTGCCAAACGCTGTCAGGGGAGGGAATGACAATTCTTGTCATTTTGTCTCCATGCCATACTCCAAAAAGGTCAGATCCTGGGATGTGGAGCTGCCCAGGATTCTCGGTTGGCACAGGAGCTTGAGAGTTGGTGTCCCCTCAGGCAAGGACAGAGGAAGGACTAAGTGACCCCTGGTGAGAGAAAGCTGAGGCTCCAGGCAGCTGGGCTGGGGGAGAGTGAGAGAAACGGGCCTGCCCTCCTCGGCTCCCTGGAGGCCTCTCCAGAATTCGCCAGTGGCCCCCCCGGGGCAGAGGTGAAAGTGGAGTCATAGGTTAGCCCTGAGTCTTAGGCCGCGCGGGCCCCTCGGAGAAGCAGGGATCCGGAGCCCTTCCACCCACTTTAAGGCAGGAGAGAATTGGGAGGTGTGGAAGCAGCCCCTGGAGGCTGCCCTGCAGTGCCTCTGGAGCGACACAAGGGGGCGACAGCTGCCGTTGTGGGAGGCCGGTGGGCGAGGAGCTTCTCCTTCCGCCAGTCCACAGGCCCACGGGGACCCACAGGCACTCGCTGGAAGTTACCTGCAGCTCTAGCTGCCGGGCGGAGCCAATCAGTGCGGCCCAGGGCAGGCTGGGTGGGTGCCTCTAGCCTCCTGGCCCCACCCCTCCCGTCCCCTGAGGCCCAGGCCCAGCCAGGTGGCCTTGACTCAGCCAAGTTCTCGCAGCTAGCCGGGGTCATCTGGGACTCCCGCGCTGGGCTTCCAGGGCCATGTTCATTAAGGCCTCATCACAGGACCCAGGACAGGCTGACCACCTCTCCTCCCTGCCCCCTCTGCCTCCTCCTTGAACAGCCCTCTAAGTCAGCTGCGGGGGCAGTGTGTGCAGGAAGCGGGATCTGCCACACCTGCGGCCAGGTTCTTCCGCTCCCCGAGTTCCTGGGCCACCCCTGAGCGGTGCCAGGCACTCATTCCTTGCTCTTCTTGGCTCTCCTCTGTTCCGTGTCGGGGTCAGCCCCACATCCAGCCTGCAGTGTGGGTTTCAGCACAGGACTTGGCTGGCACTTGGGTCACAGGTGTGGAGGGTAGGCCAAAACTAACCAAATGCCCTGGAAGAGCTATCATTCTGCCATCTTTCCTCTTCACCCCCTGCCTCGCTGAAACACCAGAGACGTGGTTAGGTCGGGAAAGCAGGTTCGAGTGAGACCAAGGGCTCTGTGGCCGCGGAGGGGAGGGAGAGGCTGAAGAGACAGGAGTGGCGTTCCAGCTCCTCTGTCTTTGGTGATTAACAGCTGCCAGAAGCTTGTAAATTCATCAGTTTCATGTGATCTTCATAACATCTTTGTAGTTGGTTTGATTCCCATTTTGCAGATAAGAAAACCAAGGCTCAGAAAGGTCAGGGGCCTGGCCAGGATCCCCCAGCTCACACTGGAGCCCAGCCCAATGATCTTCTCATGACATTGGGCCACTCTACTTAGGAGTACTCTTTTCTTCTATTATTTGCCATCCCTAAACTGGGAAGACCTAAGAAGAGGTTTGAGTGCTCCATGGGGTTTAGTGAAAGGTCTTTGCCTCCGGTGCCAACGGTGTGAGACCCATGAGATAATCTGACCTGGACCCCCAAGGGAGAATGGCCACCAAGATCCCTCAAGTCAGGGGAGCAGGCTGGACTGGGAGAGACCCTTGGTAAAGAGACTGGGGCTGTGAGCCCGTCATCATGTGGCGTCCGGGCTGGGTCTGGCGTGGAGGACAAGTCTGATCTTTTTCCTTGCTTTAAGGGCGCAGGGAGTCTAAAGCCCAATGGACATGCTCAGAGGAGCCCCCATACCACCCAGGGGTCGGTGGCTGGTCTGGGGCAGGGAAGATCGCTTCACTCGTACCCAGTGCCTCATGGTGAGAGGTCTGAGAGGAGAGGGAGGGCCCCAGCATCCTCCTCATCTACACTGAGACCTCCTCCCCTTGCTCCTGGCAGAGCATCAGTTCAGAGCTCCCACGTAGAGGCCTCTCCCCTGCCAGGGATGAGCCCATCTCAGCACATGCCAAAATAGCTGTCTGGGAGCCTGGGCCCGCACCGCCCACACCCCAGCATCTCGCGGGTTAACAGCTTGCCTGTCTCTCCGCCCCCTTCCCCAGCTTGCTGACATTTTACAGAGAGAGGCGGGGGCGGTTGTGAAAGGGGGCAAGCTGGTTCTTGCTCCCCAACCCACACGGACACCCCACTGACACAGCCTGCCACCACCCACCCACCTCTGGAAGGCATCCCCTTGGGGGAGACCTTCCTTCCATCCTGAGGGCCCTGAAAGGGTGAGGGACAGGCTGCCAAAACCATCCCTGGTAGACCCAGGGAGCTCTAGGGGGCTGGTCTCCCTCAAGGGGTCTTTTGTAGGACACAGGATCTCCCTCTGTCACCCAGGCTGGAGTGCAGTGGCACAATCATAGCTCACTGTAATTTCAAACCCCTAGGCTCAAGCAATCCTTCCACCTCAGCCTCCCGAGTAGCTAGGACTATAGGTGGGGGCCCCCATACCGGGCTCATTTTTTCTTTCTTTCTTTCTTTTGTAGAGACGAGGTCCTGCTATGTTGCCCAGGTTGGTCTCGAACTCCTGGCCTTAAGTGATCCTCCCACCTTGGCCTCCTGAGTTGCTGAGATTACAGGCCTGAGCCACTGTGCCCAGCCTCTGGAGTCTTTTTAAGAAATGATTTTGAAATCTTTCTAAACACATTAAATATCTTGGCGTTAGAAAAGTGTGCAGAATAAGGTGACACCTACTGCCTAGCTTGGTTGGAGCTTAGCATTAGGCCATATTTGCTTTAGATAGAGATGGAGGCCCCTGTGTCTTACTCCCTGGAGGAAACCACAATTCTGATTTTGGTGTGTGTGATGTTCTTGTGCCTGTTTTTAAAATTGTCCTACATAGGTATTCATGCCTAGCAACATACAGTGCTGTTTCGTATGATTTTACTCTGGTTTAAATGGTATACCAGGCATATTCTGCATTTAGGTTTTTCCCTCAATATTGTTTTGGAGATTTAACCATCCTAAACATGAATTCTCACGGATCCATTTTAACCTCCACGTCCGATTCCATTGTGTAACAGCAGCTTATTTGCCCAGGCTCTGTTGACGGACACTTGGGTGGTGTGCAGTTTTTCGCTATTGCAAGCGATCCCTCTGTGTTCTCTCCACCAGTGCTTGCTCACAGGGTCTGTGTATTTTCAGCTTAGACAGATGTTGCCAAATTGTGCTCCGAAGTAGTTGTCCTAATTTTTAGGCCTCTGTGTTTATTTTTTTATTTTATTTTATTTTTTTGAGACAGAGTCTCACTCTCGCCCAGGCTAGAGTGCAGTGGTGCGATCTCGGCTCACTGCCAGCTCTGCCTCCCGGGTTCAGGCCATTCTCCTGCCTCAGCCTCCCAAGTAGCTGGGACTACAGGCGCCCGCCACCACGCCCGGCTAATTTTTTGTATTTTTAGTAGAGACGGGGTTTCGCCATGTTAGCCAGGATGGTCTCGATCTCCCGACCTCGTGATCCGCCCGCCTCAGCCTCCCAAAGTGCTGGGATTACAGGCATGAGCCACCGCGCCCGGCTATTTTCTTTCTTAAAACTTTCAGTAAACTGGGGAATTGTTTCCCAGGAACAAACACTTTCTCCTTCAAGCCTGCAACACTCCCTTGAGAGAGACGAGGGTGGGCATTAGCCCTATTTATCAGATCAGGAAACTGAGGCTGAGGCAGGTTAAAAGGCTTAGCTTGAGGTCATGTAGCTGGTCAGAGGCAGATCCTCTGGGCCTTTGAAGCTAAACCTACTGTGAAGGCCTTTGTCCCCTGTGTGAGTAGTGTGGAAGCCTGGAGAGTGGGGTGGGGCCCTGGGGGCTGATGGGGGAGGGAGCAACATGGTCAGAAAGTTGAGGGGGGAGGTGTTAAATTTTTTTTTTTTCTTTTTTTGAGATGGAGTTTTGCTCTTGTTGCCCAGGTTGGAGCGCAATGGCGCGGTCTCGGCTCACCGCAACCCCTGCCTCTGAGGTTCAAGCGATTCACCTGCCTCAGCCTCCCAAGTAGCTGGGATTACAGGCATGGGCCACCACACCCGGCTAATTTTGTATTTTTAGTAGAGATGGAGTTTCTCCATGTTGGTCAAGCTGGTCTCGAGCTCCTGACCTCAGGTGATCTGCCCGCCTCAGCCTCCCAAAGTGCTGGGATTACAGGCATGAGCCACCCGCCCGGCCAGGGTGTTAATATTGAATGAGGGGTGAGGGGGAAATGCTTCTCCCAGCAGATGGGGAATGGGAGCCCTCTGCAGACACAGGAGAAGACAAGGATGGGACGGTCACCAGAGAAGAGTGGGGGCCCGCGAGGGGTTTATAACAAAGGGGCCCCTTTGGGAGGCTAAGGGAGATATATTGGCATTCCCATCAGGGATCGGTTTCAGTGTTGCCTCTGAGACACCAGAGCTCAGCCCAGACCAGACTTGTCCACCCAGTGCAGCAGGAAGTTCTCGGGAGCTGGCCCACTCCTGGGGCTCTGTGCCCACCTGAAGCCTGTGCTGTCAGCGGGATCCATGAGGCTGAGTCCAGACCATGCGCTGTTCCCTCCACTCACTCTTCAAACCACACCCAGCACTTCTACACTCTGGGGATGCCATTAGAAGCAATGTGAGGCCCTGGGGCTCACAGCCTGTCCGGGGATGCAGATTTGCACATTAGTGCTGATTGCCCAGGGTCTGAGAGGAAAACCATGAGGGAGAATTCACTGAGTAGAGAGGGGAGTGGTATTCCAGGTAGGGAGACCACCGGATGCCACGTGGTGCCACGTGGAAAAGGGACCCGCGGTGTTTTGTTTGCCAGAAGCATCCAGGGTGGAGCCTGAGGGGTCGAGGGTATGTGCCATGGAACACACTACTGAGTTCAAACCCCAGCACTGCCACATGTTAGCTGGACGACTTCAGGCAAATGACTTAACCGCTTTGTCTCTCAGTTTCCTCATCTGCAATATGAGGATACGGGCCATGGGGATAAGAATACCAACTATTCTTAGGAGGATTCGTAGCTTAATATTTGTAAAAACACTTAGAGTAGTGTCTGGTGGAGTGAGTTATGTAAGTGTCAAATACAGCATTAAAAATATGAAAGAGCAGAGAGGAGGCTGGGAGGCCTGTTGCCTGCCAGCCCCAGGTCTTTGCATTTTGCTCAGCTGACAGTAGAGTCAGTAAAAGGTGATTGGGTGCTTTAGGATGAATTCTGATGGCAGCGGGAGTCTGGCTTGGAGGGAGGCACTAAAGGAATGGGTTGGTCATTTGTTGCGCAAACATCTCTTTGAGGCCTAGCAGGGGCTGAGTCAGGGACTCGGATGTGAAAGAAGAGACTGGGGGTATTTCACCAAGGAGCTCAGGCCAGCTTAGGATCCCCGCCTAGCCCCCAAGCCTCTGAGACAGCCCCTCCTCCCCTTTCCTTGCCCACCACCCTCCCCTTGTGACTTCATGTCACCAAACCGACTATCTAGTTTTCATGAGAAAGCCATGGAGAACATGGAGCGGGCGATAGCATCCAGCCCAGAAAGGGGCCTCCAGGTGTCACTCTTGGGGTCCTCTAGAGAGGAGAGGAAGGTGGCCACCCAAACCAAGGCTGTTGCCATCCCCTTGTACCCAACAAAGAGAAGTGGCCTGAGCCAGCTGGAGCCTGTGGTCAGCCGTTGCATGTGGTTACACAAGGTGGAAGAAGCCTTTCTCCTCCCTTAAGGTGCTGGCCCCTCCCCTGTGGAATTCCCTGTTCTTTCCTCCTGCACTGATCAGCAGTAAATGCTGGACTCACTGCCAGGCACCATGCCGGGCATGCCCAGATGCGCTAGACCTGGCCCCGGCCCCCCAGGAGCTCGCGGTCTGGTGGAGGAGCAGGCATGTGGGCTGAAAGAAGCAGGCCTCCCAGGGCTCTAGTGGCAGGGGAGCCAAATGGGCAGTGCGGAGCTGTGAGTAGGAGGGGTGTTCCGTTGGCTGTGAGCAGGCAGCTGCTTATCAGGTAGAGAGGGAGGCCAGTATTCGGGGCAGAAGGTGTGCCAGGTGCGGCGGCACAGCAGTAAGTCAGGCACAGCCAGATTGGGGCACAGAGAATAGGCTGGCTTGGTTAGAACTAAGGCTTCGTGTCACAGTACAGGAGGCTTAGTGCCACACCGCAGGAGCCACGTCTGCCAGGGTGGAGAAGGCAGATTCACTCTGAATCAGTGGTCTTAAAAAGTATGGTCCTGGGGGTGCCCTGACCCATTTCAGGGATTTGATAAAGTCAAAACTATTTTCAGAGATACCCTGGTTCCTGCCTTTTTTTTGCTGTGCTGATGGCACAAAAGCAGTGGTGGGTAAAACTGCTAGCCCCTCAACGCGAATCTAGGCAGGGGCCCCAACATCAGAGTCCTTACTCCATACATACATTTCTTTAAAAGTAGTGAAGATCATTAATTTTATAAAGTCTAGACCCTTGTGTACCTATATCTTCTGATATTTTACATGAAGGAATATGAAATATATATAAGGCACCTTTGCTGCAAACCAAACTGTGATGAGGAAAAGCTCTTAACTCGATGCAGTTGTAAGCTGTACTAGATGCTTTTTTTTTTAAGAACACCATTTGTACTTGGACACCTGATAGACAAACTAGTCAGATGTAGGTATTTGGCAGACATTTTCTCAAAAGTGCATGACATGAGCTTGTCATTTCCAAAACAGTGTCATTATTTGTTGCCAGGCACAGGCCACCATGGCTCATATCTGTAATCCTATCACTTTGGGAGGCCAAGGCAGGAGGATCACTTGAGCCCACGGGTTAAAGACCAGCTTGGGCAACATAGTGAGACCTCATCTCTACATATATTTTTTAAAAATAAGTAATAAAATATTTGTTGCCAATGATAAAATTTGAGCTTTTGAGCAAAAATGAGAATTTTGGAAACCTTTTATTCACTTCCTAGAGCCTGACGGCTTCCTCAGGCTTAAAATTTTTCTGATGAGATCAGTAGTGAAGTTAGTGTGATTTTTGGTATTGTATAATAACATGTGGGCCAGGTGTGGAGGCTCACACCTGTAATCCCAGCACTTTGGGAGGCTGAGGCGGGCAGATCACCTGAGGTCAGGAGTTTGAGAGCAGCCTGGCCAACATGGTGAAACCCCATCTCTACTAAAAATACAAAAATTAGCTGGATATGGTGGTGCACACCTGTAATCCCAGCAACTCGGGAGGCTGAGGCAGGAGAATCACTTGAGCCTGGGAGGAGGTTGCAGTGAACTGAGATCGCAACACTGCACTCCAGCCTGGGCGACAGAGCAAGACTGTATCTCAAAAAAAAAATAATAAAATAAGGCCAGGTGCTGTGAATCATGCCTGTAATCCCAGCACTTTGGGAGGCCAAGGCGGGCGGATCACGAGGTCAGGAGTTCGAGGTCAGCCTGGCCAACATGGTGAAACCCCGTCTCTACTAAAAATACAAAAAAAAATTAGCTGGGCATGGTGGCCCATGCCTGTAATCCCAGCTAGTCAGGAGGCTGAGACAGGAGAGTCACTTGAGCCTGGGAGGCTGGGGTTGCAGTGAGCTGAGATTGCGCCATTGCACTCCAGCCTGGGCGATAAGAGCCAGACTCCATCTCAAAAATAAAATAAAATAAAATGTGTCACCATTTGGAAGATCTGCATAACTCAGTAAACCAGTATTTTCCAATGACTGGTGCTTGATGTTACAAAATTCAAAATGCAAGGTAGTCCAGTGGAAAGTTCATTGACGTGGTTTTATATTTATATTTATTTATATTTATTTATTTATTTTGAGATGGAGTCTCGCTCTGTGGCCAAGGCTGGAGTGCAGTGGCGTGATCTCGGCTCACTGCAGCCTCCGCTTCCCAGGTTCAAGCGATTCTCCTGCCTCAGCCTCCCGAGTAGCTGGGATTACAGGCACCTGCCATCATGCCCGGCTAATTTTTTTTTTTTTTTTTTTGTATTGTTAGTAGAGACGGGGTTTTGCCATGTTGGCCAGACTGGTCTCGAACTCCTGACCTCAGTTGATCCGCCCACCTCGGCCTCCCAAAATGCTGGGATTACAGGCGTGAACCACTGTGCCCGGCCTGATACGGTTTTAGATTCCACATTGCAACTAACCTTTGAGAAACTGTCATTTGTCATATTTTGGTGTAGTAGCAAAGAAAATCTATAATTACCTGGAAAGGCTGTTAAAGATATTCCTTCTTTTTGTAACTACATGTCTGTGTGAGGCAGAATTTTCTTCATATACTTCAACCAAAACAACATGTCACAACAGATTGAATGCAGGGATAGACAGGAGAATCCAGCTGCCTTCTATTAGGCCAGATGTTAAAGAGATTTGCAAAAAATGTAAAATGATGCCACTCTTTTTGCTAACTTTTTTTTAGAAAATTATTTATAAAAGTGTTGTTTATATTAACGTAATGGGCTTATTGTTTTAAGCTAGTAAGTATCTTAAACATTTCTCAGTTTTAACATCTGATATGATACATATTAATAGCTGTCACCCCCTAAAACAAAACTCTTTTGGGATCTTCACCAATTTTGAGAGTGTAAAGGGGTCTGGGAGCTTTCAAGTTGCTGAACACATGGAGGTTCCTGGAGGATGGTGTGCCCAGGGAGGGCGTGGAAGCTCCTCGCCCCTTTCCTCATCAAAAAAAAAAAAAAAAAGGCTGGGTGCGGTGGCTCATGCCTGTAATCCTAGCACTTTGGGAGGCCGAGGTGGGCGGATCACGAGGTCAGGAGTTCGAGACCAGCCTGGCCAACATGGTGAAACCCCGTCTCTACTAAAAATACAAAAATTAGCTGGGCATGGTGGCAGGTGCCTGTAATCCCAGCTACTCGGGAAGCTGGGCCAGGAGAATCATCTGAACCCGGGAGGCGGAGGTTGCAGTGAGCTGAGATCACGCCATTGCACTCCAGCCTGGGTGACAGGGCAAGACTCCATCTCAAAGAAAAAAAAAAAGAGTTTAAAGAGGTCTTGGGATCAGGCAGTTGGACAGCTGCCACTCCAGACCCTAGGGTACCATGTCAGGACTGGGAGTTGGGGGGGTGGCATTCCAGTCAGGATACATATAACACAGACTGGTGTCTTCTGGGCGTTCCTTAGCTTGGCAGAGCCAGAAGACCCAGAAGCTGGAGTCCCAGCTCAACCAAATCGGAGTTGTGGGCAGTCACGGGCTTCCACAAGCCTCGAGTTGCCCCATCTATTCAGTGGGACAGTAGTGCTGTCTGCACAGGGGAAATACCAGCCTCCCGTTTGTAATGCTGGTGAAAAGTACTTTGTAAGTTGTGAAACACTCCACAGATACTTATTTTTGTGATTGTTTTGTCTGGAGCCGGTGTGATTAGCTTCCCCAGACCTCAGAAAACCTGTCCAGTGGGCGTGAGAAGGCATTAGGTGGCTAAATAGGGGGCATTAGTGGGGGGCCCCCTCCCTAAAAGGGCCTGGCTCCCACTTCTCCCTCCTTAGACCTCGTTCCCAAGCTGAGGCATGGGCTGGGCTGTACTGGGTGCCAGGTGGAAGGGAGGCCACTGGGTTGTCACCCAGCCTGGCTCTGGGAACCTTGGGAAAAGGAGCTGGGAGGCACGCTCGTGCGCTGTGTGCCCGTCCGCCCACCCGTCGCCTGCTGCAGGGCCTGGAGCCGCTGCTGGGAGAGGAAGTGCGTTCAGTTACCAATCGGGTTATTTTCATAACGGCTGTCTCAGGCTGCAGGGAGGAGGGTGACAAGGGGGAGGGGGCAGAGGAGCAGCCACGGCTGCTAGCTCTCCAAACTAGGACTTGCTCAGCAGAGGCCGCCAGCCCGGAGCTGGATCCAGAGCCCGGCCTTGGGGACCCCAGCTCCCACCTGCGCCCTGCCTTCCAGATCAGGTCAAAAGGGGCCCCCAGCCCCTCCTTGCTTTCTGCTTCCTCCCTCTGTATCTGGCTGGGTGGGTGCGGGGAGGGTTGGATCCGGGCGGACCCGGGCCCCACCATCCCTAGGCAAGGAGCCTGCCCTGCCAGGTTCCTGAAGCTGATGGAAAAGGGTCCCCCCGAGCTCCTGCTGAGCCAGGGCAGACCCTGCCGACTAAACACTCACTGGCCTGGTCGCCTTCTTACCATCCAGCCTGGCCCACCTGCTCCCCGAGGTACATTTTGTTTGTTGTTTTTGACAGGATCCCTGTGGTGAGTCTCAGCCTGGGGAAGGGAGGAGGACTCTGCCTCCCCAGCCCCTAGGCTGACTGGGGAGGGACTGGCCTCCCTTCCAGCTTCCCCACCTCCTTCCCTCCAACCCAGGTCTGTGGGAGCAGAGCCGAGGGGGTTCTGGGGAGGCAGCTGCAGGCCCTTGCTCTGGGGCTGCTGGAGGTGGGGTCGCCATGCACCATGCCCAGCCTTCACGGAGCAGAAGGCGGACGAGGCCCTGCCCAGGGTGTGGAGTGGGCGCTCTGGGTCAGTCCCATGGGGTATCCTGTGAGAGCAACTCAGGGGGCCAGGCCTGGTACCGGGTGCAGAGGGCATTCCTCATGGCACGAGCAGATACCCAGGTGACACCTGTGGCCGGCTCTGTTCCTCATGCGGTGGGTGGTGGCCACCCTGGGCACTCCTGCTTCCCTTTCTGGGTTCCTGGCCTCACTGTGGGCAGACAGACCCCAGGAGGTAGCACAATCACATGCTCTGGTGTCTATGGTGGGTGTAGGCCCTGCCAGGCCCTGCTGTCTGCCAGGTATCACCAGGCACTCTCTCTCTGTCATCGCATCCAGACCTCCTTTAGGCCAATCTTCTGAACCAGGTGGTGTGAGCTCCATTTTGCAGATGAGAAAATTGAGGCTCAGAAAGGTTAGTGGATCAGTCTAGGGTGGCAGTGGCAGATTCAGGATGCCAACGCCCTTGAAACTAGCACAGGGCGTGAGATGGCCTGGGCTCTGGAGGGTGGGTGTCCTGTCCGCTCCAGCTGTAGCTGATGAAGCTCTCCGGCCTGCCTGCCCCGATAGCAGCCACTGCAGCTCGGCCACCTGCAGCCACAGCCACTGTCCAGCAAGGGTGCACGGCCAGACACCAATGGTCTTGTCTCCTGACTTCCTCTGTCCTTTCCCAGGCCCTGTCCTTGTCAGGCCCCAGAGCCGGCCAAGGGTTGATGGGGTCCCCTGAGTCCTTTCCCATCCTGTCCCCATTGGTGTAACAGGCTCCCCACCCGGAGACCGAGGGACAGCCATTTTGCTGTGCTCTTGGTGTTGAAGCCCTCAGGGTGACCTTTACACGTACTGTGTGGCGAGGTGGAGGTGACCAAGAGCACGAGGTGAGAAGACACTGTCACGCAGAGCTGCGCTATGGGAGAGGCTTAGGCCCAGGGCGGGCTCCAACAAGGCCCAGGAGAAGCCCCAGCAGAGATAGGAAGTGAGGAGTCAGGCTCTTGCTGACCAGGGACAGAGGTTTCTATGGAGACCAGAGGAACAGGAAACTCAGGCCTGCGGGGAGGGGCATGGGAGCACGGAGGCATGGGTGCCCAGCAGGAGAGCCTGTGACAAATTGTCAGCTCAGCCACTCTGACAGCCTCCCCAGACACACAGGGAAACTGAGGCCCGTGAGGGGCCAACTTGCACACAGTCACACAGCACTGCCGGCCTTGCCCACCCCACTCTGCTGGGAGGGGCGGCATCATCGGCCGCCGAGGAGACTCCTGGACAGATGTGGACCTGGGCTGCCTGGCAGTGTGTGGAGCCGGGCACCACAGGAGCTCCTGTAAGCCGCCCTTGTCTCTCGAGGGGGTCCTGGCCCCTGTTGTCAGTGCAGGTCTGGGGCCGCAAGCTGGGCTCAGCCCTCACCGCTGCCCACGGGTGCAGCGGCACCTCCCCCCACTGACTGTGGCCTTTTGTTTTCTGGGTGACAGTAGCATCAGGCGGTGTGTCCGGGTGACTAATCTCCTCCAGGCTGGGCAGCTGTCACAGGGCGGCCTGACCAGGCAGGCAGGAAAGCTGACACCCTGGGGAGGGCTGGCAGGCCGGTGCCCTGACGGCAGGGGGCAGTTGGGCCTTCAGGCTCCTCTTCCCCTGACACAAAGCAGGCCCCAGGTCGGGAAGACCCGGGTTCAGGTCCCGAATGCCGCTGACTGGCCGTGGGACTGTGGCATGTTACTGGCCCTCTTGAAGCCTCAGTTTCCCCATCTCTAGAATGGAGCTGCAGGTCCTGCTTACCTCACAGGGCTGTGGTGAGGATTACACGAGATGATAAAGTACTTAGCCCAGGGCCTGTCACGTAGCAGGTGTTCGTTATTATTCCCTATCTGGTTCCCTTTCCTACCCCATCCCAGCCTCATGTTCCAGGAGGAAGGACCCTGCAACCCACCCCATTTCTGGGACGCAGGCTTTGCCGTTAGGTAGACTTGGACTCCAGCACTGACTCCACACTGACTTGCCGTGGACTCTAGGCGGTCACCTCTGCGTCAACTTCCTCATCAGGAATGCAGTGTGATGCAGTACCTATTCCTTGGGGTTGCAGTTTATGAAATGATCTAAGTGTTTGTCAGGGGCTTAGCACAGTGCCTGACACATAGGGGCTCAGTAAATGTCAGCCGTGACACTGGTGATTTTGGGGGAGACCCAGCGCTCTCCACCCATGCCTGCTGTCCTGCCCCTGCAGCTCCCTCCGGCCCAGGTGGTCTGCTTTGAGTGGGGCACTATTTGGGGTCATAAGAGCACTGCCCTGACCTCCCTGTCATCTGAGGCAGCTGGAAACTCCAATAGGCAGAGACCAAGAGCTGAGCTGTGCAGAACTCTGCTTCCCTAGGCACCTCCACCCTGTCCATCTCTCCCCCAACACCCCTGTACCTGGCCTGAAGCTGCTCAAGACCTGCAGGGCAGTAGCAAATCAGTGCAGTGTATGGAAGGAGAAGGTGCTAGACGTGCGGCCTGGGCCTGACTCCTCCAGCCCTTCATCTTTGCCTTCATCCTTCCTCCTGCCCAACATGCGTCCAGGGCATCACCCACCATGCCTAATTAATGCCAGCCTTCAGGGGACCACAGGGCTTCTTCTGTCAGCCCCAGGCAGCACTGTCCCAGGGCTGTGACCTTGACCTCTGTGGCTGCCAGCGGTTAGGATGCATCCCCCACCAGTCTCTCCCCAGGACCAGGGCCCAGGAGATCACCTGCTGTGGGGCACAGGTGGCCTCAGGTACCTGGAGGCATCGCCAGCCTGATCCATGCCAGGCAGGCTGCCCTTCCCCCACTGTTAGGAGAGGTAGGGCACAGGAGCTCGATGCTGGCTGTGAAGAAGGGTAGGCAGGGCTGAGGTGAGCTGGCAGAGGGAGCAAAGCATGAGTTCAGGATGGGTCCATGGAGGCCAGGTCCAGGTGGGAGCTAGGATGATGCCCACAGCTCCTGCCTGCCTGCAGGAGGGAGCTCTGGGCTGTGCAGCGTTTGGAATTGTGAGTATGGGGGCTTCCAGCATCAGGGCCGCAGAAGAATGTGCAGTCACAGGCTCCATCAGGAGCAGAGTCAGAAGGGTTTCCCGGCATCACCCAGCTTCACCCTGGGGTATCCGTACTTTGTCCCTTCAGAAAGGTGAGACAGAGCAGTCGAGCACCAGAAAGTTCTTACCATCAGCACTTCAGACATACAGGCACGCACACACCCAGAATCCAGAAGGCTTTGCTTTTGGCCCAAGCCTATTGTCACGGCCCCCTGGGTGTGAAGGGAGACTGAGCAGCCTCTCTCCCAGGAGAGCCAGACAGTGACTCTCCAGTTCCCTGAGACCTGGTCTCCCCTGAGCTACACATTAGACCCTCTCTATTTCCAGGAGTCACCTTCAGCCTGACCCCAAGGCTATGGGCTGAGAGACTCTGGGGGTCCTGTCAGGATTAAGTTCCTTTGCAGAGAGCCTCATTTTGTTATAGCTTGGTTTGCTCCATGTCCCATGAGGGGACACCTAACCTGCCCCCACCATGTTGGTGGCAAAACAAAGGCCCAGCAAGTGGGAAGCCCTGCCCTGGGCCCCACCGTCCATCCAGGCAGACCGACTCCCCATTTTCTTTTTGTTTTCTTTTCCATCAGCTTCCGGCAGGGCAGGTGGAGGCCTTTAGGCCCAGAGCTCTGTAGATTCTGGTGCCTGGATGGGGGAAGAAGGGGTAGCCTGAAGCACCCACCTCCCTGGGACTCCAGGGCTCCCTAGGGTGCAATGGGGGAGAGCATCAGTGCCCCAACAGCTGTAAACGTGGGCTCCCCTGAGCACCCCTGGGATCCTCACATGGAGGTCAGAGGCTGCAGTGACCCCTCCCTCCCTCAGGGGTTGCTTCCCTTCTCATGGGGCAGAGGCTGTGAATGGGCTCCTGGTTGCTTCCCTTCTCATGGGGCAGAGGCTGTGAATGGGCTCCCGGACACAGGACAGACCGTGGCCTGATCCAGCTCCTGATGCTCCCGGTCTCTGTGCCCAACAGCCAACCGCCTGCCATGGAGACTTTCTTTAGGAGACATTTCCGGGGGAAGGTGCCAGGCCCTGGAGAGGGGCAGCAGCGGCCCAGCAGCGTGGGGCTGCCCACAGGCAAGGCCCGGCGTCGCTCCCCCGCTGGGCAGGCCTCCTCCTCACTGGCACAGCGGCGCCGCTCCAGCGCCCAGCTCCAGGGCTGCCTCCTGAGTTGCGGGGTGAGGGCCCAGGGTTCCAGCCGCCGGCGCTCCAGCACTGTGCCCCCTTCCTGCAACCCCCGCTTCATCGTGGATAAGGTGCTCACTCCACAGCCTACCACCGTGGGGGCCCAGCTTCTGGGTGCACCCCTGCTGTTGACCGGGCTTGTGGGCATGAATGAGGAGGAGGGTGTCCAGGAGGATGTGGTAGCCGAGGCATCGAGCGCCATCCAGCCAGGCACCAAGACACCAGGGCCACCCCCACCTCGGGGCGCCCAGCCGCTGTTGCCCCTACCCCGCTACCTGCGCCGAGCCTCCTCCCACCTGCTCCCCGCGGATGCCGTATATGACCACGCTCTCTGGGGCCTGCACGGCTACTATCGGCGCCTCAGCCAGCGGCGGCCCTCAGGCCAGCACCCTGGCCCTGGGGGCCGAAGAGCCTCAGGCACCACCGCCGGCACCATGCTGCCCACCCGTGTGCGCCCACTGTCCCGCAGGCGCCAGGTAGCCCTACGGCGCAAGGCGGCCGGACCCCAGGCCTGGAGCGCCCTGCTCGCGTAGGTATAGCTGTGGCCAGCAGGGCGAGTGGTGTGACCTCCTGTGGGTCTGGCCTGGGCATGGGCCTTGAAGCTCTGCCTGGCTGAGGGTTCCCCACTTGGGAACACTCTGGGCAGTACCCTGAAGCCAGCGTACCCCAAAAGGCCATGTCTCTTGCAGGGAGCCTCTTAGTGTCTGGGGCTGCTGGGAGGCTCCTCCGCCCTCCCTGTTGCCGAGGTCACGGAAAGGGCAGAGGCCCCAGGAGGTGGGAGGAAGTAGGGTCAGCAAGTGCTCAGCCCCCTCCTCAGCTGTCTTCTCCTCTCTAGGAAAGCCATCACCAAGTCGGGCCTCCAGCACCTGGCCCCCCCTCCGCCCACCCCTGGGGCCCCGTGCAGCGAGTCAGAGCGGCAGATCCGGAGTACAGTGGACTGGAGCGTGAGTGCCTGAACACCCCTGGGTCCCAGACCCTCTGGGCTCTTGGCCAAGGCGCAGCTGGCGGGTGGAGGCACTAAAGGCAGCTGGGAGAGCCAAGCCTGGAAGGGTTGGGACAGTGGGGCAGACGGAACAGAGCAGGGTCGATCGGGGCGCTGGAGTGGGTTTGTCTTGGGAGAGGGCGGGTGGGCGGGGGCTGATGGGAGGGAGGGCTGGGCGGCCAGCGTGTGCTGAGCAAGCCCATCCCGTGGCTAGGAGTCAGCGACATATGGGGAGCACATCTGGTTCGAGACCAACGTGTCCGGGGACTTCTGCTACGTTGGGGAGCAGTACTGTGTAGCCAGGATGCTGGTGAGTGCTCGTAGGGGCACGCCGCCCCCTGCTGGTGGAGCCAGTAGCCGCAGCCCTTCCGGGAACGTGGGATTGAGCCCGCTCCCTGGCACCCCTGCTGTGGGCCGCCCCAGGATGGTGAGGGGTGCAGGGGCTTTGTCCGGATGCCAGGACTGGGGCTTCCCAGTGCACACAAAGGGCAGCTGTGCTGGGGCAGGCAGCCTCCGAGATAGACTTACCTGGTGCCTCAGGGGCCCTCTCTTCCTGTCCTGCAGCAGAAGTCAGTGTCTCGAAGAAAGTGCGCAGCCTGCAAGATTGTGGTGCACACGCCCTGCATCGAGCAGCTGGAGAAGGTGGGTGGGTAGCTCAGCTTTGCCCGCCCCTGCCCTTTGGGTGCTGAGGCCCTTTCAGCGCGCACTCACACCCACATGTTATACAAACGGCCTGCCAGGAGTGACCCAGCACTCGGGGGTGAAGAGTCAAGGACCCTGGAGCCAAATGCCTGCGTTCGAATCCTGGCTCCTCACTGATTAGCTGCTGTATCCCCACTGCCTGGAACAAACCTGGCGCCTAGTGGGTTCGTTGAATATCACTCAATGGAATGAATTGACGAATGGTGGCCCTTGTACCATTTCACCATGTCCAAACTAGTGCTTAGAAGAGGCCATTGATTTGCTGAAGCTTCATAACTCAGCTGTGGCTACACCCTGCCTCTGTGGAGACCTTTCCCCAAGGGCCATTGTCCACTGTGCATTTGCAGCTGGGGGCATGTCTGGGCACTGTGCTTCTAGAGGTGGAGGCAGCACTGGGCAGACGGGTCAAGGCCAGGGGCAGAAGGGTTCGCATGGAGGGGCAGCGCTTCCCAGCCTGCAGAAACCCAGGCCATCATACGGGAGAGACTGTAAGACTAGGAGTGGTTCAGGCAGGCTCACACAGGCTGCTTTCCCCAGCCTCTGAATTGTAAAGTGAGGCTTCCTTATACCTCTAATAAGGCTGAAGTAGGGACAGTTATGAGAAGGGAAATAGAAATGCAGCCCCAAGCACTGTACACTCATCATTTAAGGTGGAAATCGACCTAGGGTTCCACAAATTAGCTAAAGGTCTCCAGGGGCCAGGCAGTGCAAGTCTGCGTGTGAGGACCAGGCTGGCTGCGTGTGCCCGGGTCGGGAGTGCCAGAGGGCGAGGAAGAAAGGATGCGGCCGAGTGCGGTGGCTCATGCCTGTAATCCCAGCACTTTGGGAGGCCGAGGTAGGTGGATCACCCTGAGGTCAGGAGTTTGAGACCAGCCTGGCCAACATGGTGAAACCCCATCTCTACTAAAAATCACAAAAATTAGCCAGGCGTGGTGATGCACACCTGTAATCCCAGCTACTCGGGAGGTGGAGGTTGCAGTGAGCCGAGATCGCACCACTGCACTCCAGCCTGGGCAACAGAGCGAGACTCTGTCTCAAAAAACAAAAACAAAAAAAAAACAACGAGCAAACCATGGTCCCATGTTAGTGGGGGAGACGGACCCAAAGCTCCCAACCTCCCCCTCATCCTGGGTCCTGGGTGGAAGAAGGAAAGATCCCTCTGGCTAGTGAGGAGGAGGCAGAGAGGCAGGAGGGCTTCTCACAGGAGGTGTCTCGTGTTTCAAGGACTCTCGTGACGATTTGGGGGTATCCCCACCTTGTGAGGATGACTCTGGGTTGTCCTGGAGGGAGTGACCACATACCTGACCCCGAAGGGAGGTTCTGACATTTTGGTGGTCACTGCCATGTTTCACAGATAAATTTCCGCTGTAAGCCGTCCTTCCGTGAATCAGGCTCCAGGAATGTCCGCGAGGTAAGTGCCCAGGGTGGTCAGGGATGGGGCCACCCTAAGATTCCTGCATGGGCCTCTGCGCAGTGCCTCTGGAGTGCCACCAGGGGGCTCGGCTCCCTCTAGGCTGCTGCTCACTGAGGTCTGTCTGAGGTCTGCCATGCGGAGGCCTAACTAGCGCTGCCTGCGGAGTGGGTGGGACAGCTTGTGCCTCCTGGTGCTTCCCAGCCTTCTCTGTCCCTCTGAGTCTGAGCCTCCCCCAGGCCATGAAGAGAGTCTTTAGCCCCTCCTCCACTCATGCGCAGGACTGCAGAGCGCTTCCTGCAGCCCCGTGTGTTGAGCCGTGTGGGCAGTCCTCAGGACTGTGCCCCTGCCCACCCCTCACCCAGTGAAATTTTTCCCCTTCTCCCCCAGCCAACCTTTGTACGGCACCACTGGGTACACAGACGACGCCAGGACGGCAAGTGTCGGCACTGTGGGAAGGTGAGAGGCCCTGCCCGAGGACATCGCCACCTGCACCTGCGGTCCTGAGCCCAGGCCATGTGGCCGGTGTGGCCTGCCGATCACTGACCACACCCTGGTGTGCAGAGTCCGGGGCTGACCCTCAGCCTGGCTGCAGTGCCTTCAGTTCTCAAGCACCCTGGCCTGCTCTTGGTCTCTGGGCTTAGTAGGAGAGCAGGGAGGAAAGTTTTCTTCCCATGTGGCACACCTGGCCTGCTTTGAAGCTGCAAGTGGCCCTTTGGAGAATCGTATAGACTTACTCATTCGGTGACTCCATGGATACTTGTGTGCCGAGCGCCAAGCTGGGCAGCGGTTTCCCACCCTCCTGAGGACAGTGTGGCTTGAAGCCAGGCTTTCCAGGCGACCGCCTAACCCAGTCCACAGTTGTTTGGTTCACTTTCTTGTTTGCTTCTTGCCCGCCTCCCTCAGTAAGTGCAGGCTCTCAAAGATGGAGAGGCTTGCTTCACTGATTCTCAGCGCCTGGCCCACTGCAGGCCTTTCATAACAGCCTGTGTGATGAACAGGGAATGAATGTGATAGGTACTCGGAAGCGGCAGTAAATTTCTTTAACAGCACATGGGGGTCTGGTCAGGCCTCGGGGGTAGGAAGGAGGGAAAATCCGAGTGAGGCAGGAGTTAGCCTGCAGTGTGGCAGAACGGGTATGCATGTGGT
This sequence comes from Homo sapiens, assembly GCF_000001405.40. NCBI lineage: Eukaryota > Metazoa > Chordata > Mammalia > Primates > Hominidae > Homo > Homo sapiens. The sequence continues at coordinate 46,370,700 of NC_000011.10, forward strand.
GCCGTGCAGGTAACTTCAGGGAGTCAGGGGGCCCGGGCTAAGCCACCCTGCTCTTCAGGCTTATCTTATACATATTTTTTTTTATTTTAAAAAATGTGTTCAGACTGGGTGTGGTGGCTCACGCCTGTAATCCCAGCACTTTGGGAGGCTGAGGTGGGTGGATCACCTGAGGTCAGGAATTCGAGACCAGCCTGGCTAACATGGTGAAACCCTGTCTCTACTGAAAATACAAAAAATTAGCTGGGCGTAGTGGTGGGCGCCTGTAATCCCGGCCACTCAGGAGGCTGAGACAAGAGAATCGCTTGAACCTGGAAGGTGGAGGTTGCAGTGAGCCAAGATCACGCCACTGCACTCCAGCCTGGGCAACAAGAGCGAGACTCCATCTCCAAACAAAAACAAAAAATGTGTTCAAAGCTGGGCATGGTGGCACATGCCTGTTGTTCCCAGTTACTTGGGGGGGCTGAGGCAGATTGCTTAAGCCCAGGAGTTTGAGACCAGCCTGGGCAACATAGCGAGGCCCTGTCTCTGGGTGGAGAGAGGCTGGCACCAGGAGAGGGGCTGGGTCTGCTGCTCCACGCCTGCCCTGGTTCCCATCCATCCTGTCTACCCTCAGGGATTCCAGCAGAAGTTCACCTTCCACAGCAAGGAGATTGTGGCCATCAGCTGCTCGTGGTGCAAGCAGGCAGTGAGTGGTGCCCCCGCCCCCAGGGCCAGGCCCTGCACTGCTGGGTTTGGGTCCCCGAGTCTGAACACGGTCCCGCTGAGCCCGGCCCCTCGCTCTCCTCAGTACCACAGCAAGGTGTCCTGCTTCATGCTGCAGCAGATCGAGGAGCCGTGCTCGCTGGGGGTCCACGCAGCCGTGGTCATCCCGCCCACCTGGATCCTCCGCGCCCGGAGGCCCCAGGTGAGTACTGCCTGCACCCTTGATGCCCCGTACGCACTTGGGGTCTGCCAGCTACCCCAGCCTGCCCACCTCGTCACCAACACCCCTGCTTCCCTTGCAGAATACTCTGAAAGCAAGCAAGAAGAAGAAGAGGGCATCCTTCAAGAGGAAGTCCAGCAAGAAAGGGCCTGAGGTCAGCCCCAGGCTGGGCAGAGGCTGCAGGGGAGCAGGAGAGAGGGGTCTGTTGCTCAGGGTACAGAACTTCCACCCCCAGCTAATGCTGCCAGCTGGTGGGGGTCTGTGTGGGCTCTGGGGCCTCTGAGGAAGGCAGGATTAGATGCCAGTTTCTGCTCTGTGGCCTGGTAAGATCTGGCCCAGAGATGGTACGTGAGGGTACAAAGAGGGAACAAAGTCACCCAGGGGGCCTGCTAAGGATGATGGTAGGGTGTCCTGGACGGGAAGGAGCTTACAGCCTCTCACCTTGTCTCCCAGGAGGGCCGCTGGAGACCCTTCATCATCAGGCCCACCCCCTCCCCGCTCATGAAGCCCCTGCTGGTGTTTGTGAACCCCAAGAGTGGGGGCAACCAGGTGAACGCGGCCTTGCCTCTCAGCTAAGGGCTCGGGCGGGGGTTGGGGTCCAGCCCGTCTGCCAGCAGCTGTTCCCAGAGCCCGTTTCTGGCTTCTACCCCAATCCCTCTTTCCCAGGGATCCTGAGAAAATCCTGTCCTTTCTCCACCCCTCACCCCTTATTGGCCCTGGTTCCCACAGTCACACCCCTCTCCCTCTGCTGCTCCCACTTCGTCCCACCACTGCCTGACTGTCTCTTGGCTCCCCATCCCATCCAGGGTGCAAAGATCATCCAGTCTTTCCTCTGGTATCTCAATCCCCGACAAGTCTTCGACCTGAGCCAGGGAGGGCCCAAGGAGGCGTAAGTACTTGCCAAGGTTTTGTGGGGGACATGGGGGGGAACTTGCCTCACTCCTGGGGTACAGCACACATCCCCTGACCCCACTGCCATCTTCCCATGAGCCCAGGCTGGAGATGTACCGCAAAGTGCACAACCTGCGGATCCTGGCGTGCGGGGGCGACGGCACGGTGAGCTCCCCGCATGGGCCAGCCGAGCACCAGGGCTGGGCCTGAAGCCGGGGTCCCTGTGGGCCTGATTTGCCTCTGTTCTTCCTCCCCCAGGTGGGCTGGATCCTCTCCACCCTGGACCAGCTACGCCTGAAGCCGCCACCCCCTGTTGCCATCCTGCCCCTGGGTACTGGCAACGACTTGGCCCGAACCCTCAACTGGGGTGGGGTAAGCACCCATAGGAGGGGGGTGCAGCTGGGGCCTCTCCAGCCACAGAGGGCTCAGTCCCTGCCTGCTCCCCCAGGGCTACACAGATGAGCCTGTGTCCAAGATCCTCTCCCACGTGGAGGAGGGGAACGTGGTACAGCTGGACCGCTGGGACCTCCACGCTGAGCCCAACCCCGAGGCAGGGCCTGAGGACCGAGATGAAGGCGCCACCGACCGGGTAAGTTGGCCAGGGTTGGTGGGGGGCAGGGCAGGTGACTGGGGACTGGATCCCACTTTTCCACTTGCTGGTTCTGGGACCTCGGGCGTGTCTCTTCATTTCTCCAACTTCCACTTCTTCCTTGTACGATGGGAATAATAGTACTTGCCTCACAAGATGCTGTTTTTTCTGTGTTTTTTTTTTGTTTTTTTTTTTTTTTTTTTGAGACTGAGTCTCGCTCTGTTACCCAGGCTGGAGTGCAGTGGCGCAATCCCAGCTCACTGCAACCTCCGCCTCCCAGGTTCAAGCGATTCTCCTGCCTCAGCCTCCTGAGTAGCTGGGATTATAGGCAGGTGCCACCACACCTGGCTAATTTTTGTTTTTCTGTTTTCTTTTTTTTTTCTTGTTTTTTTTTTTGTTTTTGTTTTTTGTTTTTTGTGACAGAGTCTCACTGTCACCCAGGCTGGAGTACAGTGGCACAGTCTTGGCTCACTGCAACCTCTGCCTCCCGGGCTCAAGCTATTCTCCTCCGTCAGCCTCCTGAGTAGCTGGGACTACAGGCACCCGCCACCACACCCGGCTAATTTTTGTATTTTTAGTAGAGATGGGGTCTCACCATGTTGGTCAGCCTGGTTTTGAACTCCTGACCTCAGGTGATCCATCTGCCTCGGCCTCCCAAAGCACTGGGATTACAGGCATGAGCCACCACGCCTGGTCAGAAGATGCTGCTTTATTCCATAGACATGCACTGAGCGCCTGCTACCTGCCAGGCACTTCTCTAAGCAGTGAGCAAAACCAAGCCTCGCTGTTGTGCTCCACATGGCATGTCAGGAAGAAGTGTTAGGGGAGCTGACAGGGAAGAGATGCTGCAGGCACGCAGGGAAATCCCCCAGGAGCCACCAGGCAGAGCAGGGCTGTGCCTGACAGCGGGTGAGCTGGGCTGAGCCCTAGCGGACGCTGCTGACCAGGAAAAGCCTGTGAACAGATGGGCTGAGCTGGCTCGGCCACACGAGGCCCCTGGAGCGGGGACATTTGTGAGGCCCAGCCCTCATTTTGGTCCCTTGACCTTTTTCCAGTTGCCCCTGGATGTCTTCAACAACTACTTCAGCCTGGGCTTTGACGCCCACGTCACCCTGGAGTTCCACGAGTCTCGAGGTTGGCAGCCTCCCACTGAGGCCAGGGCAGGGTGGGCACAGGAGTGTCCCCGGGAGGGTCAGACCCTGCTCCCGCCAGTGAAGGCATCCATCCCAGCCCTCCCCCAACCCCACCTGGGCAGGCTGGGGTGACTCACTGGCCCCCACTGCTTGTCTCCACCCAGAGGCCAACCCAGAGAAATTCAACAGCCGCTTTCGGAATAAGATGTTCTACGCCGGGGTGAGTGGGGTCTGCACCCCCGCCTGTGCCCACCTCTTCTACCACCCGTGCCCGTGCCCACCTGTGTCCACCAGGCCCCAGGAGCCCTGCCGGGTGCTGGTGAGGAAAGATCTCTGTCAGCAGATGGTGACGCCCTCTGTCTCCCACAGACAGCTTTCTCTGACTTCCTGATGGGCAGCTCCAAGGACCTGGCCAAGCACATCCGAGTGGTGGTGAGCGGGGCCAGGCTGCCGTGGGTGGGTGGGCCGGAAGGGAGGGAGGCGGAGGCCACCTGGCACATGCACCTCAACACCCTCCCCGCCCGCCTCCAGTGTGATGGAATGGACTTGACTCCCAAGATCCAGGACCTGAAACCCCAGTGTGTTGTTTTCCTGAACATCCCCAGGTGAGGAGGGGGCTACCGGAGCTGGGGGGAGCCCTGCTGTCCTTGTCCTGCAGAGACTGTGTTTTGAGGCCCATGTCATCGCCCGCCTTTGCAGGTACTGTGCGGGCACCATGCCCTGGGGCCACCCTGGGGAGCACCACGACTTTGAGCCCCAGCGGCATGACGACGGCTACCTCGAGGTCATTGGCTTCACCATGACGTCGTTGGTGAGTGGGCCCTGGGCCCATGGTGCCTGGGAGCACAGCCCAAAGGTGGAAGGGGTCACCCATACTCACCTCCATGGGCCACGGCGGCCTAGTTCACCCTCACCTCCCTTCTTTGTCTCATTCCTCTGGCTTGAGAGCGGCACCTACCCCCTCTCCTCACTATGCCTCGGGATACCTTCACTCCCCACTCTGACTGGAGCGTCACCCTCATTGCCTCTGTCCCTTCCCTTTCCTACCTGGGGTCTCAGCCTCCCCTCTGCCCTCTGGCCAGGGGTCACTCTCACCTTTGTTCTCTGGCTAGAGTTTCTGCTTCGGAAGGAGCAGAGTCTGGGACCCCCCTGCCCCCAGCCCTGGTGCCATCTGACCCAAGCTTCCTGTGCCCACAGGCCGCGCTGCAGGTGGGCGGACACGGCGAGCGGCTGACGCAGTGTCGCGAGGTGGTGCTCACCACATCCAAGGCCATCCCGGTGCAGGTGGATGGCGAGCCCTGCAAGCTTGCAGCCTCACGCATCCGCATCGCCCTGCGCAACCAGGCCACCATGGTGCAGAAGGCCAAGCGGCGGAGCGCCGCCCCCCTGCACAGCGAGTACGTCCCACCCTGCCACGTGCCCTGGGTGCCAAGGCCAGACCCTGCCCTCTCTGGGCCTTGATTTCCCCATCTGTAAAAGGGGCTGACTGTCCCTCTGCCCCAGGGGTGTTGGGAGTGGAGCGGGACCTTCTCTCGGCAAGTGGTTTGGTGCCAGGCCGAGGGTGGCACCAAGGCAGGGCCCTTGCTGAGCCCCCGCTTGCCGGCCCTGCCCGACAGCCAGCAGCCGGTGCCAGAGCAGTTGCGCATCCAGGTGAGTCGCGTCAGCATGCACGACTATGAGGCCCTGCACTACGACAAGGAGCAGCTCAAGGAGGCCTGTGAGTGCGGTGGGGCGGCCTGGCAGGGTGGCCAGGAGGGGCTGAAGCAGCCGGGGCCCCCTTGGGCAGGGCTGTGGGGTGCAGCCAGCTGCTGACAGGTGCTCTGTTCTCCAGCTGTGCCGCTGGGCACTGTGGTGGTCCCAGGAGACAGTGACCTAGAGCTCTGCCGTGCCCACATTGAGAGACTCCAGCAGGTAAGGGGTGGGGGCTTCCCCAGGTGCCCACCGAGAGGGTGGTGGGAAGTGAGGCCAGGCCTCTTCCTCCCGCAGCCAGCTCGCCCTGCGGAGCCTCCTCTGTGCTGGTTCCCCCTACTCCAAGTTCCCTTCCCTCCCTGGCCCCCACTCTATCCCAGCCTGGCCTTTGCTTCTCTCAACAGGAGCCCGATGGTGCTGGAGCCAAGTCCCCGACATGCCAGAAACTGTCCCCCAAGTGGTGCTTCCTGGACGGTGAGTCTACTCCCAGGGTGCCAAGCTGTTTCGTGTTCCCTCCCTAGGGGATCCCAGGTAGGGGCAGCAGAGGACCTGGGCCTGGACATGGCACTCCCTGATCCTCAGCTGCCCTCTCTCCCACAGCCACCACTGCCAGCCGCTTCTACAGGATCGACCGAGCCCAGGTGAGCGATTGCAGGCCTGCTCCAGCCACAGCTGCTTCCGGGCCCCAGGGTCGCCTCTCCTGGGACGCCTTCCCTGTTAGCTCCCCCGATGGGCTCACCTCTGTCCTCATGCCTCTGAGAGCTTTTACTATTGCCTGTGTGCATGGACAGCGTGCGGCCCTGCCCTCCACACTGGAGAGTATAGGGCGGTGCCAGCCAGAAAGGCAGTGGGGTACCTACCAAAGGCTTGCTGGGTGGGTAGGAGGGCCTGGAAGCCCAGAGCCATCCAGGGAGACACAGAAGCAAAGGCATTCTGGTCAGGCGCCAGCTCACCTGGTAAAGTCTGGGCAGTCGGAGGAGGTGTCAGGAATGGGAAGGAGTGGGAGAGGGACAGGCAGGGCCCCTTGCCTGGCCACCTCCTTTCAGTGTTTGTGCTCATGGCAGAGGCTTCTCCAGGTCTACCAGCCTTGCTGCCCCTCGGCCCCCACCGTCAGGTGCCCTGACCTCCCGCCCTGACCTCCCCCCACAGGAGCACCTCAACTATGTGACTGAGATCGCACAGGATGAGATTTATATCCTGGACCCTGAGCTGCTGGGGGCATCGGCCCGGCCTGACCTCCCAACCCCCACTTCCCCTCTCCCCACCTCACCCTGCTCACCCACGCCCCGGTGAGTCCTGGTGTCCCGTCCCTCCAGCCCCTGGCTTTCAGCCCCACCTGTAAGCCGATGACTTCTGAATCCCTGCTTCTAGCCCCTCCACCAGTTAACTAAATGGTGTCAACCTGAACCTGGCCAAAGCCCACCTGACGGCCTTCAGCCCTGTGGTTCTGTGGGGAAGCGGCCTCACGTCCACCCTGGTTCCCTCCCTGACTTCTCCCTCCTCTGGACCTCATCCTTCAGCCAGTCCTGGCAGCCCCCGGACCCACCACCTGAGCACTCCTCCCCACCCCTACTGCCACCAGCCCTTCCCGGCTGCCACGCCCTGGCCCCCAGCTCTTATATCCCTGTGGCCATTCGTGCCCTCGAACCCCCATCTCCATACCACGGTCAACTAAAAATGCAGAGCATACCAGGCCACTCCCCAACCTAGAAGCTTCTTTCTCAGCAGCCCTTTGGACGTGGATTCTCCCCAGGCCCCCCGTCATTGCACTGGGCTCCCAGCCCCCTCCCTGAGTTCACCTCCATGGTCCTGCCCCACTCTCTTCTCTTGGTTCTTTGAGGCATCAGGTGTTTGCCACCACTGGACTTCTGTCATCGCTGCCTCCAACTCTTCCCCCATCTTTCCGGAGCTCCCCCACCCCCATCCCCTTCGAATCTCAGCTTGGCTGTTTCCTCCTTGGAGAGATCACTCCCAGGACCCCCTCTGCAGGGGTGCCACATCACCTGTTCTGAATTCTTAAGAGCACCCCTGCTCTCAGAACTCCTTATTTATTTGACTTGTTTGTATCCCTGAACTAGAATGTAAGCTCCATGAGGGCAAGGCCTTCCTCTGTCTCGTTTCCCTGCTGTATCCCCAGTGCCTGGAATAGTGCTTGGTGTGTAGCAGGCACTCAATAAACTGTGGAAAGGATGAAGATGCCCCCAGTTGGGGTTGGGGAGGGCGACCAGCTGGCCTGTGCCGTAGCCGGTCACAGCACATCATGCTCTGTTGCAGGTCACTGCAAGGGGATGCTGCACCCCCTCAAGGTGAGGCCTCTCCCTCTGGGGCCCCTCCTTTCTGCCTGGTTGGGGGCAGGAGGCTCAGTGGGGTGGGGATAGGGCCCAGACACAGCCTTACACAAACACAGCCTTTGAGCTTCACGCACCAACGGAGCCCTGGGCACACATGCCTGGCCGGCACAGTCCTGTCCACTGAGGCACCAACCCAAGCCCAGGCCTCCGACTGCAGAGTAACAGGCAGGTATTCCGTGCAGGTGAAGAGCTGATTGAGGCTGCCAAGAGGAACGACTTCTGTAAGGTACTAGCTCCAGGCTCCAGTTCCTTCCCCCAGCAGCTCCCTCGGGCCCTGGGGAGCGAGGCCTCTGGGTTGGGCCAAGAGCTGACCTGCTCAGGTGCTGTCATCTGTCATCGTCTGGCCCTCTGTGGGATCTCCAGTGATCGTCCCATTCCACTTCACTGTATCTCTGTCTAGGCCACAATAGATGGCTCCTAGTAGGGGCTTCCTAGCTCAGTCCACCTGTCCCTGGTGCTTAGAAAGGAGCAGGTCAGAGGAAGCACTGCTCCAGGGCTTGGTCACCAGTGCTGCCAGAGAGCCCACAGGCTGTGGGGTGAGAGGCCCCTCCTCCGGTGTGCTCCAGAGAGACCCACAGAGGCAACTCAGGAGTAAGATGTGTGAGCGCACTCGTTTCAGGCCTGTGCTGGTGTACCCGGCTGTGGGCCAGCGTGTGAGCTCAGGGAAGGAGGGGTGGCCCCAGGAGGTCCAGCCCTGCCATGCCTCCTGCCCTCAGCTCCAGGAGCTGCACCGAGCTGGGGGCGACCTCATGCACCGAGACGAGCAGAGTCGCACGCTCCTGCACCACGCAGTCAGCACTGGCAGCAAGGATGTGGTCCGCTACCTGCTGGACCACGGTGAGCCGGGCAGTGGAGCCCAGGGCCTGGGGCCAAGGTGGGAGGAGGAGGGGCTGCCAGGCCTCTCTGACCACCACCTCCCCTTCTCCAGCCCCCCCAGAGATCCTTGATGCGGTGGAGGAAAAGTAAGTATCTGGGCAGTGCAGAACCGTGGTCACCCCGGAAACCACCCTTTTCCCCACCCCTCCCATTTTGTCAGGTCAGAGCCCATAAACTTCCTGGTCACATCTGTCATCCCCTGGGCCACCCCTATTGCCCCAGAGCCCTGAACTTCCTGCCCTTTCTGATGGCCCTTGGGAGACAGATGGGTGGATCAGGGGACGGGATGGGGTACACAGCCAGCCCCTGCTCCCCCAGCGGGGAGACCTGTTTGCACCAAGCAGCGGCCCTGGGCCAGCGCACCATCTGCCACTACATCGTGGAGGCCGGGGCCTCGCTCATGAAGACAGACCAGCAGGTGAGCAGACGGCAGGCAGGGAGCCCACGAGGGCACCAACCAAACCTTTCCCAAGGTCCTAGGCGGGAGCTGGGGCTGGGGGCTGTCCCTGGGAAGACACAGTCCAGACCCTGGGAAACCTGAGCCAGCAGGGGAGGAGCTGGTGGGCAGAGAGGCCTCCCTCCCTGACCAGGCCACAGGGAGGTAGAGCCCCTGCCTCTCAGCCTGCTAGGGGTTAGGCCTGCCTCTGGCCCCTGCTGATCGCAGCTCCGCCCTCCTCCAGGGCGACACTCCCCGGCAGCGGGCTGAGAAGGCTCAGGACACCGAGCTGGCCGCCTACCTGGAGAACCGGCAGCACTACCAGATGATCCAGCGGGAGGACCAGGAGACGGCTGTGTAGCGGGCCGCCCACGGGCAGCAGGAGGGACAATGCGGCCAGGGGACGAGCGCCTTCCTTGCCCACCTCACTGCCACATTCCAGTGGGACGGCCACGGGGGGACCTAGGCCCCAGGGAAAGAGCCCCATGCCGCCCCCTAAGGAGCCGCCCAGACCTAGGGCTGGACTCAGGAGCTGGGGGGGCCTCACCTGTTCCCCTGAGGACCCCGCCGGACCCGGAGGCTCACAGGGAACAAGACACGGCTGGGTTGGATATGCCTTTGCCGGGGTTCTGGGGCAGGGCGCTCCCTGGCCGCAGCAGATGCCCTCCCAGGAGTGGAGGGGCTGGAGAGGGGGAGGCCTTCGGGAAGAGGCTTCCTGGGCCCCCTGGTCTTCGGCCGGGTCCCCAGCCCCCGCTCCTGCCCCACCCCACCTCCTCCGGGCTTCCTCCCGGAAACTCAGCGCCTGCTGCACTTGCCTGCCCTGCCTTGCTTGGCACCCGCTCCGGCGACCCTCCCCGCTCCCCTGTCATTTCATCGCGGACTGTGCGGCCTGGGGGTGGGGGGCGGGACTCTCACGGTGACATGTTTACAGCTGGGTGTGACTCAGTAAAGTGGATTTTTTTTTCTTTTCTGCTTTTCTTCTTTTGCGGGGGAGGTCTAACAAGCAGCGGGGGCTGCGGGGTTGTCCTCGGGGTGGGGGACTGGACGCTGTCGACAGCACCTTCCTGGGGCCCCGGCTCCCGTTTGGTGGTTGGTCCCAGGGCCTGCCCGGTTCCTGACCTCTGCCCGGCGGCCGCGCTCGTCGGGGCCGGGGGCGGGGCCGATCCCTCCGGCTTCCCGCTTCCCGCGGAGAACAACAATGAAAGTGAAAGAGGGGTGGGGCGGGGGCGAGCCCGGGTTCTGTGGCCCATTTGCCCTGTGGCCTTGAGCAAGCCCCTCCCCCAGGCCTCGGGGGCTCTCCCGGTTTGGGGGAACCGGGCGAGGCAATGCCACAGGCCCAGGGTTAGAGGGGGTGGGCACTTGCAGCTGCCGATGTGGCTGGATCTGGAACTTCTCAGACGGCTCCTGTCAGCGCCAAGTTTCACCAAATCCAGGCCTGCGGGCTCCTCCCCCAGGACCCCCACTCGCAGTCCCTCAAGCCTGTGCTCCCGGAAAGGCACTGGGCGACCGCACCCGTGGCTTTCTCTGGGCGACCGGGTCCCAGACTCCCCCCAGCACAGCAGAGCGCTTCCCTGCCCACCCGCGGAAACCGCCCCAGGTGGGCCGCGCCCCCTCCCCAGCAGCCAGCAGGGCGCCAGGGCTGAGCCGGCCGTGGAGGGGAGCGGGTCCCGCGGGTTATACAGGCGCCGGGGCTCCGCGGCAGGCAAGAGAAGCTGAGGCCTGAGAACGGCCCGGGCCTTGGCGTACGGCAGGGGACGACCTGGGATGGGGGCAGCGGGCGGCGGCGCAGGGAGTGGGCCGGGGGCCGGTGTGCGCGGGCGGGACGGGGCCCGGGGTCGGGAGACCACCGCTCGGAAGATGGGGCCGGGAGAGGCCGCCGTCGCAGCGCAGAGGGCACCGGCGGGGAGACGCGAGGACGCGGGGCCGGGAACACGGACGCCGGAGTAGAAGCGCGGGGGGCGCGGGCTGGAGCGGGGGCGGGGACGCCGGGGTCGGGGGCGGTGCGGGTTTGAGGGGAGGGGGCGGGGCGGGTCCTTCCCTGGGGGGGTGGGGAGAGGGGGCGGGGGCCCATGTGACCGGCTCAGACCGGTTCTGGAGACAAAAGGGGCCGCGGCGGCCGGAGCGGGACGGGCCCGGCGCGGGAGGGAGCGAAGCAGCGCGGGCAGCGAGCGAGTGAGCGCGCGGCGGCCCCTGGTCCGCCCGGCCGCGGCCGATCTAGGGGCTGGGGGCTGGAGGCGGGGGTGGGGGTCTGAGCTGCGTCCTGGGCTCGAGGCGTCCCCCGGGGAGTCGCCTCTTAGCGGTGCGTCCGGGCTAGCGGCGAGGGGCCGCCCCAAGTCTTCCCACCGCCGCCACCTTAGCAGCCCGACTTGGGGCCTGGAAAGTGGAGCACGCGGAGGTGGGAGGGCCCTGCACGCGGCCCCCGGTGGGGAAGGGGACGGGCCAGGGATTCAGACTCGGGCTCTCCCCTCAGGATGCAGCACCGAGGCTTCCTCCTCCTCACCCTCCTCGCCCTGCTGGCGCTCACCTCCGCGGTCGCCAAAAAGAAAGGTGATGGGGGATGATCGAAGGAGGGCTGGGGACGGGCAGGCGAGGCCCCTCCACTTCTGGGCTGGGCCGCCTGGGTTCCTAGCCTGGAACCCCAGGAAGGCGGCTCCCGAGGGAGTCTCCCCGTGCCCCAGTCCTGAACTCTGTTCCTCGCGCGTTGTAGATAAGGTGAAGAAGGGCGGCCCGGGGAGCGAGTGCGCTGAGTGGGCCTGGGGGCCCTGCACCCCCAGCAGCAAGGATTGCGGCGTGGGTTTCCGCGAGGGCACCTGCGGGGCCCAGACCCAGCGCATCCGGTGCAGGGTGCCCTGCAACTGGAAGAAGGAGTTTGGAGGTGAGGCGGGGCGCAGTCAGAGGGCAGGAGACGGGGGGCACAGCCTCGCCGAAGCCTGGGCGGACCCTTGGCGGAGGGCGGGGCCGCGGGCCGCGCAGCGCTGACCTGGGCCGCTCTCTCGCCAGCCGACTGCAAGTACAAGTTTGAGAACTGGGGTGCGTGTGATGGGGGCACAGGCACCAAAGTCCGCCAAGGCACCCTGAAGAAGGCGCGCTACAATGCTCAGTGCCAGGAGACCATCCGCGTCACCAAGCCCTGCACCCCCAAGACCAAAGCAAAGGCCAAAGGTCAGCGAAAGGAGAAGGGGGTGGGGCTGTCGCGGGGGGCTGCCCCCCCCCCCCCCCGCCTGTGAGGGGACAATTCCAAGTTAAACCTTAAGTTTTGAGTCCTGGCCAGTGGCTTCCTGACATCGCCTCACTTGGCTTCCCTGCCTGGAAAAGTCTGAAGATGGGCACTACAAGAGAGGCCGCAGGTGATGCTGGGGACATAAATCCTCCCTGGCCCAAATAGGGACCAACTCAAACTACTCCATTGGAGCATCTGGCTTAGGACCCAGGGAGAGTGTCCTGGAACGGCTTGCCTTTGTCAGCTCTCCAGCCACGGGCAGCATTTGGTCAGCTCTGCCCTTTCTAGTGTTGGGAGGAGGTCAAGGCCCACCCTGGGCCTCTCAGCTCACTCGTGACTCAGCCCAGCGAGGCCAGCAGGGCAGGGGTGAATCTGCCCGCTTCTCAGGTGAGGAGGCTGAGGATGCCCAGGGCTGCTGTGACCAGGACTAGGACTGGAAACTTGAAGGTTTTCTGATCCCAAGTGGAAATAGGAAGCTGGGGATGTCCCATGTCCACATCACAATGGCTGCCCCATCCCCTGCTTCCGAGTCAGCTGATTGGAAACCACTAGGGGGCAGAATCTTCTCCTTCCCTGATGCCCGGGTGTTTGTGGAGCCGGCGGTCTGCAATGGGTCAGCCTAACTGCTGATATGGTATTAATATTTCTTTCTTGTTTTACAGCCAAGAAAGGGAAGGGAAAGGACTAGACGCCAAGCCTGGATGCCAAGGAGCCCCTGGTGTCACATGGGGCCTGGCCCACGCCCTCCCTCTCCCAGGCCCGAGATGTGACCCACCAGTGCCTTCTGTCTGCTCGTTAGCTTTAATCAATCATGCCCTGCCTTGTCCCTCTCACTCCCCAGCCCCACCCCTAAGTGCCCAAAGTGGGGAGGGACAAGGGATTCTGGGAAGCTTGAGCCTCCCCCAAAGCAATGTGAGTCCCAGAGCCCGCTTTTGTTCTTCCCCACAATTCCATTACTAAGAAACACATCAAATAAACTGACTTTTTCCCCCCAATAAAAGCTCTTCTTTTTTAATATATAAAAGCCCCTTCCCAAGGAGTTTGCTGTGGAAATGTGTTTGGGAGTGGGAAGGTGGGGAGAAAGACCAGGCTGTAGGGACTGGTGGGTTTCAGGGGGCTTGGTGGTGGGTGCTCTCCAGAGCTCATGGAAAAAGCAGAACAATTACAAACATTTCTTCCAGGGCCCCTGAAAGGGTGCTCCCCATCAAGTCACCTAAGCCTTTCGGTCCTCATCTCCCTCAGGGACCAGGGCTGGGGAAGGGAACCTGGCTGACTCACTGGAACCACCACACCCATCTCAGCCTCACCCAGTCAAAGGTCTTTTGATACAACCCACAGCCAATCAGGAAGGTTCTACCCATGGGGGAGAGCAGATGCGAGGGCTGCGTGCCTACCTCACTGCCCACCTCCCCCCTTCCCACTGTCATGGAAACCCGAGTGAGCCACCAGGTTGACCCCTTTCCTCTTGCCTGTGTGACCCAGGCCTCCACCCTGCAGAAGCCAGGGGGTGAGAGGTTTGAAGAGGGCAGATGGGAATGCCATCCACCACAGCCTCACCCTGACTCGATGTGTGACCTGGGACAGCCTTCTAAGGCCGGGGCTGCAGGGGGCTGTCTTCTGAATACGTGGACCACTCACGGCTCAGCCTGGGATCGCAGAAGGCCAGACCTCAGTTCCTGAGACAGAACCTCTGACCTCCCAGCTGCCCCATCTTAATGTGACAAGGGCAGTGCTGCTGGGGCGGGGGGGACCTGGCCTCCATCATACCCACCCAGAACCTGGCTAAGTAGCTGCAGCCAGAGGAGATTTCTGCCCCTGGAGTGGGATTTGGGGAGAGGGGGCTGAGCCTACATGCGGGGTGCAAGGGGGCAGAAAGCACCGATTACAGCAGAATGGGGGACCCCACCCTTCTACTCCCTTCCCAAGCCTCCTTTTCCAAGCACTGGCCCCTTTGTTCTTCCTGAGGGGGCCCTGGGCTTCGGCCCCCATCCAGATGTCCATTCTTCCAGCACTGCTGATGGTTGGTCACAGTGGGGCAGGTGCCCACCCAGGCCAGTGCCCCGCAGCTCGCTGAAGCAGGGCCACAGAGGTGGGCCAGGCAGCCCCAGTTCAGACACTCCCTGGGGTGAGCCTCCTCAGCCTGAGCAGAGATCTGGTCTCTGAATGCAGCCACAGAGCCTCTTCTGAACTTCCTCCTCAGCAAACGTGAACGCAGAATGGTGCCTGCAACTCTTCCCCACAGCAAGTGAGCCGTGTGGTCCCCCCAGCACACGCACGCAACACCAGCACCTCCTAGGGCACTCCTGCCTGCCTACCTGGCAGTGCCGATGTTCCGATACTGGCACAGCAGCAGGTGCCGGAAGGTCTTTTTAAAGGTGGCGTTGCACAGAGCATAGCAGGCAGGGTTGATGGTGCTGTTGACGTAGCAGAGCCAGTAGCCAATGGACCACACCGTGTCAGGGATGCAGCTCTGGCAGAAGGTGTTCACCAGGACCATGACGTTGTAGGGCGTCCAGGTGAGGATGAAGGCTAGCAGAATGGCAAAGATCGTTCGTGTCACTTTGCGCTCCCGGGCCGCCATCTGCCGCTTCTTGCGCACCTGGTTGCGAGCGATGCTGGCGAACTTGCGGGCCACGTTGGCCGCAGGGCGCATGCCAGCCGGCGTGGCAGGCACAATCTCAATGGCTGTCACACACTCATTGCCTGTCTGCTTCGTCACAATCTGGATCTTGGACCATCTGGAGGCTGGGTTGAGGGCCCGCGGCTGCAGGGGAGGGGCGGGCATGGCGGGCGTGGTGGCCTCTGTGGTGGACAGCTCTGTGGCTGGGCGTTCCTTGGTGTTCTGGGTGGCACTGCCTGAGCTGGACTCATTGGAAGTGTCCTTATCAGCCACGGGGCGCGGTGGCGGTGGCAGCGCTGGCGGGGGGGCCTCCTCCAGCTTGCCATTGCGCAGCTCCTCCCGGGCGGCCTCCCCGGGCGGGGGCTTCTTGACGCTCTGCTTCATTAGTGGGCTCTTGAGGAAGGCCAGCGTCTTGGCTTTCTTCTCCTTCGGGCCCTCGGGCCGGTGCTTGTGGACTCGGCTGCGACTGGCCAGGGAGATGTGGATGTACAGCACCGTCATGATGACCACAGGCAGGTAGAAGGCAGCAATGGCTGTGCCAAAGGTCACTGCTGGGTTGGACAGGAACTGGATGAAGCACTGGTTGTCGGGCACCGTCCGCTTACCCACCACAAACTGCCAGAACAAGATGGCAGGCGCCCAGAGCACGAAGGACAGTACCCAGGCAGCAGCAATCATGAGGCCTGCCATCTTGGTGGTGCGCCGGGCAGGGTAGGTGAGAGGCTTGGTGACGCAGAAGTAGCGGTCAAAGCTGATGATGAGAAGGTTCATGACGGAGGCGTTGCTCACCACGTAGTCCAGGGCCAGCCACAGGTCGCAGACCACGGCGCCCAGGGGCCAGTAGCCCTTGATGATGTACACGGTGTAGAGGTTCATGGAGAAGGCGCCTATGATGAGATCAGCACACGCCAGGCTGAAGAGGAAGTAGTTGTTGACTGTCTGCAGCTGCCTGTTGACCTTGATGGACAGCATCACCAGGATGTTGCCCACGACAGTCACCAGGCTCAGGGAGCCTGTCACTGTGGCAATGAAGACCATTTCCACCGTCTCATAGCGATTGTGGGATGATGACGTGACCAGGCGCACGGACTGATTGCCCGAGCTGCCATTGACAGGTGTGAAGTTGGCCATGTTGGTTGCCAGGGGTGGGTAGGCCGTGTCTGGGGAGGAAGGGGAGAGAAAAGCATGAACTACAGGAGGGAATGGGGGAGTCATCTGGAGGTACACTGGATTCAAGGTGACAGAGGGACATTCTCTGGCAGAATGCCTTGAGAGAACTCTGTCCCGCCATCCCGCATTTGCCCATTCATTCAACATTAATTGAGCACCTACTATGTGGCAAGCATTGCTCAGGGTGCTGTGGCTACAGAAGTGAATAAGACACACATGGCCCCCTGCCTCATGGGGGGAGACATGCAAACACGTGAGCCACAAAAGAAAAAAAAGGCAGGGTGATGAGAGAGTGAGTCAGAAGGCAGGACAGGCATGACTCCTTGCTAGGTGGCCTCACCCACCAGGTCATCTGGGTGATGAGGAGCCAGCCACAGGAGGAGCTGTGGAGAGTGGCCCTGCCAGGGGCAGTAGCCACAGCAAAGGCCTGGAGGCAGCGCAAGGCCTGGACAGAGGCCAGTGCTGGGGGAGCTCAGGGAAGCAAGAGGAGGAGGAGAGTGGTCCCAGAGGCCCACGAGCATGTGGGCTCTGGAGGGAGGTGTTCTGTTCATCCATTTACCCATTCGGTCATTTCTTAACACCTGCTCTCCAACCCCTGTAGAAGACACTGGGACAAAGGCAATAATCGGGGTATGTATGAGCACCTAACACTGATGGTCTACTAAGTGCCAAGCACTTTTGACACTTAAAAAAAGTGTCTATTTATTTATCTATTTATTTGTAGAGACAGGGTCTTGGTATGTTGTCCAGGCTGGTCTAGAACTCTTGAGCTCAAGCCATCCTCTCACCTCCTGAGTAGCTGGGACTCCAGGCGCCATCATGCCTGGCAACATTTTTTATAGTGTTAACTCATTTCATCCTCATAACAAACCTATGAGGTAGATACCATTTTTTCTCTACTACTTACAGATGGGGAAACTGAGGCACGGAGCTGTTAAAAGCCTGACCAAGGTTTCACGGCTTCTTGCACTATGTTGCTGGTGGGATTAAGTGCGGGGTGAGGTGGTGAGAGGAAGGCAGTCCCGTAACTTAAGAGCTCTGGCTGAAGGAGGCCAAAGAGCTCCAGGAGCCAGAAGGCTTTGCAGGGGACCAGAGGCGGTGCATGGAGCTGGGCACCCCAGAGAGGAGGAGAGTCCCTGCAGAAGGGGCTTCAGGAGGTACCTGCAACTGTCACATCCCCTTCAAGGAGTCCTCAGCTCCAGCCACAGGGCATGCAGCTGGGAGGGAGGCAGTGCAGGGGTCACTAGGTTGTCAGAGAACCCTGAGGCCCAACTGGGGACCCGTGAGGTGAAAGAATTGTCCCAGAGGGAAGAGAAGGGCTGCCAGGGCCGCCTCTCCCCTCCACAGTCCACTCCGCACACCGGGCGGCGCCCTAGCTGGAGTCCCCACCACAGGCCCTTCCCTGAGCCTGCCCTCCCTCCCACCAGGCTCCTCTTAGCTCTCCTCCCCCTCTTCCTCTTCCCTCCATGTGAGGGAGGCCCACGCCAGCTCTGAGTGCCAGGGCAGCCGCTCAGCCCAGCCTCCTTCACACCCGCCAACACACACACCGCTCCACAGACGCACGCGGGCCCATCACAGCCACGCCAGCCCAGCAGGCATGGTCGGATACGCAGTTCTGTGCGTCTGTGTGTGAGAGGAAGAGAGGGCGCGGCAGCCGGCTGTGGAGGAAGGAGCACTAACCCGCAGCCTGGGCTCTGGCTCTGTGGCCTGAGACGATCCACTGCCCCTTCCTGCACCTCTTTCTCATTTGCAGAATAGAGAGGATCCTGTCCTGGGACATCCTCCCCAGCAGCTATAGGGATTGGCACCTAAACTTGATCTCTATACATAAACACAAAAATGTACTGCAGGCTGGGGCCAAGGGCCAGGGTAACTGCCCCAAGTCTGACCCCAGCCCTTCTATTCCACCGTCGCAGATACAGACCCAGCCTCCTAGCCTGATAGTTCAAGTTCTCCTGTTCTAAATCCTTGGTTCGTAGGAGGAGAGGCTGAGAGCAAGTGTTGTCACCCCCAAGGTCACACAACGAGTCAAGGGCAAAGACCACATACTGCCCTCTCTTGGGGTCCCTGACAACCCCATTTGGCTCTGAGAGCCTCTGAAATAGAAGCTCAGGTGTCACTCTCTGAGCTGTCCCCTCCAGCACCAGGAGGCTGCCCTCCCCCAATCACTCACGTGGAGGAGGGGACAGGGCAGGCAGGAGTAATCAGTCAGCCAGCCCCAAGGAAACTCACTTCAGCCTCCCAAGGCAGGATACAGGGCAGCAGGATGATAACAAACGGGGCTAGAAGTGCAGAATGTGAAAACATAATAGCTCTTGTTTATTGAGTGTTAACTGCGTGTCAGGAACCCCTCTGAGCTTTTAATATAGATTATCTGGTTTAATCCTTACAACAGCCTGAAAAGGCAGGTATTATTAGTGTCCTCATCTTACAGATGTAAATATCCTCTTATAGATGAGGATAATGTTAATCAACTGGCCCAAAGTCACCAGGTTAGGAAGTACGGGTGGGGGCAGAAGAACCCGGGAAGCTCCTTCTTAAAGTCCAAGGTGCTACTGCTCAGAGTTGACCTCCTGCCTCTGCTCCCCTCGACCCGAAAACCACACAACTGAGGGACTGTCCAGGTGAGGCTTGGGTAGGGTCCCCTCACATTCCTGCTGGCTTCTCGACTTAGCTTTCCCAGAAGACAAGCGATGTCTTGTCTTCTCCCAGATCCTGGCGGCTGGGCTGAGCCGGGACCACTGGATGGCCGGTGATTAAGTCCTGCTCTTGGCCCGCGTGAGGGAGCTGCCAGGTGCTGACAGGGCGAGGCTCAGGGTCTCCCCGACTCCGCCCCGCCCCAGCTGTCGTCGTTTTGGACACCTCGGGGTCACCCGCAGACATTCCGACCCCCTCTGGCGCCTTCCCTGGAATCCAGATACGCCTGGCATCTGGGGAGCGAGCCGCCGCCGCCGGGGCTGTGCGCACCGCTAGATGGCAATGTCGGTCCCTGGTGCCCGCTCCGGACCTAGACCGTGCGGCCGCCGTTGGCCACCGCCCCCAACTCCAATGCGACTGCGAACCCAGAGGAGCCCTCAGGCACAGCCTCCCGGGGAAGTGACGCGGGGTCCCCTCGCCAGGCCCCGTCGGACGCCGCCCCAGAGCTGCCCTCGGCTCCGCGCGGGGTTCTCGGGTGGGAAAGTTGAGGGAGCCCGGATTCCACCCGGCACCCTGCGAGGAACGTGTGGGCGGGAGCGCGAGTGCGAGTTCTGTTTGTGTGTGCCTACGGGGGAGCGCGAGTAGACGCTAGTAGCTGTATGCATGTGCGTGTGTGTGCGCACGGCCACGCCTGGATACCAGTCCGCCCGTGAGAGCGCGTGAGCATGCCGCGCCGTGTGCACACGTGCATGTGCATGCGTGTGCGTGCCTAGGGTGCTGTGGCCGGGAGGATGCACACGGTTCGGGTGCCTCTACACCTGTGGACTTGCATGCACAAGCAAATGCAGGGCCGAGAGTGGGTGACCGGTCACATTCCAAACGCCCCTGCCGGAGACTCAGCCAGACCTTAGCTGTCCGCCTGAGCGCGTAGAGGGTCGGGCCAGGAGCCTGCATCGGGATTGCACCTGGCCTGTGGGTGAAGGGTTGTGCGGGCGAGGAGGCCAGACTACTAGGGGCTGCCTGCGACGGGCCACCTAACTTTGGGACGCCGTCTTAGCCCGGTGCCCAGAGGTGTCCAAGTCCTTAAAGATGTGGCAGAGTCCTAGCCTCTGACTGACATCTGTCGAGGGGCCTCTGCGAGAGTCGCCCAACCTGGCCTTGAGGGACACCAGGCACGCTCAGCTCTAATAACTCCCCTAAGAGGCGTTATTGCCAAAAGCCGCCCATTCTCGCGGCGAGAGGGCATCCGCAGTGCACCCACAAGGCGGAGGCCCGGACAGAGCTCGGGTCAGGCGAGTGCAAGACTCTTGTCCTCCTTCTCTCCTCACCCTGCACCCTACCCCAGAGGCACTGTCTAGCCCCTGTGACCAAAGTGGGGACCCAGTTTCTCACGCTAGGGTCGGGCGGGCCTCGAGGGCCGTGTTTTCCTAGGCCATCTGGAGGCTCCTCCATGTCTCCGCCGTGGTCGAAGGAGCCCTGGCTCTCGGGTGCCCCGCCCTCCCTCCAAGCCCCTAGCACGCAGTTCCTGCAGCCTCTGGGCGTGGGCACTGTGTTTCCCGAGTCCTCGACACCCCTCTTCCCCGGGCGAGACCGGAGGGGGTGCTCCGCACGCCCGTGGGGTGGTTTGGGGTGTAGGTCTTCGGTTCTTGGGCATTCACTCCATGGCTCTGGGAAGGCTGTGGCCCCTGGATCTGTCCCTGGGGCGGGAGAGGAGACTCCAGAGTCCAAGGGAGGGAGAGGCGAAGATTTGGCACCGACATTGTGCCCAACACTTCCGTTGCGGGGCCGGAGGAGGGGGCCTGGAGCTGGAGGACCCCGGCTTGGAGGCTGGGCAGCAAAGGGGGGTAGTACCGGAGCGGGGGAGGGGTGTCGGGGAGGGCAGGGGTGTTTTCCGTCGGGGCTCAAGGTCGTAGATGGAGGACTCCAGGGGCCGGAGTGGGCTGGCAGCGCGGGGGCAAAGGGGTGGAGGGAGAGGGAGGGCGGGGAGACGGCGGGAAAAGGGCTCTTTGGGGCTTCAGCGCCCGGCGCCCTGCTGAGCCGCCAGTGGGAGGGCTGGAGTACAGGGTCCCACCCCCGACGGCTGCCCCTGGCTCCGTGGGGTCTGTGGGCGGGCAATCCCCCGCCCCCGACATCCTGGATGCCCACCCCTTCCCACGGGCGCACCCGGGCGCACCTGGAGAAGCCTCCGAGAGCCCCCGGCCTTGCTTCCAGCGGGGTCCCCCAGCCCCGGCCCACTGCCGCTCCCGGCCCGCGCTCGCCCCGGAGGGGGTCTGGCGCCCTGTCCCAGTCGAACCCACCTCTGGGGAGCCTCAGAGCGTCCCGGGGACCTGCTTCCTGCTCTTCCCGGCGAGCCCCCCGCCCCCGCGCCGCCGCGGAGCCACTTACCCGCCGCCTCTGCCCAGCTCCCCTCGCGCCAGACAGACGGCGGGACGGACGCGCGGCCCCGCGGGCCGGCGGGGCGGGCGGCCGGGCCGAGGGCCGGGGGCGGGGACGGGGTGTCGAGGGGCGGCCCCTGCTCCGCCCGCAGCTCCCGGCGCTGTGGCTCCGACTCGCGCTCACGCTCGCACTTTTCCCCGAGCCGCGTGATGTCACGAGGAAGCAGCCAATCGTGGCGGGGCCGCGCCGCCCGCCCCGGGCCGGTCACCCGGCGGCGACGCGCGGGGGTCAACACCCGAGGCGTCGGAGACCCCGGCGGTCCGCGCCCCTCTCGGGGGCTGGCCGGCAGCTCCCTGCTTGGGCACAGAGGGCGCCGCCCACGGCCAGCGACGCAGGGGAGCAGGGGGCGCTGCCCTCCGGGGGGTGGGGGTGTCCGCGTTGTCATGGGGACGCGGCGCCCCCTCGCGGGCTGGGGAAGGAGCTGGCAGCTGGGTCCGGCCGCGCTCCCGCCTCCGCCCTGACCATACTCCCGGGACCCTGAGCTATTTTCGCGCCTCTCCGGGACCTCAGCGCCCTGCGTGGCCCCGCTGGCGGTTTGGCCGCGAGGCGCGGGAGTCTGACCCCAGCGGGAGGCTGCGGGTGGGTGGGGCGGGCTGCGCCGCCAGGGATCCGTCGGGGTCGAGGGCCGGGAGCTCCAGCCGCGCCGCTGCGTGCCGGCCGGGCCGCCCGCGAGGAGGGGCGCCGTCGGGGCCTGGGGAAGCGCAGGAGCGGGTGGACTGGAGAGGTTCGGCCGGGGAGAGAAGAGCCCACCGCGGACCACTCGCCCGCACCCGCTCGGCTGCCTGCTCAGCGTTCCGGGCCGGGGAAGGGGCGCGCCCCTGCTCTCCCAGCCCTGGGATGGGACGCGCCGCCAGTCCAGGCGCAGCCTGGACCGCCAGTTCACCGCCGCCTGTGAGGGACAGTCGGTTGCCCAAGGTCGCCGGGGCCGGAGCCCGGGACAAGATCCCGGAGAGCGGGCAGCCAATCTCAGAGGTCGCTGGGAACCGCACGGGCCGTAGCCTCAGGACTCCGGGCCTCGCCCAGGCTGGGCGGACCTTGGGGCGGCTTCAGCACCTCGGAGAGCTCCCCGCGCCCTGGCCCAGCAGCCTCGCCTGCCTGATTCCGCTCCAGCGCTTGTCTCCCTCCGAGAGCGCCCTTCCGGGGGACCGCCGGGGTCGGACGCTCCCCACTGCGCCCAGGACCGAGGCCTGTAACCCCAAATTCTGATCGCAAACATTTGATTAAGCTTAAGACGTCTGATTTCTTCTCTCGGGGAAACAACTCAAGACCCTCCCCCGAGGGCCGGAGGTGGTGAGGGCGATTGCGGGGGCGGCGGTGGAGGAGAGGCAGGAGCCTCTTGGCAGAGAATGGGAGGGAACTCGAGTAGAAGCCAGCGCTGCGGGGCTCTTGGTGTGGGGTTCTCCGCGCGGAACCCGGAAGTGGAGTTCGGGTCCCCAGAGCTCGCGAGCGCGACGGCTGGGGTTGGTCGGAATTGGGAACTTCAGGGCTGGGGTTGGTTGGCTAGAGTAGGAAGCCATCTTCTGTTGTTACATGAATGATCGGGTCTCCCAAGACCTCATAACTGGGGGTGAAAGAAGCACTACTCTTCTTGCCCCACTTCACAAATAAGGAAAGTTGGTTCATAAGACCCTAAGACGGCACTCCTGCACTTCTTCCACTTTGCCATATCCTTCCCAGGGCACAGAAGAGTGTGATACTCCTAAGAGGAGGTGGGGGTTGTGGAGGAGGAAGGCAGATAGATCCTTAAAACAGTCAGATGAGAAAACAAGCAAGGCCAAGGGCGGGAGGCTGCATACACAAGACACGCCTCCAGCTACTGACCCCAGCTCTTCCAGAAGCTGGCAGGCAAAGTCACTTTAATTTCTCCACAATCCCTGTTATGAAGGGCTTTTGACCTCTCTCAATCTCCCAACCCCAAGAACCCACGGTGGAACCCTGGAGAGCTGAATTGGGAACAAGGGGACTTGGTGGTTTCTCTGCTCTGCTTTTGATGCCACTAGGTCAGCAGACAAGTAACAGAATTTCTCTGAACCTATTTCCTCATCTCCAAAAGGGACTGCCCCTATCTTTGCCCTGGTGACCCCACAACCTTGTGACGTGTAAGGGGCCTGCAAAGGTTTTACTACCAGAGAGGCTCTGTCATTGGGCAAGGGCTTTCTAAGGAAAGGGGCTGGTGTGGGGACAGAGAGGTGTTGACAAGGGCCTCCAATGGGGGGTGGGGAGGTTGGGGAGGGTGGCTGGCACCATCCAGAGACAGCAGAGACAAGGCCTGGCAGGTCCAAATTTGGACCACCTTGGCCGGATGGTGGCTCACGCCCACAAACCCAGCATTTTGGGAGGCCGAGACAGGCAGATCACTTGAGGTCAGGAGTTTGAGACCAGCCTGGTTAACATGGTGACACCCCATCCCTACTAAAAATACAAACAAAATTAGCTGGGTGTGGTGGCACACACCTGTAATCCCAGTTACTCAGGAGGCTGAGGCAGGAGAATTGCTTAAACCTGGGAGGTGGAGGTTGCAGTGAGCTGAGATTGTGCCATTGCACTCCAGCCTGGGTGACAGAGACTCCATCTCAAAAACAAAACAAAACAAAACAACAAAAAACAAACAAAAAAACCCAAAAAACAAATTTGGACCACTTCATCCCTAGGGACCTCCCCATACCCTTTTCCCCAAAGCAACAGAACAAGTCAGGGTTCCATTGTTTCTCCTACACCTTGTCTTCCTTCTGTAGAAATGACTGGCTGAAGTGTGCACTCTGGAATCATACACTACTTGGTTCAAACTCTGGCTCTGCCAGTTAATTGTGTGCTCTGGGGGTAACAGCAGTAATGACCTCAGAGAGTTTTTGTGAGGATTGACAGAGAGAACGCACATTGACTCCTGGCCTGTGGTTTACATTAAACAAATTAGCAGGACCCACTATCAGACCAAGGAATTCTTCCTCCAACGGGTGGTGGGGAGAGGATGTGGGGCAGTGGGCTCCCTTCTCCTTCCATCCTTCAATGCTTAGCTCAAATCCACTTTTTTTTTTTTTTAAAGAGATAGCATCAGCCGGGCACGGTGGCTCATGCCTGTAAACCCAGCACTTTGGGAGGCCAAGGCAGGCAGATCACCTGAGGTCGGGAGATCGAAACCAGCCTGACCAACACGGAGAAACCCCATCTCTACTAAAAATACAAAATTAGCCAGGCGTGGTGGCTCATGCCTGTAATCCCAGCTACTAGGGAGGCTGAGGCAGGAGAATCGCTTGAACCTGGGAGATGGAGGTTGCGGTGAACCGAGATGGCACCATTGCACTCCAGTCTGGGCAACAAGAACGAAACTCCGTCTCAAAAAAAAAAAAAAAAAAAAAGAGAGAGAGAGATACGGTCTCACTTTGTTGCCCAGGCTGGACTTGGACTCCTGGGCTCAAGTGATCCTCCTGCCTCAGCCTCCCAAGTACTTAGGGACTACAGGTGTCTAAATCCCACCTCTGAAAGGAAGCCTGCCCTAGCCACTTGTGTGCTCTCTGGGCTTCAGTGATTCCAAAGTACAGAACTAGAAGTAACTTTGAGGTTGTGTAGTACAAGCCCTGCATCCTAACAAGGGAAAGTGAAGCCCAGAAAAGGCAAATGGCTTGCCCAAAGTCACACAGCTAAGTGATGTGTCTTTCAGTCCAGAGTCCACTAATACAGAATTTTCTAGAAAATAAGAGTCTTCCTAACTCTGGCCATGGTTTTTTATTTCTTGCTTGCCAACTTATCTTTTGGTTTTGTCTCTGTTGGAGCAGAACCTGGAATTCTGAGTGCCCCATGGCATCAGGGACAGATTTGGGCACACACACACACACTCAAAAGTACGTGCTGCTGGCAAAAAGCCCTGGAATTGCTTGGATTTTCCATTAGAGCTCTTGAAGAGTTGGGGCAAATATCCTTTTCCCACTTGAGACGGAGTCTCACTCTGTTGCCCAGGCTGGAGTGCAGTGGCGTGATCTTGACTCACCGCAACCTCTGCCTCCAGGGTTCAAGCCTCCCCAGTAGCTAGGATTACAGGTGCGAGCCACCACGCCTGGCTAATTTTTTTGTATTTTTAGCAGAGACAGGGTTTCACCATGTTGGCCAGGCTGGTCTCAAACTCCTGACCTCAAGTGATCCGCCTGTCTCGGTCTCCCAAAGTGCTGGGATTACAGGCGTGAGCCACCACGCCTGGCCAGCTGGAAGCTTTCAAGCAGCCAAAGCCCACGAATAGAGCAGGCCTTTCGGCCACTGTAGGGAAGACACAGTCAAGGGAGACCTGAGCAGCTAGCAACTGGCACCTTGCCTGCAGATAGGACCAAGCCCCTCCACCTGCCTAGCAGGCTGGACACCTGCTGTGCGTGCTTTCCCAGGACTGGAGGGGATCCAGGTTTCTGGCCAGTTACATCACTTCAGGCCTGTAGTCCTGGGTGGGAAGCTATTAGGATGAATAGCCTTCTGTCGTTCCTTCCTACATACTCACCCTGGCACTGGAAGGTGGCCCCAGTCTGTAGCAGGCCCTGGGGAAGCAGGAAGTGGTGGCGTACAGAGAAGTGGTATGAAGCAGAGGTGGCAGCCCTCACCTGACCAGCTCTGGCGAAGGGGTCAGAGGGGTCCACTGCACCCCACTAGGAGAGCACCAGAAACAGTGCCGGGAGAACCTGGGCCTGGCCCAGTTCAATGCCCCTCACTTCCCAATCCCCACCCCTCCCCCATCCTCCTTGGAAATAAGAGAGAGGAGCCTGGCGAGGGGCATGTCATCATTTTAATGATGTGATCTTTGGTGTTTCCCTCATTAGCTGTAGACTATCCCCTCTCCTCCCACCACAATGTTTCTATGATGAGTTACAAACAGAAAGGAAATCACATTTTCATACTAAAAACAAAATGATCAGAGCCTTGATTTCTCCACTAGAAACTACACGTACAGTTAAGAGTCCACATGCAACACCTTAAATCACAGACTGAGACCTCACATTCTGACCTGGAGTCTCCTCCCCTTCCCCAGCCTTGGGCTAGCTTTGGCCTAGGCTCAGGTAATACTGACACCCACAGGCGCTGCTCTGAGGGCCTTGCGGGGAGAAGACTGGTGGACAAGCCCTGGGGGCTGGCCAGCCTACACCCCCCACTCCTGAGTGAGGACCTGCCCACTGTCCCTTGACCCCATCCTGTATCAGGCAAGCAGGCGCCCCCTTACCCCACAGTAGTCCCCCATTAGTAAATGCCGAAGTCCCTGTCCTCAAGAATCTGGGAGCCTGGCCCGATCCCTGTTGGTTTCAGTGGGGTAAGACGACGAAGAGAGGCTGAAGCTCTGGAAGGCTCAGAGTTGGAGGTGGTGTCTGGGTTCCTGGTGGCTCTGCCCACCCAACAGGTGGACAGGGCAAAGCTGCCTCGCGGGCCTCTGTCCAGGATGATTGGCCCAGATCTGGAAGACTGTTCACTCTCTGGAGGCTCTCTGTCCAGGGCTGAGTCCCCTGAGCCCATGTTACTAGGAGAAAGTGGGGTGCCTGGCAGAGATACCCACTTGTTCCTCTATTCACATTAAGCCCACAGTGTGGCTCTCCCGGGCTCCAGATCCTGGAAGGTTCTAGTTCCCCGAGGCAGGCCTTGCCCATTTGACTGTCTTGTGCCCACTGACTGATCTTCCTCTCCACCCTGACCCTCTTCCTCCTCCTGTTCCCTGATGCAGCCAGCAGCTCTTCCACATGTCCAGTTCCCAGTCAGCTGTGAGGTCCGGTTTCTGCTTGGCGGTTCGAGGGGAGGCACCAGTGCAACGTTTGTCTCTACCTGTTCCGTGGTTCTCCCCTAGGGCCTGCAGCGTCCCCCCTGCTGCTGCCACCATCCAGAAGGTGGTTGTTATTGGTCAACTCGCAGTGGAGGGTTGGTCCCTCAGCGCTGGGAAGGGAAACAGGAATGGGGACAGGGGAGGAAGAGGGCAGGGTTGGCTGGGTTGGCTCCCGCCCAGGGGTACCAGGCTGGTCCCAGGAAGCTGTCCGGGGGCTTAGGCCTCGCTCTGCCAGTTGCCCGGCCTCTGGGAGCAGTCCCCGAGAGGTGGAGGGCTGGGGTGAGGAGGTGTGGGCGGCACCAGGTTCAGTGCCCGTCTGAGAGCTGCGGTGAATGCGGTGGCTGACGATGATGTTGTTGCCGAAGCCGCCCATGGAGGCCATGGTGGTGCTCTGCTCCCGCTGCACCACGGCTGTCATGCCGCCCTCCGCCATCAGCCTCTGGATCCTGCTGAGCGCATCTTCTCCACTGGCACCATACTCTGAACCCTCACCTGGCAGATACAAAGCAGAAGAGAGAGCGAATTGGCTGCTGGCCTGGGCCTCTGAGGCAGGTGGGCAGCCACCGGTAGCAGCTGGGGGATTCTTGACTAAACGCAGGATAGAGAAAGACTCGCTCCATCACTGTGAAAACCAATCCGAGTCTTGAAAGCTAGACAAAACCCCCAAAATGTTCACAATCCATACTTCTGTTTTACTGGTGGGGAAACTGAGGCCTAGGATGGCCAGTTAAGAGGCAGCACTGGCCCAGAAGGCAGCAGGTTGGCCTCAATGAGTTCTCTCAGCACCAGTGGCAGCTTAGCATGCGAGAAGGCAGGTTCAGACAGCTGGTTTTGTCTGCCTGCTCCCTGTTGTGGAAACTCAGCAGACCTAGGGCTGAGCTGGGGTATGCCACCCTTTCTCTGCAAAGAGAGTAGGTACCCTATGGGTGTGGCCCAAAGGGAAACAGTCTGCTCTGCTTCATTACAATGCTGTCTTCCTTCAGCGTAGTTTTGTGTTACCTCCTCAAAGCCCCTGAGGAAGCTGAGAGTTATTTTTATATTGATTGATTGATTGATGGAGTCTCACTCTTTCACCCAGGCTGGAGTGCAGTGGTGCGATCTCAGCTCACTGCAAGCTCTACCTCCTGGGTTCACACCATTCTCCTGCCTCGGCCTCCTGAGTAACTACAGGTGCCCGCCACCACACCCAGCTAATTTTATATTTTTAGTAGAGACAGGGTTTCACCATGTTAACCAGGATGTTCTTGATCTCCTGATCTCGTGATCTGCCCACCTCAGCCTCCCAAAGTGTTGGGATTACAGGTGTGAGCCACTGCGCCTGGCCTATTTTATTTATTTTTGAGACAGAGTCTTGCTCTGTCACCCAAGCTGGAGTGCAGTGGTGTGATCTTGGCTCACTGCAACCTCCGCCTCCCGGGTTCAAGCAATTATCCTGCCTCAGCCTCCCAAGTAGCTGGGATTACAGGCATGCACCATCATACCTGGCTCATTTTTGTATTTTTAGTAGAGATGGTGTTTCCCCATGTTGGCCAGGCTGGTTTCGAGCTCCTGACCTCAGGTGATCCACCCTCCTCGGCCTCCCAAAGTGCTAGGATTACAGGCGTGAGCCACCACGCCTGGCCATATTTATTTATTTTTTTGAAATGGAGTTTTGTTCTAGTCGCCCAGGCTGGAGTGCAATGATGCGATCTCAGCTCACTGCAACCTCCACTTCCTGGGTTCAAGCCATTCTTCCGCCTCAGCCTCCGAGTAGCTGGGATTACAGGTGCCCGCCACCACACCCAGCTAATTTTTGTATTTTTAGTAGAGACGGGGTTTCACCATGTTAGCCAGGCCAGTCTCGAACTCCTGACCTCAGGTAATCTGCCTGCCTCAGCCTCCCAAAAGGCTGGGATTATAGGCATGAGCCACCGTGCCCAGCCTTTGTTTTTTGAGATGGAGTTTTGCTCTTGTCACTCAGGCTGAAGTGCAGTGGCACAATCTTGGCTCACTGCAACCTCCACCTCCCAGGTTCAAGCGATTCTCCTGCCTCAGCCTCCTGAGTAGCTGGGATTACAGGCTCCCACCACACCTGGCTAATTTTTTGTATTTTTAGTAGAGATGGGGTTCCACCATGTTGGCCAGGCTGCTCTCGACCTCCTGACTTCAGGCGATCCGCCCACCTAGGCCTCCCAAAGTGTTGGGATTACAGGCGTGAGCCACCGTGCCTGGTCAGAAGCTGAGAGTTTTAACTGTTCCTTGGAAGGGCTGTTTCCTTCTCTTCTTTCCCTTTACCCCCCAGTCTTCACAAGCTATTCCCCAGTTATTGTTCTCCTGGGGCTCAATGCCTGATGCCATATTTCCCGGAAAAGAGTCAACTGACCAGCACAGGACCCAGGTCTAGGGAGGGAGAGAAGGATCTGTCCGCCACTCCCTCTGCAGAAATGCCTGAGCATTCCCTTGTGTGGGAACAGAAAAGACTTCGGCTCAAATCTCAGCTGTCACTTGCTTGCTGGGTGACCTTGAAAAAAATCCCTAACATCTACCTTGCACGGTGCTGGAGAGAGAAAAGGAGCTAACGCACAGCCCAGGCACTTGGTCAACGGTGCCTGTTGTGATTAACTTGGGGTCTGCAGCAGTGGAGCTCTATTGCTGTGGGACCTCCCTTCCAGCTTTCTGCTCAGCTCTTGGTAGGGTGAGAACCAGGCCAAGACCGTGGGCAACTATGATCAAGGCTCTGAGGCTGCGAGGGATGGCTCCACTGAACTGCTGATTTGTCTCCATCAGCTACTGTTTGGAATTTTGCAGTTTTGGGGGTTTTGATGGTGAGTTTTCTTTCCTTTTGGGGTACTTGCCAGCAGCTATTTTTATGAGACTTTCTTTGCTCCCCTAACCCCATCCATCCCCTTCTCTCTGCCTGCCTCATTAGAGTTGGATTTCCAGGCCAGCCAGTTTCACAGCTTGGTGGCATCTAAGGCCCCAAGAGATCTCTCACCCTTCTTGTTGGTACTTGGCAGCCTCATGCTTCTAGTTCTTTCTATAGTTTTTTTTTTTTTTTTTTTTTTTTTTTTTTTTTTTTGAGACCAGGTCTCGCTATGTCACCTAAACTGGAGTGCAATGGTACAAACATGGCTCACTGTAGCTTAGCCTCTTGGGTGCAAGTGATCCACCCACCTCAGCCTCCTGAGTAGTAGGGAGTACAGGCAAGCACCACTCCTGGCTAATTTTTTGTACTTTTTGCAGAGACGGTTTCGCCGTGTTGCCCAGGCTGGTCTTGAACTCCTGGGCTCAAGCAATCCTCCTGCCTTGGCCTCCCAAAATGCTGGGATTACATGGGTGAGTCACTGCGCCCAGCCCCAGTCTTAGACGATCTTCCTCAGCATTATGTCCTCTCTTGCTTTTCTGGACAACCCCTGATAAAGCACTGCCCTCCATCCCTCAAGGTGGCTGCCCTTCCCCACTTCCTCCTGGGACACCCGGCTCCAGCTCCCAGGGCAGAAGGA
The DNA here is from genome assembly GCF_000001405.40 of Homo sapiens. Taxonomy (NCBI): domain Eukaryota; kingdom Metazoa; phylum Chordata; class Mammalia; order Primates; family Hominidae; genus Homo; species Homo sapiens. Next base: position 46,400,934 of record NC_000011.10, read on the forward strand.
GAGAAAACCTGAAGGGCTCTCAGAGTACTGGGTCAACCCCATCTTCAGGTTTTAAAGCCTTCTAACAGTGGGGCAGAAGGTAAGAAGAAAAAAGTCAACCTACGGCCTTGGTGCCCACAGAGATTCTACCCTGGGAGCCAAGGGCTGCCTGGGGAGGTCCCCTGGGGCCCTCCCTGTGCTCACTGTAGCCCCAATGCTTTCTCAGAACTCTGTGCACTGAAGCCCTCGCAGCATGGTCTGGGGCGTGCTGTGGCTGGCCTGAGGCCTGCTGGCATTGGAGTGCACTGTGCCAGGCGCTGTGCCTAGTGAATTCTCAGCTCTTTTCGAGACAGAGTCTCGCTCTGTCGCCCAGACTGGAGTGCAGTGACATGATCTCAGCTCACTGCAACCTCCACTTCCCGGGTTCATGCAATTCTCCTGCCTCAGCCTCCCGAGTAGCTGGGACTACAGGCATGTGCCACCATACCCAGCTAATTTTTGTATTTTTAGTAGAGACAGTGTTTCATCATGCTGGCCAGGCTGGTATCAGACTCCTGACCTTGTGATCCACCCACTTGGACCTCCCAAAGTTCTGGGAGGCATGAGCCACCGCACCCAGCTCAGCTCTTCTCAAGTAGATTACCAGGGGCAGAACAGGCTGCCTTGGGGCCCTATGGGTGCTGCTGCAGCCAAGCCCCCAGAGAGCCCCGGATGGGCTTTCCCAGGCTCTGCGGGAGGCCCTGCTGCTGGCACTCAAGTCTGAGCCCACTGCTTGCTTGCCTATGGCTCCAGGCCTGGCCACCCCTCTCTATGGCTATGACTGTGTCCTAACTGGGCTTCTTGCTTCCAGTCTCCTCCCCTTCCGTCTAGTCTCCACACTGTTCCTATTACCATCCTAATTCAGCTCTGCTGACTTGAGCTCTGGTTAAGTCTGCACCCTGTTCAAAACCCAGCAGCTGCAAAAGCCCTCACAGTAGTCAAAACTCCTTAGCTTGACATTTGAGGGCTCTCTGGCCAGACCCTTATCATGCTGCAGACCTTCCTGCCCTGTCCCCCACATTCCTGCAGGTACCCGGCAGCCCTGCTCCCTGCCTGCACAGATGGGCATACACTGTGCACACTGTGCCATGCTCTCGTCCCATCTCCTCTGCCACCCACTTCTCTCTGGTCCCCCAGCTAGAAGGGGATGCTCCTTCTCTGGGACCTCACAGTGCTTCACAACTCCCCGTAGCTGTGGCATCTCTCTTCTGGCCTATAAGTTCCTGAAGGTCTTGGACTCAGCTGTATTCTCTTTTCAGCCAAGTCTAACACGTGGGTTTACACTGGGCGTGTATTTGTCAAATACATGTATGTATTAATAAAAGGGCTCCCAGGCTCCTCACAGGGGCTCCAGACTTAAGGATGCTTGGAAAACCGGTCTTGTAACTGCCCATTGTGGGAGAAGCATTTATTTTATTTTATTTTTTTGAGACGGAGTCTTGCTCTGTTGCCCAGGCTGGAGTGCGGTGGCGAGATCTCAGCTCACTACAACCTCCGCCTCCCAGGTTCAAGCAATTCTCCTGCCTCAGCCTCCCGAGTAGCTGGGATTACATGTGTGCACCACCACACTTAGCTAATTTTTTTTTGTATTTTTAGTAGAGATGGGGTTTCACCACATTGGCCAGGCTGGTCTCGAACTCCTGACCTTGTGATCTGCCTGCCTCAGCCTCCCAAAGTGCTGGGATTACAGGCATGAGCCACTGGAGAAGCACTTACATGTCTAGTTCTCTCTGGACTTGCTCTTTGAGGGAAGAGACACAATGGATTCATCTCAATGTAATTCCCTCCACAGTGCCCTTGAATTCATGGTGCCGAACACAATACCAGACACAAAGTAAGTGCTCAAAAAAGAATGAATGGAAGATTTTAAAATGTACAAACAAATGGCTCCCCCAGGGCTCGGTGTGGACAGCTTCAGCCTACAGAACTATGAGCTATGCTTCCCTCCTGGGAACTCTAAGCCAAGGCTAAGAGCAACTGAGGAGAGCTGGCACATTCTTCAAGAGAAAAAATACCAGGGCTAGAGGGAAATGGCAGTTACAGTCAGGGATCCAGGCACAGTGGCAGACAGGGGGTTAATTCTGCAGTCTCCTCCTCTGTAGCAAAAGCATCTGTTTTTGTCTTTGAAAATAGGAAATTGATTTAGAGTTCACATGAGGTCTCTTCCTTGGCAAGTCCTAAGGTACACTCTAGAAGCAGAGGCCAGGGTAGGATCAACAAGTTCCCACCATGCCCTACAACCATATTTAATTCTAGAGATTTCATTGCCAGAAGAGCCAAAGAGGGAACTGAGGCTCAGAGAGTCACAGGAGGAGCTGCCCTTCCTGACCTCTGGGAGTACTGGTCTTCCAGCCCCTCCCTCTTCACATTTGCTTTTTCCTGGCCCAGGGCCCAGGCTACTGCTGCTGGTCTACCGACCATCTTCACCAGACAAAACAGAGGCTCAGATGACCTTTGCTACGGGTCAGGGGCACAGCCATGGTGCTCTCCAAATAGTGGGGCACAGCCATGCTCAGAGGCAGGGCCTTGCCTCAGCTCAGCTAAACTCATTAATTCCATGCTTGCCCTGAATGCCCACTGCAAGCTAGGGAGGCACTGTCATCAGTGCTGGAAGCCAACGGTGAGCCCAGGAAATGCTTCCCTCCCTTTTCGAGCTATGCTCTTGGCCAGCAGGGTAGGAAAGCTTGCTGTAGAGTCAAATTCTGGGAGAAGTCAAACTCTTGTTAAAGTTGAACATGCAAAAAAGCTGACGCGTGCAAATACCCCTGTGGAGGGCTCCTCCTGGAAGGCCTGGAAAGAGCTGAATGGATTTCAACCACATTTTTATAGAACAAGAAAATGAGAAGTAGCCTAGGAGCCCTTTGGTGCTAACTGACAGAAAAGGGCCAAGGGGAGTGGGGAGGGGCAGGGCACAGAACAGCAATTACCACAAGCAGAGCAGGCTTCCCACATTAATAAATCTGTGTGGCTGCATGTGGCGGCTCACGCCTATAATCCCAGTACTTTGGGAGGCCAAGGTGGGAGGATCACTGGAGCCCAGGAGTTCGAGACCAGCCTGGGCAACATGGTGAAACCCTGTCTCTACAACAAACAAAATAAACAAAATTAGCCAGGCGTGGTGGCGTGTGCCAGGAGGCTGAGGTGGGAGGATCCCTTGAGCCCAGGAGGTCGAGGCTGCAGTGAGCCGTGTTCGTGTCACTGTACTCCAGCCTGGATGGAAGAGCGAGATCTTGTCTCAAAAAATAAAAACAAAATAAATAAATCTTGGTGCCTGTAGCAGGTGTGAGTACAGGTGGGATCTCCCTTCTAGCCCAGCCCAGAAGAGCTGAACTCCCTGACCAGAGGGTTTCACTATCCATGCTCTTGCAGCTCTGGTTTTGTCAATACAAAACCTGCCAGCTGCCTCTGCATGGGGAAATCTGGGCTCAAAGAGAGCCCTGATCCCTGGGCTCCCCTGAAGAGTCTGACAGCACAATAGTGGTGTGAGTGCCTCAGAGCAAGGCTCCTTGCCCTAGGAGGGACAAGGCTGGAGAATGACACCCATCCATCAAGTGCCCATACCCTCTGACCCACACCTCCCCTGCCCTGACTGGTTTCTGAAAGGGGTATGGTGTGTGGAACAGCTGTGGGTACAGGGTATACGCAGAGCATGCAGGGATGCAGGCAGGCAGAAGCAGCCAGCTGCCCGGTCTCACTCTGCCTGCTGCTCCCGCTGACCAGAGCCTCAGCTTAGCTGGGGCCATCCTCTACCGCCTACTCTACTTTACAGGAGGAGGGGATAGTGGGGCGAGGAACCAGGTCTTGCCTCCTAAAACCAGGGAAAAGAGCTCCTTCCCTCTGCCCCACCCTCTGTCCCCATCCCCCCAAAAGAATGAAAGGAACTTATAATTGACTAGAAGCCAGAAATGGGCTGCATGCTAACCAAGAAAACAGCAGAGAATTCTCTGGGAGGTGAAACACCAGCAGACATACTTCTGAAGGTGGCAGCTCCTGCTCCCAGAGCCCCAGCATGTCACCTTCAGGCTGAAGGCCTCACTCCCAGCCCAGTCCCAGTAACTTGCCTTCCCCACTCATCCAGTGTCAGTTCTCCACATGCACCAGACATGCCATGAACACAAATTAGTGGTCCTTTATGCAGTAACATGTCTTTGAACTTGGTGCCATTTCATGTGCTGAGACATGTCTCCAGGAATGCTTCCCCACCACCCTACTTCACCTGACTCCTATTCATCCTTGAAGACTAGGCTCAGGGCCACCTCCTCCAGGAGTCTCCCCTAAACCCCACAGGCTGGGCAAAGCCCCTCCTCCTCTATGCTCCAGAGGTCCTCATCACACTAAAACAATTATCAGTTTAGGTGCCCATCTCCCTCTCTAGACTGCGAGCTCCTCATGGAAGGACAGAGAGGCCTACTTGTCTTCACCGCTTTTACCAAGTGGCTGACACATGGTAAAAGCTCAGTGAAATCAAATCAGAAAGGGCTGCCCAGCCGGGTGCAGTGCTTCATGCCTGTAATTCCAGCACTTTGGGAGGCCAAGAAGGGAGGCTTGCTTGAAGCTAGGAGTTCAAGACCAGCCCAGGCAACACGGTGAGACCCTATCTCTAAAAAAAAATAATGATTAAAAAAATAGCCAGGCATGGTGGCACACACCTGTAGTCCCAGCTAGTCAGTAGGCTGAGGCAGGAAGATCGCTTGAGCCTAGGAGTTCAGGACTGCAGTGAGCCATGATGGTGCCACTGTACTCCAGCCTGAGTGACAGAGTGAGACTCTATCTTTATTTCATTTATTTATTTATATTTGAGACAGGGTCTCACTCTGTCTTCCAGGCTGGAGTGCAGTGGCATATCACAGCTCACTGCAGTCGCCACCTTCCAGGCTCAAGCAATCTTCCTGCCTCCAGCCTCCAGAGTAGCTGGGACTACAGATGCGTGCCACCATGCTCGGCTAATTTTTTGTATATTTAGTAGAGACAAGGTTTTGCTGTGTTGCCCAGGCTGGTCTTGAACTCCAGGACTCAACAGATCCTCCTGCCTTGGCCTCCTAAAGTGCTGGGACTACAGGTGTGAGCTACCATGCCCAGCTGAGATTCTGTCTTTATTTATTTATTGTATTATTATTTTTGAGACAGAGTCTTGCTTTGTTGCCCAGGCTGGAGTGCAGTGGTGTGATTTTGGCTCATTGCAACCTCTGCCTCCCAGGTTCAAGTGATTCTCCTGCCTCAGCCACCTCAGTAGCTGGGATTACAGGTGCCCACCACCATGCCCGGCTAATTTTTGTGTTTTTAGTAGAGACAGCGTTTCACCATGTTGGCCAGCTGGTCTTGAACTCCTGATCTCAAGTGATCTGCCCACCTCGGCCTCCCAAAGTTGCTAGAATTACAGGCGTGAGCCACCACACCCAGCTGAGACTCTATCTTTAAATTAAAAAAAAAAAAAAAAAAAAAGGTCCGGGTGTGGTGGCTCACACCTGTAACTCCAGCACTTTGGGAGGCCAAGGTGGGAGGATCACTTGATCCCAGGAGTTCAAGGCCAGCAAGGGCAACATAGTGAGACCCCATCTCAAAAACAAAACAAAACAAACAACACTCTCTTCCAGTGACTGCTATTTGCACATACATATATACATACTACAAACACACATAAGGGGCTGGCTAGGTATGGTGGCTCACGCCTGTAATCCCAGCACTTTGGGAGGCTGAGGTGGGCATATCACTTGAGGTCAGGAGTTCAAGACCAGCCTGGCCAACATGGCGAAACCCCGTCTCTACTAAAAAATACAAAAATTAGTTGGGAGTGGTGGCAGGAGCCTGTAATCCCAGCTACTCGGGAGGCTGAGGCAGACAGAATCACTTGAACCTGGGAGGCAGAGGTTGCAGTAAGCTGAGATTGCACCACTGCACTCCAGCCTCTGCGACAGAGTGAGACTCCATCTCAAAAAATAAAAAAACAGGCCAGGCACGGTGGCTCACGCCTTTAATCCCAGCACTTTGGGAGTCCGAGGTAGGCGGATCACGAGGTCAGGAGTTCGAGACCAGCCTGGACAACATGGTGAAACCCTGTCTCTACTAAAAATACAGAAATTAGCCGGGAGTGGTGGCACATGCCTGTAATCCCAGCTACTTGGGAGGCTGAGGCAGGAGAATCACTTGAACTCGGGAAGCGGTGGTTGCAGTGAGCTGAGATCGCAGAGGCTGAAGTGAGCCGAGATCATGCCACTGCACTCCAGCTTAGGTGACAGAGTGAGACTCTGTCTCAAAAATAAATAAATAAATAAATAAAAATAAAAAGAAGGGGCTGCCTAAGAGAATGGCCCACTTCTCCAAATCCCTCTCGCTGTCAGGGGTTACTGGGAGCTCTGAGAGGTTTGCCTCCTACTGAGAGGGCTGGCCTGCTGGCTCCATTGAGAAGCCCGTGGTGGTTCCCTTTTGCCTGGCCCTCAGGCTTCCTGGAAAAGGCCTAATGGACTCCAGAGCAGCTCAGAGTCCACAGAAACCTGCAAAAAAGGGCCTGAAGATGGCAGAAGGAGCCTTCCACCACCTCCTCCCAGAGGCTCACAGCGGAGGTTGGCTGCTCCAGCCAGCACCACCTTATGGTCATGGCCCCAGCGAGGGGCTTCCACCAAGCACAAATGCAGGAGGTGGGCTGTGCTACAGACCAAAGAGGGACTTCACTTTGAAAATTCTCAGTTCATGGCATCGCAAGCGACCACGCAATACCCTGTTGGGGACTGCGGTGTAGAAAGCCATTCCCTGGGGTGATAGGCACGTTTGTTATTCTTTGCCTGACGTGCACCGTGGCTTTTCCTCCCATGGTCTCTTCTGGGCAAATGGCTCAACACAGACTTAGAAAATGTGTCTGTTTGGAGGCTGCTTTGTTTGGAGCTAGGATCAGCAAGGGGGCTGGAGGTAGGGGGTGAGGATAGCAACTGAGTGAGAACAGCCTGTTTAACACAGCTGCTGACGGACTCCTAAGTGGCTCGAACTCTGCTGCTGGGAAGTGCTAATTGGTTTTTAAAAGTGTGAGGCTGGCACAGAGAGTCAGGGCCGAGTGTGGCAGAGCCACACCTGAAATAGGTGAGAGGAAGGGGCTGATGATAGGCCAGGCTGCAGCCAAAATGTCAACGAGCCCCAGGTGTGACAGGATTGTGAGAGGTCCTCCCATGGGGCAGTCCCAAATCTGCCACACTGGTAGGGGGACGACAAGCTAGGCTGTGGTTTGGCCCCAGAAGCTAAGGCCTGGGGTGTACTTCTCTGGAATGGCAGCTTGCAGGAGGGAGTCTCCCTTTAGCCCTTTCAATCCAGGCTTTCTGTGCTCTCTCTTTGGAAAAAGAGACAGGGTCCTCACATTTTAGAGGAGAGGGACATCAGTGTACTTGGTGGGAGTTGAGGCGAGCTGCAAGAGTGACCCAGCTCAGGGAAACCATGTCGCTGCTGAGGAGGCTCTTAATGCCACCAGGTGGGCATCACCCAGACATGGGAGGGGGTATGCATCCTGAGTGGGAAGTGGCACTCACTCGGTCTTAGGGTCCCTCTCCCACCCCCTCCAGCGCCACATGGCTCCTACCTTCACCAGGACCTGAGGCGGCTGTCCCTGGCTCCGGCACCTCCCTCTCAGTCTGTGTTTCGGCATTCTGCAGCTGAAGGGCCAGAGTCTGGGTGCCCTGAGATGTCACTGAGGTGGCAGGGTTCCGGGGCTGAAGCCCAATGGCATTCATCAGCCCCATGTCTCTGTCTGTCCTCCATGTGGCTCTGCTGGTTCTAGGGAGAGAAAGGCAGACTAAAGTCAGATGGGGCTTGGGACAGCACCCCTCACAGCACTCTGCTGGCTCTGTGCCAATCCTCAGGGCAGTGTGGGCCAGGCCCTGCAGGCTAAGAGAAGCCCTGTGCTCCTGCAACTACATCTTGATGGTGGTTAACTTGTCTGTGTCCATTCTCCCCCAAGGTTAGTCTATACCCTAGAACAATGAAAGGCCACAGAAACATCCAATCTTGCAACCCTGGCTCACTCAGTCATGCCCTTCAACAACAGGCCCCTGTCGGGGAGTGGGGAGGAGCTGTAGAGATGGCTGATCTGAAAAGACTAATGAAATTCAGGAGGCCAGTAGCTGAGATCATGGGATAAAGAGTGAGCACTAGAAGAAGGTCCTTTCTCTCTTTAGCTTTACCTTCCTTCCAACTGTATGCTCATAAGATTCCACTTTGAATTCTTGAATTTGCAAGTGAACTGAGAACTCCACTTTGGAAGGAAAGAACTGGAACTCTTTTTTTTTTTTTGGTGAGACAGTCTCGCCCTGTCACCCAGGCTGTAGTGGCGCAATCTCAGCTCACTGCAACCTCTGCCTCCAGGATTCAAGCGATTCTCCTGCCTCAGCCTCCCGAGTAGCTGGGATTACAGGCATACACCACCATGCTCGGCTAATTTTTGTATTTTTAGTAGAGAGGGGTTTCACCATGTTGGCCAGGATGGTCTCCATCTCCTGACCTCGTGATCCGCCCGCCTCAGCCTCCCAAAGTGCTGGGATTACAGGCATGAGCCACCGCGCCCATCCAGGACTGGAACTCTTATGAGGCTGTTCTGGGATCCTCTTTCCAGGGCCTTCTGAAAACAGACCCTTGCAGGTAGGGAGCACAGGCTGTCCTACAAGGAAGGTTCTGGCCAATGCTAGCATCCCCCTTCCTTGGGCATCTCCCAGGCACTGCCTTGGAATAGCTGGAGCTGGCAGCAGAGGCAGCCCAGGCCTTTTGAGACTATCACCAGACACTCACATTTCTAGCTGCTTCTGGGACTATTCCTCCAGCTATGCTCAGCAATTCCTAGGGGAAGTAGCAATTGCTTTGGGTTTATCAACAACCCAGCGCTTTGTTCCAGTCTTCATTAGTGAATTAAGTGATGAAAGGATCAGTACCAGATTTCTACTAATGGGTGCCTCAAGAGGATTTGTCCCTGGGCTACAGCCCTGGGCAGCTTGGTCCCTGAGGTCCTGGTCATCTGGAAGAGCCTGGGCCATGGAGCAGACTTCATGGGGCGGCATCCTTCTCCAGGCCCTATCTTCTCTCCTCACCCCAAGTGTGCCCAGGCACCATGGCCAGGATGGGAGAGGGCCAGGGGGTGGTTCTACAGCAAGACTCTGAGAGCAGAGCTTTTGTTCTCTTTCTTAGCCACACAACACTTTTCTCAAATGAAACTGTACACAAAAGATCAAGGAGGTGCTGCTCTGGTTGAGGAGGGACCCAGAGCCCTAGAGGGCGCTGCTTAAGAGCCCATCAAAAGCAGGAGGAAGGGATGGGCCTCCAGCCAGCTGCTCCCTGCCTACTTCCCAAACATACCCAGGCCGCTCGCTGCTCCTGCTGTTGGAATGGACAGTGAAGACCGTCTCGTTCAGCTGGTCCCAGTAGTACTCAACACCAGAGTTTAAGGCCCTAAAAATCAGTTGGGAAGGGTAAAGAAGAAGGTGAAAGGCATTAGAGAGGGAAGGATAAGAGCTCCTGAAACTCCTGGCTTTGTGGACTGTGGCTGCCCATCCTTTCTCTCTCCTGGGGCTGAGCTGAAACCAAGACCAGAGCTGCTGCCTCATCAGGATGCTCAGTGCTGGATCAATTCAGACAAATCTCTAATAGCCTAAATGCCTGGAATGGTGGGTTTAGCTTCTCCCTTCCCCCTGACAAGCCTAACCGGCTCCTCCTCGGAGCTAAGAGACAGCTAAAAAAATAGCAACAACAGATACAGGCAGTGGGTCCTGAGTATTCTTCAGACACAGAGAAAGGAACTAAGATGGCAAATGTGAGGCTGGAGTGAGGCCCACTGGAGAGATACAGAGCCATGGACAGCCCTGCCCAATGGGCATGCCTAGTCTTGAAAAGCAGAGGCCTTGGCCAGGCGCCAGTGGCTCACGCCTGTAATCCCAGCACTTTGGGAGGCCGAGGCGGGCAGATCACAAGGTCACAAGATCAAGACCATCCTGGCCAACATTGTGAAACCCTGTCTCTACTAAAAATACAAAAATTAGCTGGCCGTGGTGGCACATGCCTGTAGTCCCAGCTACTCAGGAGACTGAGGCAGGAGAATCACTTGAACCAGGAGACAGAGGTTGCAGTGAGCTGAGATCGCGCCACTGTACTCCAGCCTGGGTGACAGTGCAAGACTCTGTCTCAAAAAAAAAAAAAAAGAAAAAAAAAAAAAAGAAAAGCAGAGGCCTCAGAAAACAAAGACAGTGCAGGCTCTCGCCCCTGGGGCGGCCTGAGCGGAGGAAGACAAACTTCACCAAAAGTCAGCTATTTAACCTAGAGGCCTAGGTCACCCTCCTTTAACAACAGAAGTTACCTCCATAAAGAGCAAACATCCCCAAGTGAGTGTATTATAGGATGCTGGGAGGTGCTTCCTTCCTAAACATGGGTGTTGGCTAGGACAGAGACCAGGCAGGGCCTGGAAGACGAGGGACTGTGTCCCAGGAGGTCCCAGGAGGTCCCAGGAGGCTGTGCTGCCTCAGGTAAAAGGCAACAAAACCAGGCACTGAGCCTCCAAATCTGCCTTTTTTTCTGAGATGGAGTCTCACTCTGATGCCCAGGCTGGAGTGCAGTGGCATGATCTCAGCTCATTGCAACCTCTGCCTCCTGGGTTCAAGCAATTCTCCTGCCTCAGCCTCCTGAGCAGCTGAGATTGCAGATGTGTGCCACCACGCCCGGCTAATTTTTGTATTTTTAGTAGAGATGGGGTTTCACCATGTTGGCCAGGCTGGTCTCGAACTCCTGACCTCAAGTGATCTGCCCACCTTGGCCTCCCAAAGTGCTAGGATTACAGGCATGAACCACTGCGCCCAGCCCAAATCTGTCTTTTTAATTTTTTTTTTATTTTTTATTGTTTGAGGTGGGGTCTCACTATGTTGCCCAGACTGGTCTTGAACTCCTGGGCTCAAATGATCTTCCCACCTCGGCCTCCCAAAGTGTTGGGATTACAGGCGTGAGCCACCATGCCCGGCCCAAATCTGTCTTTTAGAGGGTAACTATGATTAGGCTTCACCTGAGGGAATACTACTTGCTTCTTTGAAGGGAAAGAGCCACAGCCAAACAAAAGTGCTCTTCTTTTCACTGCGCTGTAGTAAACCTCTCCCAGCTCCTTTTAAGGGGCCTGTCAGGCTGTGGAGTTGGTGTAATTCCAAAGGCCACCTCTTTAAAAAGCAGTACAGTTGTCCCTTGGTATCTTTGGGGAATTGGTTCCAAGACCCCCTGTGGATACCAAAATCTATGGTTGCTCAAGTCCCTAATACACAAACTATCCATATCCTTTTGTATACTTAAAATCATCTCTAGATTACTTGCACTAATACAATGTAAATTATGCAAATAGTTATTATACTGTATTGCATCTCACTCTGTTGCCCAGTCTGAAGTGCAGTGGTGTGATCACGGCTCACTACAGCCCTGACTTCCCTGGGCTCAGGTGATTCTCCTACCTCAGCCTCCCGAGTAGCTGGTACTACAGGCGTGCCTCACCACGCCTGGCTAATTTTTTTTGTTTTTTGTTTTGTAGAGACAGGGTTTCACCATGTTGCCTAAGCTGGTCTCAAATTTCTGGGCTAAAAAATCTGCCTACCTCAGCCTCCCAAAGTACTGGGATTATAGGTGTGAACCACCGTTCCCAGACTAATTGTATTGTTAATTTTCACTGTTTTTTTTTCCCCAAAATGTTTTTGATTTATGGTTTGTTGACTCCATGAATGTGGAACCTGCAGATACCAAGGGCCAACTGTTTATCCTTCCTCTTCTAAACAGCCATTTTTGTGGGGTTTGGGGATTGTCTGAGAACCAGATGGGCATTGGAGGGCAAAGATGAGAAAAGGCTACCTTACATTATGCAAGAGGTAAATGGCCAGAAGTAACAGCAGAGGCCTCCAAAAACAAACTCATCTCTGTTTTTGGTGAGCAAATCCTGTCTGTGTTAGATACTATGTGAAGCTGGCTGCCAGGAAGACTGATTTACAAACTTGTCAAGATGTATTGACAGGTTGCAATACCACATGGGTCCCTGCCAAATCCCTCTTCTGGAATTCTTGCTAGCCAGGGCTGGTTAGTGACAACAAACTGTTCACATCAGACCTACAACAAACCATGTACTTCCTGACCCGGAACCTTCCTTCCTACCTCAGAAAAGAGGCCACAAGAAGGCCTTCTGTCTGAGCTGGGACTGTCAGCATAATGCTGGTGGCCAAAAGGTCCCCTCGAATGCTTTCCATCCAGGCAGCAGCATGGAGCATCATCGGCTCAGGGCTGTGACCTTGGCTACTGACTGAAGAGGTCCACTGCCAACAGAACAGGGGCCGTACTTCCTGTCTCAGATGTGTTGCTCCACTATGCCTCCCCATCCCAATCCTTTCTGCTCCCCACAAACAGGTCTAATTCTAAGCCTGGATTTGCTTTACTTTCTGTGGTCAGAGAGCTGGACTACAATGAGCTCATGGATTTGGTTTCAATTCCAGACACTGTACCAAGGAATAGAGTTGAAGACACCCTCTCTGGCTACTGAAACTCTTAGCTTTCTTTCTTTCTTTCTCTATTTTTTTCTGAGATGGAGTTTCATTCTTGTTGCCCAGGCTGGAGTGCAATGGTGTGATCTCGGCTCACTGCAACCTCAGCCTCCCAGATTCGAGTGATTTTCCTGCCTCAGCCTCCCGAGTAGCTGGGATTACAGGTGTGTGCCACCATGCCTGGCTAATTTTTGTATTTTCAGTAGAGACAGTGTTTCGCCATGTTGGCCAGGCTGGTCTCGAACTCCTGACCTCAGGTGATCTGCCTGCCTCAGCCTCCCAAAGTGCTGGGATTACAGGCATGAGCCACCATGCCCGGCCTGAAACTCTTAGCTTTCAATACCCAGTGTCACTGACTGTCTGTGAGCTAAAGAATGATCCCAACATGTCCTGGTGTCTTCTTGGGTCTCAGTGAGGGTGAATGAGTCACTGTTTGCTCTGGGTTCTTCCTGGGAACTACACAAATACACCAAGGGAGGAGGAAGGCTAGGAGGTCCAATCAGGGCCAGCCTTTTCCAGTGGGCTTCCACCTCACACCTGGCTTCCTCCACAGCATCTGGAAGCTGTGCTTCTGGGCCTGGCTCAACAACTTCCCCATGCTGAGACCTTCCAAGGGCTCCCTGAACAGACCTGAGCTCCCTCAGTGTCACGATGCTCTCTTCACAGAACTTCTGGCTCTGAACTTCCCAACTTCTTGGGACCATTCCCTTGGATAACATTCTTCTTTCATTTATCAGTGACACGACGGGAGAGGATCAGACCAAAGATGCCTGGTGTCTCTGCAGCGCGGGAAAGAGCCAGCACCTGGCTCTTAGAGCCTCGCCTGAAAGATGTGGTTTCCGTGGCAATTTTGGCTCCCTTTTGATTCGGAGGCATGCTTTCCCCTCCCTGGGTGATGATACTTGACTATAATTACCATGATTACAGAAGGGACAGAGCTGGGGCCTTGTCAGGAGCCCCACAGTTGGCCAATGGGCCAGATGCCCCATAGTCTCAGCCCACCTCTCTTCTGCCATGAGTCCCCTGATTCTGTCCTTTGAGCTGACTCTGAGAGGCAGTGGGCTTCCCGCCAGCACCTCCCCCTATCACATTTGTAGGGCTGGTTTATGAGGCCGGAAGTAAGCAAGCACCCCCTCATATCAACCTGGCACTTCACACCCCCCATGGTTATCAGTGGGGGTGCTGGCTGGCTGGCAGGCAGCCAGAGGCACAGCAGCAGCTTGGGCAGAGTGCAGGTGGGGGAGCAGAGGAGGAGGGAGCGCCTCAGTGCCAGGAAGGGCGGGATGACTGCGCTATCAGCCCCTGGGATGGCTTTGTAGAGGGGCTGACTGGCCAGTTGTTTGTCTTCTTGCCTGTCCTAAGAATTCCTTCCCCTGGAGAGATGGAGGATTTTTGAAGGCCTTAGTCTACTGCCAAGTGGGTTTTAGTACCACCAAGAGATGCCCAAGGAGCTTGTTCCTCTGTCTTTGTGCTTGGAGAGACTGCTGAGGCAAAGACAATGGAGGAGAAATCAAGAGCAGTATTGAGAGCACAAAATGGGGTGCAGCTGCCTGTGCCTGGGACAAAGGCAGACAGCCACCTGTTTCGGAGGGAGGGCTGCAATCTTGGCCCAGCTGGCTGGCTGGATCCTGTGCCCTTGGGAATGGGTGTGCCAGGGAGCTGTATCACCCAGGGATAGGCAGCTGCCTATGAGACACACAAGAACCCTGAGCTCCTACTTCCCTATTTGTTCTCCTCATTTGAGACTGGAGACCACTCATCTGTAGACCGCTCAAAAGACATGAATGCGCTCACTGATCCTCTCTCATTTCCACCTGCATCCATGCCTGACCTGCTGAAATGTCTCAACACAATCTAAAGCTGCATTCTTTACCTGAGGTCTTAAAGAGTTACAAAAGTATGTGTGTGTTATTGTGGCATATTTTTCTGTGGAAGACTGTACATTGCTTTCGTCAGAATTTTAAAGGGGTTTTTGAGTGAAAAGCGCTCTGGATAGTAAAGTGAGGAATTCTAGTTCTGTCATCTGTTAGGAGGCCTCAGAGGAGTCTTAACTTCCTTAGGTGTATATTGCTCACACACAGTCTTCCTTGCCTAAGCTTTGAAGAACTTAAGTCATGTCCATGTCCAATTTATATGGTACCCTTACATTTTGGGCCCTAAGGCTTGAGGCATTTGCCAACCTGACCCAAGAAGTCAGGAGAAACAGCAACCAAAAAAGATGGGCTAAACTAGTTTTCTTAGTCCAACACAACTTGGTCTGTGACAGGACACTGTTCAATGTGTCCAGTGCTAATGCCATCTTACTCAGGGAAGAGGCTTGAGTTCCTGGTGGGTAAGAGAGTTCCCCAGGCAGCCCAAGATGGCTTAGGCCAGCTGAGACTCTGGGATGCTGGAGCAACATATGGGGAGAAAAGAGAAAACAGAAGCCAAAGTCAGTTTCATGTTTGGCTGAGGTGACTGTGACTGACACAAAGTAGGCAGGCTGGGGTTTCAGACATAAAAACCTTTATGAGGCCACAACAAACTGGGTGTAGATTATTTTTGCAAGGGAGAGGACTAGAAATTTGGCTGGGACAAAAGTTAGTGGTGGAAGCCATAGACAAAACAACACTGCTGAGGAAAGAGGTCTTGGAGAAACAGGGAAAGAAAGGCCTGTAACTGAAGTGTAAGTAAGAGTAGAATCATAGTCCAGAATTCTGTGCCAGTTTTGGAAAAGATGCTTATTAGATTTCTCTTATGAACTGTTAAGAAAAGAGATAAGACAATCAGCATCATGTGCTTTGGGGAAAAGGAGTATTTCAGGACAGATCCTGGGACTAGGGACAGGCCAGAAGAAGGGCAGAAACTGAGAGACCCAAGGAGATAATGAAAATGCTCTCTGGATGCTCCAGAGATGGTGAAAGATGGTCTCTGGAGCAAGTGGCTTGCAACACAAAACATTCTTGCAGCTCCAAGAGCAGCCTGAGCAGGCTAGGCTTAGACAGTAGTCTGTCTTTGGGAGGAGCTCAAAAAATTCAAAATGGAATGCAAGAGCTGCCCTAAGAACCAGTTTTCCTTTCTCCTAGGCCACTGACCTAATTCAGCCGATAAGGACTCAATCAGCACTTCCCTACCAGGCCACATGAGCTGACCCAAATACATCCTTTAGGAGAAACTATCAAGGATCCCATCAAAAGGCAACACGGACACTTCCGATAACCAGAGACCCTGTTGGAACTGTCACACCACACTCTGTGATCTGCAGAACACTCTGGGAAAAGACTCTGCACCAAGTGGAGGTCAACATGAGGACAGCCTGGAGGCAGAAGTGGCATTTAGTCGGCTGGAACCTTGCAGCGTCCCACGCAGCAATCAACCTGATCGGCAGTGAGGCAGAGCTTCACACTCTCCACCTGGCTGAGGCTGGAAACTGATGACAGACCTGGCTGACTCCCAGCGTCTCTAATGAATGGATGCCTGGAGAAACTCTGACCTCCATAAAGCCAGAGGAAGGGGAAGGGGTGTCATCAGGACTTCAGACACAAATCCCCTCCTACTCCCTACTTCAAGACCAGATAATAATTGCTTTGACTGTAAATTGAGCTTTTCTTTTTTTTTTTTTGAGACAGAGTCTCACTCTGTCGCTAGGTTGGCGTGCAATGGCATGATGTCAGCTCACTGCAACCTCTGCCTCTCAGGTTCAAGCGATTCCCCTGCCTCAGCCTCCTGAGTAGCTGGGACTACAGGCACGTGCCACTATGCCCGGCTAATTTTTTGTATTTTAGTAGAGACGGGGTTTTACCACGTTGACCAGGATGGTCTCAATCTCCTGACCTCGTGATCCGCCTGCCTCAGCTTCTCAAAGTGCTGGGATTACAGGCATGAGCCACTGTGCCCAGCCCCAAATTGAGCTTTTCAATCTGCTTTCACTAGTATAAGCTAGAGCTCCAAGCAGAAAGGAAAACAAGCAAGACAGAATTGTTGTTAGAGATCAGTTAGAGATCGGCTATTAGAGATCAGTGGCTTAACAAATTAGGGTTTCAACAATACCTATTTCCAATTCTTTTTAAGTTAAAGTCTACGGTATTTACTCAAACCCAAGACCACCTGTTGAATTTTTCTAGCAGGGTTTAAAAAAGAATCTTTGATATCTATGCTTTTGACTGCAGGGAAACTTTAGTATCACTAGGAAACCAGAGAACAAGGGAAAACAAAGAAAAAAAAATACTGCCTTTAGATTCAAGAAAACATGATCACTAAATCAGTCTCTGGATGAAATGTGAAATGGGGAGCTAATCCTACCAGCCCCTGTGGGAAGAGGGCCCTTTAAGGAGTGGCGCTGAGAATGAGGCAGGCTCTAGATGGATTGACATTTCCCTTCTAAAAGACCCCAGTTGGTGAATACTGATTACCCCAGTCCTCGGCCCCAGTGATCCCTCAACCCCCACACTTTAAGCCACTTACTCTGGTCGGCAGATCACCAGGTCTCCTTTGTTAGTACCATAGGCCAAGCCAAGCCCTGGCTCAGGCAGCCAACGGGCAGAGTTGATACTGACATGTCTCCGCTGGTCGGCAGGCATGGGATAAAGGACGTTGAAAACTCTCTAGGTAGAGGAAAAGAGGGAAAAAAAGAGAATGGGAGGAGAAACAATTTGTTACCAAGAATAACAAAATCCAGGGAGAAACAAATTAGAAGGAGGAAAGGAGGTGGTTAGGCTGGGAACAGGATGACTCTTTTTTTTTCTTTTTTTTCTATATCTATCTATCTATTTTATTATTTATATATAAATATATATAATATATATTTTATTATTTATATATAATATGTTTTATTATTTATATATAAATATATAATATATATTTTATTATTTATATATAAATATGTATTTTATTATTTATATAAATATATATTTTATTATTTATATATAAATATATATATTTATTATATATTATATATATTTTATTATTATACTTTAAGTTCTAGGGTACATGTGCACAACGTGCAGGTTTGTTACATATGTATACACGTGCCACGTTGGTGTGCTGCACCCATTAACTCGTCAGTCACATTAGGTATATCTTCTAATGCTATCCCTCCCCACTCCCCCTACCCCACAACAGGCCCCGGTGTGTGATGTTCTCCTTCCTGTGTCCAAGTGTTCTCATTGTTCAGTTCCCACCTATGAGTGAGAACATGCGGTGTTTGGTTTTCGAACAGGATGACTCTTAACTCATGCCTGAGAACTTGGGGCAGCAGGAGAGATGGGATTCTCTTAGTTTTGGGGAGAGCTAGGTCTCTTTTAAGAAATACTAGGGGACTCTATGGCTCTAATAATGCGCTCTCCTTAGAGCCTTTTAGCTAACTAACTTCATTGCTTTTAAATTAACTCCCTGGAAAGCCCCATAAAGCCCACCATACCAGGACGGACTGCCCATAACTTTCCTCTGACCAGGCCAACCAGTGAGCATCAGCCTTGGCTGGTAGTCCTGTTACCATGGTAACCACAGTGCTCTCACAGCAATGGGGAATTGGAGGTGATAGGGGGGCGGGAGGGGGTGATAACATCAGAGAACATTCTTAATTCATCTAATTAAAAGCAATGTTAAAACTGCTATTGTTAAGGAAACCTAAAAGGTGCATTAAGATGGAGGGAGCGGAGCAGAGGGGAATCGTGAACATTCAGGCACACAACTTGTTTCTAGCTTATATAAATCACCGTTAAATTGATTGTTTCTCTTTTTCCAAGCTAATATTTTCTGAGCGGCATATTTTCTAAGTATGTAGGGTTTGGGCTGAAGGTAAACTATGGCCTCACAGTCTCTTTCACCACTCTCTGATATGTTTTAGAAGCAACTTAATCAGAGATAGGGGCAGGTCAGTGGAAGAATAAAAGACATGGGCTTTAGAGTTAATAAGACTTGGGTTCGAGTCCTGATGCCACTACAAAACAATATCTCTAGATCTCAACTTAGAACAAACACATACATTCAAATAATTTGGGAGATTAAAAGAGATGATGTATAAAATGCCTGCCATGGTGCAAGCTCCTAAATAGTAACTGCTATTATTGCAACCAGGAACCTGTATCTCAGTCTCTTCACAAATGATCATCAGGGCCTATGAAAACGACAGGAAGCTGAAACTCTATAAACTGGAGTTTATTTCCCTTCTTGCTTCCCCAGTTTTTAATTTATCAAATATGAACTTCATTTCATCTGCCTTTACCTGCCCCCAGGGTTGATAGAAGGGGAAAAAAAGAGAAAACAAATGAGCATGTGGTTTAGACAGTAATATTCATAAAATGAACTTAGAGTGGTACAATTATAATTATTTTTCTGACTATCCTGATGAGGGATGAAGGTGGGGAGGGAGGAAGGCAGGGAGGGATGATTGAGTCTGAACTAAGGGTCCACTCCATTTATGCAAACCAAGTGATAAGCAGCCCTGGATCTGAGAACACATGTTCATGTGCCTTGGGTACGTATCTGAAAGGCCTCTGACAGGACAGCCTCCAGAATGGAAAAGACAGCAGCACGTGTCCTCAATACACACACACACACACACACACACACTCTTCCAGGTGTTGTGGTGCTGAGAAATGTGCCCAGGTAGCTAAATGGTACTCTTCCAGAATGGCCTAGCTATGGTCCTGAGGTCAAATGGGCCTTTTACAGACATGGAACTGGTTCAGGTTTGAGGCACGGCACTGACTGCCCTGTGGCAGCTGCATTAGGAACCTCCTACACCCTTCCTGTAGGACTCAACTCCAAATGTAAGGAACTCGTTAAGGCTCCTTAAATCTTTGCTCTAACTGAGGAGACTATTAAAAAAGAAACCGATGAAGTTAATGAATTTCTCTCGTAGTTATCTGGAGTCTGGCTGCTTGGCCTTTGGATCATCTCCTCCTGGCTGGCAGGAGTCTCAAACAAATTCATGGCTGCTATTCTCACTCAGCCTCACTGTCTGAACGGGCACAGATATGGTAATACCACTCTTTCTCCTTTGCACCTAATCAATATTTTGCCTTTAAATCAAGCAATGAGGTGTGGCACCTTTATTCTTTCTCATGGAGGTTTTCACCTTCTCAGAAGATAACCAATGGTTTCTGTCCAACCTATAGACTTTATGGTTAAACACAACTTGCCATTTAACTTTTAACACTAAAAGGACAATGTGGGTGTGATGAGACAATTGTGGCTGGGATCACTTAATCTGTTTAGTTTTCCTTCTCCAAAGGTCAGATGGTGTGAGCAGAGCACACCCAGAGTTAAGGAGGGATGAGGGTTAACCTCAATGGGTGCATGAGGGGAGCACCTTGGTTTTGAGCCTGTGGTAGCTCTACATGGGCCTCACAACAAAGTCTCCCCTGAAACTACAATGATTTATAATTGTAGGGAATGGGGCAAAAGGGCCAGAGAAAGTAGCCTTACGAGGAGAATAATAAGACTTTAGTAATCAGATGCTTAAGTTGCTGTGCTGCGTTTTTTAAATGGGGGTCTGAAACAAAAGAATAAAAGACCTCTTTCCTAGAAATGTTCCAGACCAGAAAGTAACAAAACAAGCCTCTGTCACAAATTTACCTTTTATCATTTGTTGCTGTACAGGGATTAACAGGCAAATATTATCTATTTGCTTCTTAGTATAGGAACTTCCTTTGGGGACAAAACCCTCAAGACGCCAATATGATAGATGAACCCAGCTTAGGTGAGACAAGGTCACAGAGGGATTGGAGAGAAGTAATGAAATGTTGAGACCCCCGGGTTGTTGCTAGCCACTTCCCAACTTCTGCAGTGGCAAGAGTCATGGGGGCATCAATCTGTCCTCCAGCTATGGCACTCCCTCATGCTCGAGTCCTTAAACAGTGCCGAAAGGGCAGTTCTCAAGTGCACATCTCTTCCCATGTTTGGGTATTAGGCTAAATCCTGCTTTGTGGCAGGAAGCCAGAAAATGCCGCACAAAGATCAGCAGCCTCCTGGATCCTGATAAGCACTTGCTTGCTTAGCACACTCTAGTGCGGTGTGGGAAGGAGGGAGATGAGGGCATGGAGGGTGCAGAATGGGAGGTTAATCACTGATCCATAGGCTGAGAGGTCATCTGGTCCAATCATCCTGATTTCACACATGCCTGAAACCAATGGACACTTGAACAATGAGAATCTGGCCCATTTTGAAAAGCACCCAGAGATGTAGTGTCTACCCCTTTCCCGGGCCAAAGCTGAACAGCTCTCAGTCCACCTCACTGAAGGGAAATACCTCTCACAATTAGCCCTACAGATGAGAGACTATCTGGACAAGTTTCTCAGTACTGACAGATGGTTACGTAGCTCTGCTAATCCCAAACCATTTACGGTTTTGGTCATCAGTCTTTCTAACCCAGAGACTGGGTGAGTTGTGAGTCCCCTTTTAGATTTCCACGGGGACTGGCTCTGTAAACCCAAAGGTCATCAGTACTGACAAAGACAGTATAAGAGATGGCTCTGGTCTTCATGTACAGACACCCTAAAAACATCTCAAGTAAAGGTTTCTTTAATACTAGTCATGTGCCCTGAAGCTCCCCATGGGATGTTCAGAACAAAGCTTGGGTGGCCTGCTGAACACCCACCCTGTCCCCCACTCTTCTCTCTGACACAAGAGACATGCCGTGCAGCTACACCACCAAATTCTATTACACCGGACGTATTATCAGAACAGGGGACCCTCTGTGGGGCTGAATACAAAACCCAGCTGCTGATTCATGATTGACGAGTCCTGGTTTCACCTGTCTCCACTGCAGCTCTTCCCTGGTATATGACGAATGCTGACAGCAACCCCTCTTCCCAAAGTAGATTGTTCTCATTTCTGTCTAACATCTATGAAGGGAAATAGAATCAATATGCTAGAAAGAAGAAATTTCTTAGAGTTAGTGCAGTCTCAGCATGTTAATAGGGAATGAGTCTGGTTGCCAAGATCTTTGTGGTTCTAAGAGAGTAGAAGACAATGATTGCTCCACTTCTGGTGTCCAAGACAATCTCTTGTACCGCTTGCCTCTCTACCCCTCAAACTCTAATAGGAAGTGAGAGCAAAAGAAAACAGTTCTCAGATCAAAACTAAAAGTGTCTTGTTTCTTGTTCAAAGATAGACAGGAAAAGAATGAGAGGGAGCCAGGAGGTCAGCGGGAAACCTTCTTCTCCATCCTTTTAAAATGAAGAGGAAAAAGGTATTGCAGCCCTCAACAAGATGGTCGTATTTTTTTTCCCCTACTGCATGCCAATAAAACTCAGACGAGTAGTTCAAGCAGCAAACGGCACTGTTCAGATCAGCCCGGATAAGAAGCTAAAAGAAAAACTTTATGGTTATTTTGTTTACATTTGGGAATCTCATCATCTGTAAAGCTAAAACCTCGCAGTGGTGGCCAGAGGTCAAGTGCAGTTGGCAGATCTTCTTTAAGACAATGGAAGCTGGCTGGAGGAAGCGGACAACTGGAAACTGAGGCTAGAAGAGCTGTGGAAAAAGGTGCAAGGTGCAAAGCAAGGGGGCTTTGAGGAAGAAAGGAACTGTGAGGAGGAAAGATGCCTTCTGGGTAATGATGGGAATTAAGGAAGGCTTAAGGTTTTAGTGAGGGCTACTAGAAGAGAATCAACTGAGAAGAGGGAAAAATCAATAGAAAGCAGATGCTAAGAGACAGCTGACCTTTCCATTGGAAATGGATGGCTACATATCTTGTCACAGGCTGAGAAATGCACATATCCTAGAGTGGCAGTGGGAGAAATACCTTGGCCATCTTTTCTTCTTTTCCAGCTGTTGATCTGCTTAGATCAATGAATTATTGAGTTTCTTCGACCCTAGGAAAGCCTGATTGCTTTTTAAAAACTTTAATTTCTTTTACTGTCTCCAAACCTTTATATTCTATGTTGGAATTCAGAATTCACAAAATGTTGATGTAATTTTTATAATTTTTATTATTTTATTTTTTTTCTTTTTTGACATGGAGTCTCGCTCTGTCACCCAGGCTGGAGTGCAGTGGTGCGATCTTGGTTCACTGCAAGCTCCACCTCCTGGGTTCATGCCATTCTCCTGCCTCAGCCTCCTGAGTAGCTGGGACTACAGGCGCCTGCCACCACGCCCGGCTAGTTTTTTGTATTTTTAGTAGAGACGGGGTTTCACCGTATTAGCCAGGATGGTCTTGATCTCCTGACCTTGTGATCTGCC